>NC_000010.11:132294908-132643798 GCF_000001405.40 Homo sapiens
GCCTGTGTATGACACGGGTAAATCATGTGTGGTCCACAAGGGAACACTGAGGCCCGGCCAGCAGAGCCAGGACAGCTCCAGATGTCAGCGGCCTCTGCCCCTCTCGGTGTGGACTGTGCCACTTCAGTAAACCCAGAGAAACAGCCTCCAAAGGAGGCCTGTCAATTCACACGCCCACCGGCAGTGCACAGAGCAGGTGCACGGAAAACACGTTAAGCTGAGCAAACAAAGTGACAGGAAAAGCTAAGAGTCTTAAGCCGGCAGTGACACCATGGGCTTCGTACTTTAAAAAGATCACTGTCCCCCCAGAGCAAGGAGCACAATGGGACCCAGAGCTCAGTGTCTAACACCATCCTCCTAACAAAGAAACCAGGGCTCCTTGGAGAAATGGCCAGTTCTAGGGCTGGGTAAGGAAACACACGGGGTGAGCCTGCAGCATCGTGCAGTGCCCGAATGTGAGAAAGTGATCAGAAACTCACAAGAGCAACAACGAAAGCACCGAAGAAGGGGTGTTGAAGGAGCCAGGGCAAAGGACAGCTCCCAGTGGCCAGACTGGGACGGGGTGACCAAGAAATTAAAGCAGTGACGAATTACAACCAGCGTGTAAAATCAGCACCCATGAGTCTACAGTGATATCAATGACGGGGTAACAGAATTAACGCAAGGAAGAGACAAATCTACACAGAAGAATTCCAGGCCGGGCGCAGTGGCTCACGCTTGTAATCCCAGCACTTCGGGGGGCCGAGGAGGGCGGATCACGAGGTCAGGAGTTTGAGACCAGCATGGCCGACATGGCGAAACTCTGTCTCGACTAAAAATACAAAAATTAGTTGGGTGTGGTGGCGCACGCCTGTAATCCCAGCTACTCGGGAGGCTGAGGAAAAAGAATCGCTTGAACCCAGAGGCGGAGGCTGCAGTGAGCCGAGGTTGTGCCACTGCACTCCAGCCCGGGCGACGGAGCAAGATTCCATCTTAAAAAAAAAAAGAATTCTGAATGACGTATATAGATAAGCCCCCTTGATGAGGGGACCATAACTACCCCCACACCCGGTGTGGGCTGCATATGGTGCCATCCTGCCAGGGAGGACAGTGTGGAAAAGGGGGAAAGGGGACGTCATGGTGGAGACACCTCACCAGTGACAGGGCCAGCATCGGCAGGAAGGTGTGTGGACAGCGTGTAATCTCGTATGACATCATGAGAATGGCATTTACCTCCGTGGTCTTCCTCCCAAAGGCCCATAATCCTGAGAGAAACATCAAATGAATCCCAGTTAAAGGACATTTTACAACACAGCTGACCAGTGTCCAAACTGTCAAGGTCATAAAAAGCAAGTTTGAGAAACGGTCACAGCACGGAGTAGACTAAGGCGCCAGGAGACTCATGTAACACGGGATCTTGGGACAGATAAGTGACACCGGGGAACAACTGAGGAGATCTGAACCCAGTGTGGACTTCAGTTCACAACGAGGTATGGATACGGGTCCTCTAGTTACGACAAATGTACCCGGTTAATGCCAGACGGTGACGTAAGGGGAAACTGCTTCTGGGGAACAAGGGAACTCTCTGTATCAGCTTCACAACTTTTCTATAAATCTAAACTATCCTGAAATTTAAAAGGCCACATAGATTTTGCATGTTTTCCAGTACGAACTGGGAGGTCATGTGAAAAACTACAAATGGTTGTTTATCAGTGCTGACATGACACAAGATGCTGGATTTCTTAATTTTTTTCTCGTCACTTTCATTATATAATAAAAAGCTATAAAGGAAGAAAGAGATCGTCCTGGCACAGCATCTGGTGGTTAGACCGGGCAACCACACAATTGATCATCCAAACCAGGCCACTTGGAGACAGAAAGGGGCCGCTGTGAGGAATGGCACCGATCAGCAGGCAGGAAGCAGATGTCCCAGGCGACCCCGGGGCATGGTGGCCACAGAGGCAGGACTCGCAGGCCCGCGCCCTCTGGGACGCCGAAAGCCTCTGCGGCTCTGGAAAGGAGTGTCAGGGCCAGTGGGGAGACCACGGCAGGGGGTGCAGGGAAGGAGAGGCAGCCCAGAGACAGGGAGGCGGACATCGCCACAGACAGAGGCCAAGGCCTGGGCACAGCTCTGCCCAGTGTCCTCTCCTGCCACTGACTCACCACCCCTTTCACCTTTTGTTTCCTTGTGGTGCCCGAGCAGGTGCAGCTTCTGGGCGGGTGACAGTCACGGCTTAGGCCCCTTCCTTCCTGCGCCTCTGGCTGCTGTGGCTCTGGGGAAGGGGCACCAGGACCCAATGACAGAGGACTCCCCTCCTGCTTGGCTCCCACCCCACACCCTCTGCAGGACATGCCCCAGCCCCTCCTCCGTGGCCATCCCCAGCGTGTCCAGGGCAGCCAGTCCTCGCTGCCACCCCACCGGTGCCTCCGCCCCCGCTGCCAGCAGACCCCGAAGATCCACCGAAGGGCCTGCTGTGGCTGTGCCTGGTTAGCCCACCCTGGGTTTTCCAATTGCCACCTACAATTCCCAGCCCCACCAGGGGCCACGCCAGCCCCGGTACTAGCTGGGCCACGCACTCTGGGGCTGGGGTCCCAGGGTCCAATGCTTTCTTCAGAACAGATTTTTTTTCCTCCCCTTTTCCTTTGTATCTTTCTTCCTATTTCATCTTTTTCCCTCTTTCAGTCATGTGCTAACTTTACAGATTATCTTTTCTGCCTTTGGAGATAAAACATCACTTCAGACACACAAGATGACTGATGTTTACAAGAAAAAGGAAAAAGAATTGGGGGCAAAATAAACAAAGACCCTGGCAGTCACAGGTGCGTCCTCCAGGGGCAGTGCAGGAAGCCCTGAGCCAGAGCTCCGAGACTCCCCGGCGAAGCCCCCGTAGTCAGGGGCCCGCCCCGCGGCCAGCAGCAGGTGCACACCCGCCTGGTCTCTGGGGCTTTATTTTCCAAACTCAGGAAGATGTTGACTCCACTCCAACTTCCTGTTTGTTTGTTCTCAAGTACAAACAGCCTTCCCTCCAAGCTCTTTCAGTTTCAAAGCTCAGAAGATGCTTTGTGTCTCCTGGGGTCTTGGTGCTCTGCGGCAGCAACCCGGGTACACTGGCTGGTGCTTGGCCATTTGGCTAAACTGGGGTTAGAGGTGGCTGAGAGAGAACTTGTGTGATGCTGGCAGGTGGCAGGCAGCAGCACCACTCCCTGAAGGTCACGCTTCCAACTCGTCCCTGCTCTCCCGGCCCCATGTCCAGCTCTTCCAAACAGCCCGGCCGACCCGCAGCAGCCCTAGCCCACCCCCAGATGCGGAGACTTCACCCTGTGTGGTCCCTCCCCTGAATCTGAGCTGGGCCTGTGACTGGCTCCAACCAGCAGAAAGCAGTCAAAGTGACACGGTGCCAGCCCAGGCCTAAGCCTCAAGAAGGCCCGGCATCTTCTACTCTGCGTCTGTGGGCGCCCTGGGGCCTCTCAGGAATTCCTCCTGCCCCAATGTGGGGCCCAGTGGGGCGAAGAAGCCGAGACTCTGAGGACGGCTGTGGTGGTGTGAGACAAGTCCACAGGTCCCACGGCAGCCCCTTCCGATGCGGGGTCCAGCTCCCCTCCCCTGAGGATGAGCTGGACTTGCTCACTTGCTCCTAACAGGACATGCTGGGAGGAGCCTGTGGCTGAGATCCTCGCTGTGGCTTCTCGCTCCTGCTCAGCTCACTGGGGAGGGAGGGAGGGGAGCGCCCTGTGTGGGGTCACCGGGGAGTTGAGCGCCGTGTGTGGGGTCACTGGGGGGGAGTTGAGCGCCGTGTGTGGGGTCACTGGGAGGGAGTTGAGCGCAGTGTGTGGAGTCACCCAGGCAGTGTGTGGGGAAGCTCCCTTTGCAAGGAACAGAGGCCTCCATCCAGGAGCCACATGGGGAAGCTGGCCTGGAAGTGGTCGCTCCAGTCCCAGTCAAACCTTCAGGTGACAGCAGCCCCAGCTGCCATCTTCACCGCAGCCTCATGAGAGACACCAAGAGGATGCACCGGCTAAGCCACTCCTGAATCACCGACTCAGAAACGATAAGATGGAGCTCACTGTGGGCCACTAGGCTATGAGGAAATTCATTAAGCAGCATGGATAGCTAATCTACTAGCAGAACTGAGACCCCAGAACAAGACCCAGCAGCACAGACAGCTAATCCACCAGCCAAGAGTGGAACTGAGACCCCAGCAGCATGGATAGCTGATCCACCAGCCAACAGTGGACTGAGACCCCAGCAGCATGGATAGCTGATCCACCAGCCAACAGCGAACTGAGACCCCAAGACAAGACCCAGCAGCACAGACAGCTAGTCCACCAGCAGAACTGAGACCCCAGGACAAGACCCAGCAGCACAGACAGCTAATCCACCAGCCAACAGTGGACTGAGACCCCAGCAGCATGGATAGCTGATCCACCAGCCAACAGCAAACTGAGACCCCAAGACAAGACCCAGCAGCACAGACAGCTAATCCACCAGCCAACAGTGGACTGAGACCCCAGGACAAGACCTAGCAGCATGGACAGCTGATCCACCAGCCAACAGCGAACTGAGACCCCAGGACGAGACCCAGCAGCATGGACAGCTGATCCACCAGCCAACAGCAAACTAACTGAGACCTCAGGACAAGACCCCTGGGGAGGTTTGCACCAGCCCGCAGCTCTCTGAGCCGCTCTGGCCGAGGTGCCGTGTACATGGATGAGGGAGCCACGGTGGACATTCTGGTCCCACAGACGTCATGCAGAGCAGAGACACCCGTCCCCACTAGGCCCTGTCCAAATTCCTAGCCCACAGCATCGTGAGAAACCACAAGGAGGCTGATAAGTCACTAGTGTAGGGTAGTTTACTAGCAGCAACAGAAAAGTGGAACAATGTGTCCCCTGGGCACGAACAGGACCCGGTTTGAGAAACGCGGTGCCAGGACCCCGAGCCCTGTTATTGGGCACAAGAGCCGCCAGGAACAGCTTTCCCACAGCGAACAGAGGCTCTGAGGTCAGACGTCACAAAGTGACTGAGGACGGGACCCAGGGCGCTGGCACAGGGAGAGGCAGAGGTGCATGGAGTAGGCGGCACCAAAACCCCCGCGGACTCCTGCTCACATCCCAGCATCGTGGTCAAAACAAGACAAATGTCATCCTTGCCAAGGCCCCAGAATGCGTGCAACGCCCGTGCTAGACTCCTGCAGACATTCCAAACACAGAGGCGCCTCTCTCCTGCTCTATCACACTTTCTGCCTTCTGCGTTCGGAGGACGGAGAGTCATGATGTGAATTCAAAAGAGGAGAAACCTTTGCAAAGTCAACTTTCTAAATCACTGTGAGAAATGGAATGTGCTCGGTTCCTATTTTTAATAAATTGGGGGCGACACTGACTCCCACCTACACCATCTCCTTGGCTTCAGAACTTAAATAACATCGAGATGGGTTTCCACAGGATTGGCAGGGCCGGAGCCCAGAAGGAAGCATGGCAGAGACCATGGGGGCTCCCTCCTCACAGGTGGAGAAGTGGGGTGAGAGGAGGCTGGATGGAATCTGGGGGGGACAAAGCCAGGCCAGGGCAAGCACCTCCGTCTGCACTCCTGCCCAGCCATGCTGATCTCTGCAGCAGCCTTGATTTTTAAAACAATAGATTTCAAATCAATGAGGAAACTGTTTTCTGATGAAGCAGGCATACCATACAAATAACAATAATTGTATTGCTTATAGCTTTCCCCAAACTGTCTCAAGTTCTGATCTTTATCATCAATCAGCAGGTTGGTCTGCCTGTATACTGGGAGAGGGGAGGGGCCTGCGTCTCTGCCCACGCCCAGGGCAGGCAGGAGACCTGTAAGGAAGCGCTCCAGGCACAGAGATACCACCCCGGGTGGCCACTCGCCCCCATTGACAGCCAGAGCCGAACAAGGCGGCATCCCACTCAGGAGGGTGGCTGAGAAGACCAAGGTCTCGCCACGTGCCCAAGTATTAGTCAGCAGCAGCAGGAGAAATGGTGGTTCACAGAGCTTTATTTTTATCTCCAGTTATACACAGACAGCAGAGAGGGAGGTTCAGAGAAACACACAGCTCAACGGAGCTTTTTAGGTGAGGAGGAAAATCTGGCTGGGAAGGGAAATGACACCAAGTAGAAGGCCTGGTCGTCCACTAACGTGAGCCCAGATTCAGCTCTGAGCTTCCCAACACCAAGTAGAAGGCCTGGTCGTCCACTAACACGAGGTCCGATTCAACTCCAAGCTTCCTAACGCCCAGTAGAAGGCCTGGTCCTCCATTAATATGAGCCCAGAATCAGCTCTGAGCTTCCCAACACCAAGTAGAAGGCCTGGTCCCCCACTAACGTGAACCCAGATTCAGCTCCGAGCTTCCCGACACCAAGTAGAAGGCCTGGTCCTCCACTAATGTGAACCCAGATGCAGCTCCGAGCTTCCCAACCAGGAAGAGACAGGGTCAGGGCCACAGGGCACAGGCCCTTACTTGATGTAAGAGCCGAGGGGCTCAAGAGGAAGTCTGGGAAGCTGCTCTGAGTGGTCCTGCAGGGCCTGGCCTGGAACCCGGGTTCCTCCCTAGGAGGGTCCTGCCTGACACAGCTGGGAGCGCCCGTTAGGTGTGGGGGTCCCCGGGGAAGACAAGGCCCCGCAGTGGGCTCGGGGACACAGGATGCTCCGCCCAAAAGCACGGGGCCACACTCCCCAGGAACCCGCCAGTGGACACACCAGACTACCCTGCCTCAGATCCGGGTCAGAAGACAGATGCCGCATCCCAGTGTAAAGGAAACAGTGCGGGCTACTGGGCCGGGTGAAAATGCAAGATGTGAACCAGGAGCTGCACGTCGGCCACGTGTGGAGAAGGCTGGGCCTTCAAGAGGACTGAGAGGAACAGAAGGAGGAAAAGCAAATTAAAAGTCCACACCGCGAGGCGCCCTCTGATGACTGGCAACCCCGTGGTACAGAGGGTTAGAGATCCCCCTCCAGGCCCATCGGGAGCCCGGGCCAAGGGACCAGCACCCCGTGGGTTTCCTGCCCTCACTCACCATGATGCACCGGCTATATACTCACTAAACTCTCACACTCAAAGTATGTCCGCGGGCCAGCAGCGCTGGCACCGCCTGGGGCCGGCTGGAAATGTGGGCTCCTGGCCCCACCCCAGGCCGGCTGGGTCAGCCGCATTTTCACAAGTCCTGGGTGACTGGGGGTCCGGGACAGGCAGGAAAGCTGCTCTGAGTGGTCCCGGCTCCGTGTGGAAGAAACACTTGTCTGTGACTTTGCCTCCCTCAGATCACCTTGGAGTGTCTCTGGGCTTCACCCGCAGAGAATCAATCCCTCAACAAAATCACCTCCAAGGCATCCTCGCATTACTTCTCCACTGGAAAGCTGGGTGGTTCAAGTTCTAAAAGAAAAGCCGGCTTATTTTTAGCCTTGTAAAATGCACAACCAGATGGATAGACACGCAGAGCTGACATTTGTTACATAAAAAGTATGACAGTAGGTCCCGAGTCCATTCTAGAGCAGCCTCACAGCTGGGAAGGAGAAGAGGCATCAAGCTGCACAGCTGCCCCAAGGGCCCCCAGGACACCCGGTGCTGGGCCCAGAACCGGGGAAGCCAGGAGCAAACATGTGACGGGGTGCCCGGCAGGAGGCCAGGACCATAGGCCTCCTCCCCAGTCCACACCCCAGACCAGGGGCCTCTGCAGCCACCAGGCTTCTGACCACCAAGCGCCTGCACTGTGGGGGATGGGTGTCTGGGCCACACAGAGAGCCCCCACCCCTTGCCTCACAGGGTCAGGAGGCAAGGAAAGAGCACCCTCCAAAATGCGAGTCCACACCTGACTGGAAAGTTTTCCCACACTAGGGCTAAGCTGACGCTCTGGAAGGACAACCCGTCCATACCAACCGTGCGGGAGGAGCTGTCCCCAGCCCTCGGCAGCCCCTGGGCTCAGGACCTTCTCTCTTCTCTGCTCCATGAGCTCCGGCAACACCATAAGGAAAGAACGAGGCAAAACCATCACGGGGCCACTAGAGTCACTCCAAGGCAACGTGACAGACCACCCAGAAAGCCAACAAAATGAACTTCAAAGCTATAGACTAACGAGAATTTAGCCAAGTGCAGTCATGTGCAAGAGGCAGCGAAGTCTCAGCCACACACAAGGTGAACCTTGTAAAAGTGGAGCGTTCCTTCACATCAGCAGCAGCCAGCGTGGAAACGGTCCCACTCCAGTCCCACAGGCCGGGAGCAGCAAGGGCGCAGCCTGCCTGGGGCTCTGCGGTGAGGGGCTGCGTGGGAGGCCTCAGATCCCTACAGGGGGAAACATCCTAACTGCACTCATCCTGGGAAAGAGGAGAACTAATGCGAGAAGGAGAGAGCTTTCTCACTCTCCGTCAAGCGATACTCCCTACGGGCTGCAATTTCCAACGCAAAAAGTGAAACCACAGAAGCGCTAGAAGAAAGTACAGATGCAGGTTTATGAATTAAATTATTATTAACTGTGCTGGGAAGGACTGCTGTCACATAAAGGCAAGGCCGGACGCAGCCACAAAGGCAGATGATGAATCTGACCACACACAAATTAAACACATCCATAGAGAAAAAAGCTAAGTAGCAACATTAAAAGATAAATGAGGAACGTGGGAGGGAAGCTGCTGAAGGCTCAGCCTGTGTACCAGGAAGGGCGAGAGGAACCTGCGGCTGCCATCCCACAGGACACATGCCGCTAACAAGCGCGGGCAGGCAATTCAAAAAGTGTGGAAACACGTGAAATGTGTTTAGAGCTGAATGCTCTAAACATTTAAGGTAAAAAGATGATGAACCTCATTGATAATCAAAGAAACTCAAAGCATGAGTGCCATCTTTTAATCTCTTAGACTGGCAAAGAATAGAAACATTGCTGATACCCAAAGCTGGAGAGGATTCAGGGGAAAAGGCGATCAAACCCTCCCGCTCCTGGAGCAAGTGAAAATGGGTTTTCCCTTCCCGCCAGCTCCGCTGGCAGCAGGTGGTCTGGTTCTCTCCCCTGCAGGTGCCTCCCGCCACCCACTGCACTCGCTCCTGCCTCCCTGTCTTGTCAGTCTCTCTGCTTCCCCTCTGCCCGGTTACCCCACGACAGCATGGCCCATAAACAATGCTCAGAGAGGGACCAATTGAGCGGCCACACGTGTTAAGGTATTTCACACGGACCCCTTTGCCTGAGCAATGTCGTTCCTAAAAATGTATCCTAGGGAAACAATGCCAAGTGCACAAAGATCTGCAACGATGTTCATCAATACGTCGTTTATGATATTTATAAAACAGAAACACCTCACAGTCCTGTGACAGGAAACTAAGTAAGCAGAGAAAGTCACAGCTGCTCAGGGGAGCACTGCAGAGTCGGGAATCTCAGCCTCGACTGCTGGTAAAACTCAAGAGGGGCTTAAAAAAAAAGCCTGAGCCCCTGAGCCCCACCCCCAACCCACCAAACCCCCCCAGTTCACCCACAGTTCACGGGTGTGGGGCTTGAGCATCTGCATTTTTTAAGAGTGCCCAGTGAATGACTCGGGTCCACAGCCTGGGGCTGAGAACTGTTGTAAATTCAGCCAACAAATGATGCCTCAGGTCTGGAAGAGGCTGGCAACATATCGCTGAATCAACAAGCACCTTACGGCAAATTGGCATGCAGAGCAGGATCCCACTTCTGCTAACAAAGAGAGAGTGTTTCTCCACGGCTGTACCTGGGACTGTATTTCCAGAAAAAGGCTGGGAGGTGACACCGTGATCCCAATGCTGAAGTTACAGATACCGTGGCATAAAGTATAGAATGTTTTTAAATGCATACATTTTAATGCTTTCATAATTAGGAAAAAACAAAGGTGTTTCTAATTTTAAGAGATGACTTGAGGAGTCTGGTGGCCCCTGGTCCTGCCTCACTGCCTGCCCGGCCCGGCGCCCAGGGCGGGCCGTCCACAGCCTGCAAGGGCCTGTCCACTCCAGCCTTCCCCAGATGAAGGCAAAGCCCCTCAGGGAGGAGCTACTTCCTGCTGGCGGGCTAATGCCACGTCAGGCTGGAGACTCAATGCTGTGACCCCGAGACGGGCGAGCGCCCCCCAGGTTGCAGAGCTGCTTAGCGGGAAGGTACCGGAGCCTCCTCTCAGGTTCACTTGGTATCACCAGGACACCAAGACAGAGAGGAATGAAGGGGCTCGCCCAACGCCATGCAGCTCTGGTGCAGAGCAGCAGCAGAAAGACCCCCTAACCAAGTTCAACCCCAAAAATGAATTTTTCACCGAAGTCAGAGAAGGGATAGAATGGGAGCATGTGAGGGGCTGAGGGGAAGGAAAACTGGAGACCCTCAGTTCTGGCATGACAAAGACGTGCAGAGAATTCTGTACATGCACCAAATATCTGCCAAATTAGGAAAATGGTTCTGGAGTCCACAAGGATTAAAAGGAACAGAGGACATTTAGTCTTATATGTCGCAACTATGCCTATCAGTTGAAATTTACCTGGCACTTTGTTAAACAGCACTCTTAATTTCTTTTTTCCTTTTCTCTGCATACTAAATTTGATATATTAATTAGGTGTTTTAATCTAAAAAATTCATCGGAAGGTCTAGCATTGCCATAGCAACCGTGCAGATTCAGTAAACTCGAGACACCAACACAGCACCAGGGCCTCCTTAAGCCAGTGCTGCCACGGGGCCACGAAAGTACCAGGCAAATGACTGCACCAACCTGAAAGGGGTGGGACTCAGGGGCAACAGTCCCTTCCTAAAAGACTCTCCTTTCTCCTTCCAAACTGAATCCCTTCCACCAACACGAGTCCCCGGCATCCACACTCAGAGGTGCAGAACATTCTTCTGCAAACCCTGTGCTATGACTCCCAAGTTGTCTGTGCCCTGCCAGTGACAGGAAGAAGCGGAGGGAAGCGGTCACCGCCCAGAGATGTCCTCTGCTATTCGGGCCAGGGCCTAGTCTTGCCCTCCTGATTTCACCACACAAAGCCCAGCTGAGTCCCGGCGGGTGCTCAGTTTGGGGATGTGGCTGCATACCAAGCCATACGGAGCCAGCAGCATCCGTGGGACACCGTCAGCCGAATCTCTGCCGTCCTACTACAGGCAAATACGGTGATGCTGGGGATGTGAAAGAATTCCCAAGTCAGACCGTGAGCCCCACAGACAGACTCTGTGCTTGCTCTTTTTGCCTTTCTAGTGATCCTTGAATTCTGTGACATAACACACTGTGAACACACAGGGAAGTCTACCCTACAAAGCTGAAGGCAGCCCAGTGCCACACCACTGTCTCCACTCCCACCCCCGGAGAGCACGGTGCCGAGACCCAGAAGAGCAGCCAGCTCTTGGCTGACACCAGCAAGTGCTAAACCAGATGCGTTTCTCAGACGTTCTCTCAACCCGCAGCCAGAAACGAGAGGCAAATCTGCCTCCTGATCAGCTCCTAGTTCACTCTGGGCTTTCTTTACTTTGAATATTTATGTTAAAAACAAAAACATTTCTCAAACATTCACCATCGTGAGTTCTGCTGTCCCGAAGTTCAGGACACAGTGACGGGCCACCCTGGAGCGTGTGGGGCCTGGTGTGGCTGGGCCTTCAGCCCTCCTTCTAGGCAGCACACCATGAATCCCCGGTGCCGTCTCCCGGAGGAACGGCGGTGCACGGCCCCACACTCACCAACGCCGGCCTGAGGTCGTATTACTGTAATTTCCCATAATGCTTAAATTATTTATCGCAAGTAAATAGCCTGGCTCCTGAGCGCTGGGCTCTAAAATTTTGAAGGATCCATCATACCTCTGCACGCTATCTATAAATGAAAAATGCACATTTCAAGTATTTTAAGAAAATGTCAAAAAACATGAAATGTGTCATCAATGTACGATTTTAAATGATTTGCATGTTACCTGTAGAAAAGAGCTGTATGTCTGCATGTGACTGTATTACAGTGCCCACAGGCAGACGCGGCACCACATCTCCCTGCAGGTGATAATTCGGGGGTCCCCGGGGCCCCCTGGCACCCCGGGAGGTGTCCCTGCAGGCCTGTCCCATGTCACCTCACCTGCCTTCTCTGCTTTCTATGGCGCCCACGGCTGCACGGTCACTCAGGAGACACCAGTCCCCGGGGTTGGCGGCTTTATCTACAGGACTCAGCAGCGCACTCGTTCCTGGCAGGGCAGGTCTTTGCACAACGGCCTGGCCCTGCCTCCAGCGCACATGGGTGAGCAGAGGATGGACACCGCGCGGTCACCAAGGAGACTGAGCCTCTGAGCGGCCGGGCCCCGCCACCTGTGGGGCAGGAGCCTCACTCGCACTCGGGCGGCACAGGTGAGCGCCTCTCTAACTGCAAAGTACAAACGAGCCCGCACGTGGGCCCGAGCGGATCACGGAAAGCGGAAAGCAGGGCTGCCACGGGCGGTGGGCGGAGGCGCGCGCAAGCCCGGAGACGCCACAGCCGCGGGGGACCCTCGCCCCGAGGGCCCGGGCCCAGCCTGCTCCTCCTGCGGCGCCGCCACTAGAAACGGAGGACGCGGGCGGGCGCCCAGAACTCGCGTGGGGCCGCAGCCACCCGGCGCGAGCTTCTCCGGAAGCCGGGGCGCCCCGGGAAGCCGTCCCGGACACCGGGGGAACCCCTGCGGGAAAAAGCCGCCCAGCCGCGCCCGCCCCTGCAATAGCGCGCGGCCCCCACGTCGTCCCCGTGCCCGCACTCACCGTCCTCCTTGTCGTCAAACACCGGCCTCCGCGCGGTGGCCGCCGACATGGACGAGCCCATCCTCTTCTTCCACTTGCTCCACTGAAACAGGGGGCGCGGCTGCGAGCGGACATCGCCCGAGTCCCGGGCCCGGGGCTGGCCAGCAGCGGGCGGCGGCAGGGCCGAGGGCGCGTCGGAGCCGGCGGGGCGCGCGCGGCCGGGGGGCGGCGAGCCCGGGGACGCCGCGGCGCTGCTGCCCCTGCGCTCGGCGCCACTCCTCATCGCCGGGTCTGGGTGCGCGCGGCAGCCGGAACTCGGGGCATGGCCGGCCGGCAGGGCCGGGAGCGGCAGTGGTAGCGGGAGCGCTCGGGGCCGGCAGCGCCCGCCGTGCGCTCTTCTGGGCGGTGGAACCCGCCCCGTAGATTGCGAGCGCTGGGGGCGGGGCAGGGGCGGGGCTTCTGGAAGGGGCGGGGGCGGGGCGGAGCTCCTGGAAGGGGTCGAGGCGGAGCTGAGCGCCGGGGCGTGGCAGGTGCGGAGCTTCGGGAAGGGTAGGGGCGGGGCCGAGCCGGGGGCGGGGCAGGGGCGGGGCTAGTGCCTGGAGTGTCGCTAGGGAGTGGGTGGCCGCCACCAGTCTAGGGATGGGGGCTGTGGTTCGCCGGGACACGGGGACCACGGCTCAGACTAGACGGCGGGTACGAGAGCGAGGGAGGCAGGGAGCGTCCCCACGGGTATCCTGGGGCCCCGGAGGTCGGCGTCCCTGGCACGGGGACTGCTGTGCCCGGCACGGCGGCGGGACCTTCTCGCGGTCTCCGGGGGCCTCCCTCCCCTGCCTTCTTCGTGAAAACAGCCGGCGCGCGGGCTTCCGCCGCCCAGTGCGGGGAGCCCTAAACTCCAGCCTTCTGCTTTGCGCAGGGTGAGGCCGGGCTGCAGGCCCGGGATGCGGGCGGCGGGAATCTGCCGGGCAGAGCCCGGCTCACGGTCAGGAGGCGGCAGGCTGAGTCCAAGCGCTGCGCCAGAGGGTGGGGTGGGGCAGGGCGGGCCTGGCTGCGCGCGCGCACACGCGGGCGCCTGGGGTGGGCGCTAAGCCCTGAGCACGTGCGCCCGCGCTCTCGGGCACCCCCGTGCCATCCTCGCGACCCCCGTCCGGCCTGAGACCGCGTGCCCGAGTCGCCCAGGGTCCCCTTGTCCAGATGCGACAGGGGCCTCGGCACTCGGCGTATTTCGGAGGCCTGGGGCGCGGCTTGACCTCCGGGCACCTCTGCCCCTGCGCAGGGCCAGGCGCGACCTTGCGCGGAAAGTGCTGGGCGCCTTGGAGTGCCCTGGAGAAGGCGCGGCTCTGCATGGAGCCTCGCCGCCTGCCCCTGGCGCTTGTCACTGAAGAATCAGTTTTTGCTACCGGGCTGTTTGACTTTAGGAAGCCTTTACCTCCTTAAGTTCTGCCCTGTAACCAGGACACAAAGACGGGGTCTCTTCCTCCTCGGTGAAATCCTAGATGGGATTTCCTGCTGCCCGCCCGGACGATGAGCGGATCCCCAACATGGCTCCAAGGCCAGTGTCTCCCGCTCCCGTCCCTCCCACCGCACACAACTGTCTACCCTGTCATTCAGCCACTGTGAGCCCTGCCTCCCCACGGCCTTTGACATTCAGTGTGGCCGCCCGCCCTAACCGCCTGATGCATGAAATGTGAGCACGGGAAGTCTGTGTGGCTTCTGGGCCAACAGGAGCCCCCATCCCTTGGGGACTATAAGGAATGGAACCATGCCCATCTACCTAGGACATGCACCCGCCTGGACATGCACCCGCCTGGACATGCACCCGCCTAGGACATGCACCCACCTGGACATGCACCCGCTTAGGACACATGGCATGCATTTCACTACTGAGATTTAGAGGGTATTTTTATGGCAGCATAACCTAGGTTACCTGACCAACCAGCCACCGCAGCTCTCCCTGCCTGGCTAGCACAAACGCATCGGTCTCTAACTTCCAGTGCACAGAGCCGAGTTTTCAGCCCTTGCAGCTGCGAAGCTCTGTTCCCTGCTCTCCCTCAAAGTTGCCATTCTCCAGCAGGCACGCAGAAGGCAGTGGGTTCAGCACCTGCCTCAGAGGAAGCCCTCGGTGCCCATCCCAGCAGGAGTGGTGAAGGAGCGTTTGGAAGGGGAGGTACCAAGGCAGGGCAGTGCCTGGAACCCTGCGTACCCGGTGCACACATCAGACTCCCCAGGGCTCCTCCCAAAACACGCAGCCTCTGAACTTACATCATCGCCTCTCCTCCTCTCCCTCTGACCCCTAAAAGTGGCAGAAAAGGAATAAAAGATATAACGTCCCCACCACCACCTAAGAGGGAACAGGAGAAGGGAAGACATGTTAATAGACTTCAGACAGCAGGTAGAAAGCTGACTCTGAAGATTGGAGAGGCTGAGGACCTGCAGGTAACCAGGACCCCAAAAGGCGGGAGAATGTGAATACAGCCAGAGCCCAGGACGCCTCCCCGGCCCGGGCAGTTGGGGATGGACAGTCCTCTGGTCTGAGGGTCCAAAGGGGCTCTTGACCTAGGGATACCAAGTCCTGCAGAAGACAAGAGTGCAGGGGGGCAGAGGGGTTCATGGGGACATCTGCACACTTAACTAGGAGACCCTCCAACCTCACCCTTGCTGTGAGCCTCAAACACCAAGCCAGGCACCTGCCTCTCAGTCAGGAAACAGGAAGGATCTGTAGGGAAACAGCAGCTCCCAAAAGAATGCCGGGTCCTAAGATTTGGCCAGTGCAGATCAGCCCTGGAGGGGCCTGTGGGCTCAGGGCACAACTCTTGTACTGTCCAGGTGCAACTCTTGTACTGTCCAGCCACGGCTCAGGGTCCAGGCAAACACAAGACTGAGCGTTAAGAGGTGCACAGTGTAGGCATGAGACAGGAGGGGTCAGGAACTGCTGTCCCCAAGAGGATGCCAACCCCTGGTGCCTCATGGGAGGTAGCTCTGAAGTTCTAGGGGGATGCTGGGAGGGACTGAGGCTGGGACAGAGTCAGCTGTGGATGGGAAGGGGCAGTGAGGCCAGTAGAGAATTCCTGAGTTCCCCTGTGTGCCCATGCTGCCCGGGAACGTCAACTTCATTAGGGCAGCGATGGTGTCTGCCCCTTCCAATGACAGGAGACCAAGTGACAATGTGACAGATAAATGCATTCAGTGCACTGACGTCTAGCACGCAGGAGCACACAGGAAGGCACATGGCTGGGCAGCACGTGCATGATCGTGGGACCACTTTAGCTTGGGTAGTCCAGCATGAGTCTCTGAGCAGGTGACCTTGATGCTGAGGCCGGAGCATGAACGAGTAGCCCAAGGGAGGCCAGGTGTCCGGGTTCCAACAGCAGGAGCTGGCCCTAAGGTAGAAACCGGCTTGTGCGGGAGGACAGGAGGGTCCATGCTGCAGGACAGCAAGTGAGTGGCCGTGGCATGTGCTGAAGGGCTGGGGGTGGTTTGGGGGACAAGGTGCAGTCCCTGACACCAGGCTTCATGTGCATTTGTTCATAATTCGTCCATAAAGCCACGCCTCCTGAGGGACATGCCTTGGACATGGGTCCTCCGTTGCCACATAATTGGCACACAGCTCAGTCACACCGAGATGTGTGCTTCATCTTCTGTCATCATTATGAAATTAACACATGCTCTGCCCACGCCTTTGTTAAGAGTCCTTTTATTAAATCTCCTCAGATCACACGATTCGTGTGTGCTGTTTCCTGCTGGAAAACACATCTCAGAACTGACCCCCAAAACAGGAAATGGGCTCCCATGGGACTCCGATGCTGGTGTCCACCTATGTGGAGAATCCACGGACAGCCTCCCTCCTGGGAAATGGAAGACAGATGGCCGTGGCGCCCTCAGATTCAGCCCTGGCGGGGCCTGGGACTGAGGATTCTTGGAAGGCCAGGGCCTTGGAGCCCACGTGTGGGGACACTTGGTTGCTATGGTGACAGTATTGATTTTAAAGGTCATGTGGCCACCTGGTGACTCAGGAAGGAGCACAGCGACGGAGAACATGCAGGACGGGCTGCAGCCACTAGGAAGGAGCCCTCGCCCCCACTGCAGTGCGCCGGGGCCGAGCATGAGTTCACCGCTCAGCTCTGCTTAAGGACCCACAACCCCAGCCCCTGCTGCCACCATCATCACGTTGCCTTTTCATCTGTCTACTCCGCCCTTTTCTTCCTCTATAAGGACACTTGTCATTGGACTTAGGGCCCACCCTACTCCAGGATGATATCATCTTGAGATCCTTAACTTAGTTACATCTGCAAAGATCCTCTTTCCAGATAAGGTCACATTCACAGGGCCGGCACGGACATGTCCTTTGGTGGCAAAAGGCCACCATTTAACCCACCACATCCATGGGCAGCATGGATTCACCACACCCTACAGCCCCAAAGTCCCAACCATTACAGCAGCAACTCTAAGTCCAAAATCCCAGCTCAAGATTTTTTTTGAGACAGAGTCTCACTGTGTTGCCCAGACTGGAGTGCAGTGGTGCTATCATGGCTCACTGCAGCCTCGACCTCCCAGGCTCAAGCGATCCTCCCATCTCAGGCTCCTGAGTAGCTCGGACCATAGATCCATGACCCCACCCCTGGCTGATTTTTTGTGCTTTTGGTAGAGACAAGGATTTCACACTGTGGCCTAGGCTGATCTCAAACTTTGGGGCTCAAGAAATCCACCCCACTCAGCCTCCTAAAGTGCTGGGATTACAGGTATGAGCCACTGCACCCAGCCTCTCGTCTAAATATTTTCAGCTCGAAAGTCTCCAAGACTCATTGTCTAAATCATGCCTGATTTAGACAATCAGAAATGATGTCCAAGACTCATTATCTAAATCAGGCATGGGTGAGACCTCAGTTCAATCCATTCTGGGCAAAATTCCCCTTTATCTGTGTAACTGTGAAACTGGAAAATATGCTTCCAAGGTACAGTGATGAGATAGGCATAAGATATACATTCCCATTTCAAAAGGGAGAAATAAGAAGGAATAAAAAGAGTCATCGGTCCCAAGTAAGTTCAAATCCAGCAGGGCAAGTTCCATGAGGTTTCAAGGCCTGGCAAGAATTCTTGGTGGCTCAATGCTGCACTACGTAAACTAAAATTAAAACCATAAGCCCCCAACCGATGGGACAGACCCGCTCTTGGCCAAGGAAACTCCAGAAAAACCTTAAAACTGAGTTCCAGGCCAGATGCAGTGGCTCATGCCTGTAGTCCCAACACTTTGGGAGGCCGAGGTGGGCGGCTCACTTGAGGTCAGGAGTTCGAGACCAGCCTGGCCAACATGGCAAAACTCTACCTCTACTAAAAATACAAAACTTAGCCAGGCGTGGTGGCACACGCCTGTAATACCAGCTACTCAGGAAGCTGAGGCATGAGAATCACCCGAACCTGTGAGGTGGAGATTGCTGTGAGCCGAGATCACGCCACTGCACTCCAGCCTGGGCGACAGAGCGAGACTCTGTCTCAAAAAATAAAATAAAATTAAATTAAAAACCTGAGTTCCTGGCTATGATGGTGGGATGGGAGGTCAGACGGGTCTCCTGATACCCCCTCCCTTTTACGGTTTAGACACAACAACCAACCAGCTTTAATGTTAAGCTGGAGACCATAAGACAAACGGAATGGCTCTTTGTGGCAATAAGATACCAAATTATAAACAGGACCTAAGGCCATGCCGAGTGACGGTTAAGTCACACACTCTACCCTTACAGCAGCTAACAAGCACTGGCCTTGAGATGAGCAACATTAAACGCCGTGGCTGTTTACCATCCACACAGAGGCAGCCTCTAAGGCTAAAAAGGACCCTTCCACACGGGCCACACGACAGACATTTGCCAAGCACCTGCTCCATGCTAGGCACTGCAGCAGACACTGCTGACATAGTGAATGGTCAGATGGAGCGTGCACCCCTCTCAGCGAGGGAGACGGGAACCCAGTGGATAGCAGGCAAAGAGGGGATGCACAGAGGGCTGCGAGAGCAGGAGTGGATGCCAGTCCTGACAGAGCATGAGGGACACCCCCTCGAGGCAGCCCACAGCAGAGCTGACACCTGACAGATGGGCAGACGTCAGCCAAAGGGGAGCAGGAGAGCAGCCCTCCGGGCAGAACATGGGTAGCGTCCAAGAGGTGAGCAAGAATGTGATGCTTTAGAAGAAAGGAATGAATGAAAGGCCAGGCTGGTTAAGCTGGAGAGATTGAGGCAGGGAGTGGCAAGAGACGAAGGCTAAGGAGATGACAAGGACCAGGTCAAGAGGCCTCATGAGCTCCGTGGAAGGTGCTAGCTCTGGCTTCCTGAAAGGCTGCTGAAATGGGGGTTGTTTAAGACCCATGCAGTGAACTTTGGCCAATGGAAAACCACTGCTGGGAGGATAAGCCACCTCTCCTTCCTCTTTCCCACAAGAGTTCGCAGGCAGAGTCTCTCTCCTGCCCATGTGAAGGCATCCTACCTGGCCAAGCAGGGCATCCATGGAGCAGCAGCCTCTGTCAGAACTCAGCCAGCCATAAGCCCTCGGCCAGCACCGCGATGCACCACCTTACCTGGGCCCCGCCCTTCTCTGCCCCTCTGCCCTTCTGCATCTATATAAAGGAGGGGCAAATCAATTTCATGTTGAAAGACAATTCATCGCTCATAGCAGAACTAATAACACTCTGCCTGATAGCATGTGCAGATGTAAAACTGCACAACTTACAAAGGGCAAAGAGATGATGACACTGCTGAGCTTTTCTGACATTCCCTGGAAGTGGTGTTTTACAGCTCAGGTTTGACTGTGACAGACTGAGGGTGGCTATCGTGATCCACAGCAATGCCTTTAAAAAGTGGCCCAGCTAACGAGCCAACAGAGGAGATACAATGTAACTAAAATCACCAGGAGAAGATGAAAACAACCCATGGGACACAAGGAAAATAAAGAGCAGAGTGGTAGAGTTCATCATTACAGTAAACGTAAATGGACTACGCACTTCAATTAGAAGATAGAGACCATCAGACTGGATACAAATGCAAGACCCTAATATGTATATGCTGATTCTAAAAGCTGCATCTTAAATATAAAGATGAATTATAACCTAAACACTAAAAAAGAATTTAAAAGTAAAAAGATGGAAAAAAGATATACCATGCAAATAATAATCATAAGAAAGGTGATGTAGCTATATTTATATCAGATAACGTAGACTTCAAGACAAAGAATATTATTAGAGATAAAAAGGAACATTTCAAATGATAAAAGGATCAATTATTTAAGAATACCTAACATGCAGCCATAAAAAAGATTGAGTTTGGCCAGGCGCAGTGGCTCATGCCTGTAATCCCAGCACTTTGGGAGGCCGAGGCAGGCAGATCCTGAGTTCAGGAGTTCAAGACCAGCCTGACCAACACGGAGAAACCCCATCTCTACTAAAAATCCAAAATTAGCCAGGCGTGGTGGCGCATGTCTGTAATCCCAGCTACTTGGGAGGCTGAGACAGGAGAATCATTCGAACCTAAGAGGCGGAAGTTGCGGTGAGCAGAGATTGCACCATTGCATTCCAGCCTGGGCAACAAGAGCGAAATTCCATCTCAAAAAAAAAAGAATAAGTTCATGTCCTTTGCAGGGACATGGATGAAGCTGGAATCCATCATTCTCAGCAAACTAACACAGGAACAGAAAACCAAACACCACATGTTCTCATTCATAAGTGGAAGCTGAACAATGAGAACACATGGACACAGGGAGGGGAACATCACACACTAAGGCCTGCTGGGGGTTTGGGGGCAAGGGGAGGGACAGCATTAGGACAAATACCTAATGCATGTGGGGCTTAAAACCTAGATGATGGGTTGATAGGTGCAGCAAACCAGCATGGCACATGTATAGCTATGTAACAAACCTGCACATTCTACACATGTATCCCAGAACTTAAAAGTAAAATAAATAAATAGATAGCACAAAAAAAGAATACCTAACAATCCCAAATATGTATGCGCCTAATAAGAAGACTTCAAACTATATAAAGCAAAACTTGACAACCGGAGAGAAAAATAGACAAACGCACAGTCATAGTAGTAGAGCTTAACACTTCCATCTCAGGAATTGCTAGAACAGGTACACACATACGCAATTACTAAGGATATAGAAGTTTGGGCAACACTCTTAAGCAAGTTGACCTGATCGACATCTATAGAACACAATAACCAATAACTGCATATTACACATTATTTTCAAGTGTGCAAGAAATATTAAATAGGATGTCATATCCTGAAACAAAATGAAAATTTTCAATAAATCTCAAAGGATTGAAATAATATATAATGTGTTATCTGAACACAATGAAATTAAGCATCAATTATAAAAGAGAGTCCAACATTTGGAAATTAAACAATAATCCATTATCAAATAATGAATCACAAGGAAATTTAAAAATATTCAAATGGAATGATTATAAAACCCAAACTAATAAAATGTATGAGATGCAGCTAGTTTTAAATGCCTGTATGAGAAAAATAAGAGATGTTAAAAATCAGTTTTCTAAGTTCTGTCTTAAGAAGCTAAAAAAACCATTCCACAATGTATACATATTCTGAAACATCTTGTTGCATGCCATAAGTATATATCATTTTTATTTGCCAATTAAAAAGAAAATAAATTGTAAAAAAAAATTTAAAAAATAAATTACATACCTTAAAAATCACTACTATAAGCCAATGTAGCAAAGATGGGAAGTTTTGTTCATGGGAGAAGAGAGTAAAGATGAGCTATAAAAAGTTAAAAAAATAAGGCCAGGCACGGTGACTCATACTTGTCACCCGAGCACTTTAGGAGGCTGAGGTGGGAGGATTGCTTGAGCCCAGAAGTCTACGACCAGCCTAGGCAACATAGTGAGACCCAGTCTCTACAAAAAATAAGGATAAAAAAATTAGCCAGGCATGGTGGCATGCACCTGTAGTCCCTGCTACTCGGGAGGCTAAGGCGGGAGGATCCCTTGAGACTGGGAGGTTGAGGCTACAGTGAACCATGGTCGTACCACTGCACTCCAGCTTGGGCAACAGAGTGAGATCCTGTCTAAAAGATCAGGAAAATCAGCAAAGCAAATCAGTGATCCTTTAAAAAGTCATTAAAATGTATAAAGCCCCAGGATTACAGAATAAGGAGAAAGAGGAATTAGAATATTAGAAATGAAGAAAAGGCTATCATTCTAGAATCTAAAGATACTTAAAAGAGTCCAGGCGCGGTGGCTTATGCCTGTAATCCCAGCAATTTGGGAGGCAAAGGCTGGTGGATCACAAGGTCAAGAGATTGAGACCATCTTGGCCAACATGATGAAACCCCGACTCTAAAACTACAAAAATTAGGAGAATCACTTGAACCTGGGCTGGGAGGCAGAGGTTGCAGTGAGTCAAGATCATGCCACTGCACTCCAGCCTGGGACAGAGTGAGACTCCATCTCAAAAAAAAAAAAAAAAAAGATACTTAAAAGATGAAGAAAGGCATGTTGTGAAAATGTAGTACCAGTACATTATATTTGTAACTCAGATAAAATGGAGAAACTATTTGAAAAATATAATTTATCTACAAGAGAAACTGAATTTGTAAGTTAAAACTCCTTCCCAAAGAAAACTGAAAGTACTGAGACAATTGAAAATTTATATGAGAACAATAAACCTAGACCCTTACATAAATAACTCAAACTGAATCAGAGGCCTAAATGTAGGAGCTAACACTATAAAATTTCTAGAAGAAAACACAGGGGAAAATCTCTATGACCTCTAGTTAGGCCAAGAGTTATTACATGTGACACCAAAAGCATGAATGAGGCATAAAATTCATTCATTGGTCTTCACTAAAGTTAAAAACTTTGGCACTCAAAAATACACAATTAAGAAAACAGACAAGGGGAAAGGTTGGAAGTCATCTTTCTGGTGTAGGACTTGTACCCAGAACATATAGGACACTTGGCCGGGAAGATTTCTTGAACTCAAGCGTTCAAGACCAGCCTGGCAACATAATGACATCTCTACAAAAATTTTTAAAAATTCACATGGTGTGGTGGCATGTGCCTGTAGTTTGGGAGGCTGAGGTTAGAGGATCGCCTGAGCCCAGGAGGTCAAGGCTACAGTGAGTCAGGATTGCACCAGTGCACTCCAGTTTGGATGACAGAGTGAGACACTGTCTAAAAAAATAAAAATGAGGCCAAGGCAGGCAGATCACAAGGTCAAGAGATCAAGACCATCCTGGCCAACATGGTAAAACCCCGTCTCTGCTAAAAATACAAAAATTAGCCGGGCATGGTGGTGTGTGCCTGTAATCCCAGCTACTCGGGGGGCTGAGGCAGGAGAATCGCTTGAACCCAGGAGGCAAAGGTTGCAGTGAACCGAGATCACACCAAGGCACTCCAGCCTGTGAGACTCTGTCTCAAAAAAAAAAAAAAAAAAAAGTCTGGGCACAGTGGCTCACACCTGTAATCTCAGCACTTTGGGAGGCCAAGGAGGGTGGATCACAAGGTCAGGAGTTCCAGACCAGCCTGGCCAATATGGTGAAACCTGGTCTCTACTTAAAATACAAAAATTAGCCGGGAGTGGTGGCAGGCGCCTGTAGTCCCAGCTACTTGGGATGCTGAGGCAGGAGAATCACTTTAACCCGGGAGGTGGAGGTTGCAGTGAGCCAAGATCGCGCCACTGCACTCCAGCCTGGGCGACAGAAGGAGACTATGTCTCAAAAAAAAAGAGAGAGAGAGAGAGAAAGAAAACAATCTAATAAAAACGTAGGTAAAAGACTTGGAAAACCAGGCACGGTGGCTCACGCTTGTAATCCCAGCACCTTGGGAGGCCGAGGCGGGCAGATCACTTGAGGTCAGGAGTTCGAGACCAGCCCAGCCAACATAGGAAAACCTGTCTCTACTAAAAATACAAAAATTAGCCAGGCATGGTGGTGCGCACCTGTAATCCCAGCTACTTAGGAGGCTGAGGCAGGGGAATTACTTGAACCTGGGAGGCGGAGGTTGCAGTGAGCTGAGATTGCGCCACTGCACTCTAGCCTGGGCAACAGAGTGAGACCTTGCCTCAAAAAACAAAAAAAAAAAGGAAAAGAAAAGAAAAGAAAAAACATTTCACCAAATAAGACATACAAATGGCTACATGGCTGATACACATGTAAAATGTGATAAACATTATGAGTCACTGGGCAAATAAAATTTTTAAAATTGCTTTTAGTTTATTTTTTCTTCTTCCTGCCAACTGTTGCTACCTCTGAAGAAGCAAGTAAAAATTTAAACCTCCATGAGATACAACTACACACTTACTAGGATTGCCATAATTAAAAAAAAAAAACAGACAATACCAAGGGTTGGATGTGGCAGAACTGGAGTCCATATTTTGTTAAAGTGATGCAGCTACTTTGTTTTTTGTTTTGTTTTGAGATGGAGTTTCTCTCTTGTCGCCCAGGCTGGAGTGCAGTGGCGTGATCTTGGCTCACTGCAACCTCCACGTCCTGGGTTAAAGCAATTCTCCTGCCTCAGCCTCCCAAGTAGCTGGGATTACAGGCGCTCATCATCACACTCGGCTAGTTTTTGTATTTTTAGTAGAGGTGGGGTTTCACCATGTTGGCCAGGCTGGTCTCGAAATCCTGACTTCAGGTGATCCGCCCACCTCGGCCTCCCAAAGTGCTGGGATTACAGGCGTGAGCCACCACGCCCAGTCATGATACAGCTACACTGGAAAACAGTTCATTTATTTTAAATTTAAGCATAATCTTACCATATGACCCAGTAATTTCACTACCAGGAATCTAGCCAAGAAAAATAAAATATATGACTTAAAGATAGGTGCATGAATATTCATAGCAGCATGATTTCATAGCCCCAAACTGTAGATAGTCCAAATGTCCATCATCTGGTGAACAGATAAACAAATAGTATATCCATTCAACAGAATATTATTCAGCAATAAAAAGGAATGAAATACTGATGCCTTCTACTACACGGATGGACCTCAAAATCATTATTCTACATAAAACCAGATGAAAAGACGACATACTGTCTGACTCCATTTACCTAAAATGTGCACCCCATTGTCCAGGCAAATGTGTAGAGTCAGTGCTTCCCTAGGGCTGGGGTGAGAGCGGAATGGACTGCAGACAGCTGTGGGAATGCAGGGGCTGAGGGTACTCATCCTAAAGTGGGAGTGTGGGGATGGTATAAATTTACTGTAAATTGAATAAAAATTGTGGTATTGTGTCTTCACAATGGCTTGTAGCCAAGGGTTTTTTTTTCCCCTTCCTTTTGTCATCTCTATTGAGGCATAATTTACATAATATAAAACTCATCTATTGCACCTTAGATGGATTTTTTTTTTTTTGAGATGGAGTCTCACACTTTCTCCCAGGGTGGAGTATAATGGCACGATCTCGGCTCACTGCAACCTCCGCCTCCCAGGTTCAAGCAACAATGAGAAAAAGTCTTAGAAACAGCTGTTTCCAGAAAAAAAAAAAAGTTACAGGAGACCTCATACAGTATGGCACATTTTTATGAGGTTTATAAAGCCAAGAAAAACTAGATGGCACATTGCGCGTGTGAATGATAAAATTCTAAAACAAGAGAAAAATTCAGGAACATCCCACAATCCAGGCTGGGGAGGGGGCAGGTAGGGGATGGTGGGGGGTGTGCAGGATGGGTGCTATGGCTGAATGTGTCCTCCACTTTCATGCTGGTTAAAGATAAACACAGCCCATTGCCAGAGTGGTGAGGGCAGACTGTGATTAGTCATAACTGTTGCAATGGGGAAGAGTCTAGCGTGACCTGACTCAGCTTGAATCTGCACGGCGGTGACTGTGGGTTTTAAAGGGACAGTGAGGGGTGGGGGTCCGCTGGGGCTCAGGAGAGCTGGGGAAGTGAAAACTTAAGAGTGGGAAGAGGGTGGGTCCACAGGAGACCCGTCTATAATAGGTTTGTTGGCCACGGTTATGGAAGTGAGGTCCCACCCCCGCAGAGGCTGGGGCACGGGGCCCTGTTCTCGGGTTGCTGGAGCCAAGAAGAGATCCTTTGGGCAGCTTAAGTTTTCTCAGGCAGGCATTTGGGGGGCTAGGTCACCCTTGGGATGCGGCCTGGAGTTCTTACAAATGATGCTGGCGTCCGTTCAATCCTTTGTGCGCCACGTTGAGGCCTGGTGGAGCAGAGGGCCTGGAGGAGCCTGGCTTGTGTGAGGTCAAGGGCAGACTTGATGTTATAACCCCCGGCTCCTCAGAATGTGACTATATTTGGAAATAGGGCTCCCTGTCCCCAGGAAGGCCAAGGCGTTGCCATCATTGTGATTTCCTACAGTCCTGGCGCATCTGGGTGTCCTCACCCTCTGCTGGAATCTGTAAATTATTGGTCCAGCTTATCTGTCCATCTTATAATAAATGACATCTCCATACCCTGCCATGGCCTTGGGGTGGGTGCAGTGCACCTCACCATCCTGGGACTGGCTTGCCGTGTGGTTTGTTTGGCCAATGGGGTGTCAGGTGGGAGGGAGCAGAGAGGCCCAACTGGAGAGTGGGATGGAACACGGTGAGGCCTGACTGGTCAAAGGGATGTTGGGGGGATGCCAGCGAAGTGGGCCCTGGATGTCCTCCCACAGCTACCGTCTTGCACCTTTGCATGTTCATGGGAGGCACATGGTGACCTGCTTGTCACAGAAGAATGAGACACCCATAGAATAGATGCAAGCTGCATCTGTGGCCCAGAGCCAAGACTGACCAAGCCCAGCCAAGCCCAGCCAAGCCCAGCCCACCTGCAGAGTAAGAGGTAAATGCTTGGCGTTCATGGTACTAATTTTGGGATGGT
This sequence comes from Homo sapiens, assembly GCF_000001405.40. Taxonomy (NCBI): domain Eukaryota; kingdom Metazoa; phylum Chordata; class Mammalia; order Primates; family Hominidae; genus Homo; species Homo sapiens. The sequence goes on from NC_000010.11 coordinate 132,321,372, forward strand.
TTGTTATGTGGAATTCTGTTGAGACTAGCCAACTGGAGTCACGTCACCCTCCACATAGCCTGCTGGGACAATGTCTAAGATGACCCAAGGCCAGCTCCCCAGAGGGTCCCCAAACTAGTCCCAGAGCCACTTCATTCACCCTCTGGTCTGTAACCTCTTTAAAATTTCCATCTAAGGGCCGGGCATGGTCGTTCATGCCTATAATCCCAGCACTTTGGGAGGCCAAGGTGGGTGGATGGCTGGAGTTCAGGAGTTCGAGACCAGCCTGGCCAACATAGTGAAACCCTGTCTCTACTAAAAATACAAAAAATTAGCCGGGTGTGGTGGCAGGCACCTGTAATCCCAGCTACTGCTGAGGCAGGAGAATCGCTTGAACCTGGGAGGCGGAGGGTTGGTCATTCATTTTGAGGCTGTAAGATGCTTCCTTGTCTGGCTTCAGTGTGACGTATTTGTGCTTTCTCCCGTCCTGGCCTTTCCAGTGCTTTTGCTTAAATGCATGATCCCGCGGGGCACATTTTGGCACCTGTGTCCTGGTGCACGCCTCCATCTGCTTCTCTACTGGAGTCCAAAGGGGGAATTGTGGGGCTGTTGCACTTGAGAATTCAACCCTGCACAGGAGTCCCCAGATGCTCCCAAGATATTGACGAACACCCTCTCACAGCAGCGGGTTCCGTGGGCTTCACCAGCTCACCAACACAAGGCAGCTGCTTTGCTGGTGCCAGTTGAGTGAGTGTAAGACTCACTCATCTGAAATACAATCTTGGATCAAATTGCATTTCTCTGACAGCTAGTAAAGTGAAGCATCTTTTATATTTTTATTGGCCATTTATTTCTCCTCTACTGTGAGCTATTGGTTTATATCTTTTTACCTATTACTATAAATGTATCTCTATCTTTTCCCTATTGAATCATAGGAATGCTGCATACTATCTTTATCGGATTATAGTCTGGATACTAATCTTCATTGGATGTAAGAGTCGCCAGTATCTTCTCTCAGTTTTTGGCTGACTTAATTTTCTTTATGGTATCTTTCTGATGAACAGGATTATTTCTAGTATAGTGAATTTACCAATATTTATTTTTATGGTGTTTTTATATCTTGTTTAAAAATCCTTTCTTAGCCTAAGAACAAAGTAAAATTCACTGACATTTTCTCCTAAGGATGTGTATAAACTCTTGCACTGGCGCATAGCATACCTGTGGGAAACTACACAGGTAATGGGCATGCATCTCAACCAAATTTCACGCCAGTGTAACTACCAGCACAGGAAGTAAAATGTTGCCAGCATCTTAGAAGCCCTGGAATTACTAAGCCCTTCCCAGGACCATACCACCCAGCAGGGGGAGGAGGCACCCTGATCTGGGAAGCCCTCCTGCCTGACACCCATTTGGGGTCATCTGCAGTGGCCACTCTGTACTTTCTCCAGTGTCCTGGGGTGGAGGTCGTGGTTCTCTGCTCTCTCCACAAACATGTGCATGTCTCAGCCCCATTCTCTCTGGCCCAGGGACCAGTTTGGTTCGTGCGTCCCTCTCCTGAACACATTTGATCGCTTACTCAATCCCAGAGTGTTCTTACGAAACCAAAAAGAACAGATAGCTGGTTCTGTGTCTGTGAAATGCAGGCCCTCTAAAATGCAAAGCCCAGGGAAGGAGGATGTCTCTTCCCTGGTCTAAGTGCTGCCCTGCGTCGGACTCACCACCCTTTCATTCTGTGTACTATGATTATTTCCCTTCCTACTGCTTGTCCTTACTGAAATAATGACGTTTTCAGTTGCTTAGTTTTTGTTGAACCTCTTGGGAATTCTTCCTGCCCCTTACAATAGGCTTACCATGTAATTTTCCACCAAATCAATTTCTCCTTGCACAGTGCATTCTGGGTCCAAAACCTGGCTCAAGTCTGGAAATGGGCCAGGAATCATGATTGTTACTGAGGTGCTTGCCCTTGGCTTCCTGGTCACCCATCCTTGATATCTCTTAACTGTATGGACTGAATAGTGCCATCACTGGCTGGCTTAAGACTCCATCCCTAGCGTTCTCACTGGCCTAGGCCAATACCAATGTTCACAGACTGTTGCCCACCCTGGCACCTCGTCAATGTATTTCCTCCAATAAAGACAGTTCCTTTCCAAGAGATGTGCTGATCTAATTGTGGCAGACAGAATAATGGCCCTCAGAGACGTCCATGTCTGAATCCCCAAAACCTGTGTCTATGTTAGGTACATGAATTCAGGTTAAAGAATTTAAGATAGAAGGTGGGGTGCATGGGGATTGGAGGCTCACAGGCCATGAGATTGGCTTGGGATGGGGTGATGGATGGAGCTAAACCATTTTGCACCCAAGTCTCAAGGCCAGTGTCTTGGTCCATTTTCTGTTGCTACAAAGAATACCTGAGGCTGGGTTATGATTTATACAGGAAAGATGTTTACTTGACTCAGTTTTGAAGGCTGGGAAGCCCAAGAGAACGGCAACAGTTTCTGGTGGTGCTTTTGTCCTGCATCATGACACAGAAGCGAAGTGGAAGGGGGAGTGGGACAAAACATGAGGGGTGGCCTCATGTTATAATAACCCAACCTGTGGCAGTTAATGCTGTCCGGAGAGAGCGGGAAGCCACTCACTCCCTCAAGAATTAGCCCAGTCCCTAAAGAGCAGCATTAATCTCTTAATGGCCTAACCACACCTTAAACCCCACCTCCCAACACACCCACACCTGGACCAAATTTCCAGCATATGAATTCCAGGGACCCACTCCAATCACAGCAGCTGGGAAAATGGAGGCCAAGAGCTGGGGATGAGTCTGAGTCTCCCTGGGTACTGAGACAAGTTCACCACTTTGGCTCATCTGAGAAATTCATTAACAATTCATTACACACCCCCTCTTGATGGGCCACAGAACACACCCCCAGCTTTTTCATGGCAGCCTGAAGGCTGCAGCTTCTTGTCTTTCCACACCATTCCACATCTTCCTGGCAAAATCCCAGTCCTGGGGTGTGCTCTCAGAAGACCTATATGAGGAAACAGAGGTCATCTTCACTTTGCAGTCTGAACTCTTTTCAAGGAAGAGCAATGTATTTCAGTTGTCACATTGTATGATGATTGGTTTAGCAGGCACAGCAGAGCAGAAATGGAATCAGCTGCCAGGGGCATTTTGAACATCTTCCAAAAAACAATTTTAGGCCATTTTGAAATCTGTAAACTTACGTAGAAATGTGTATTGTCCTTACATTCAACTTTCTATAAAGTATATTTTACATTTTAAAAAAAGACTGCCTTTCTTTTGATGTTGTTGACAAAAAGAGTCAAGCTCTGTCAAATACTTAAAGAGGTTTATTTCTGAGCTAAATATGAGTGACCATGGCCCAAGGCAGTCTCAAGAGATCCTGAGATGTGCCCAAGGTGGTTGGGTTGCAAGATGGTTTTATACATTTTAGGGGAACATAAGACATCAATCAATGCCTGTGAGGTATACATTGGTTTGGTCTAGAAAGGAAGGACAACTGAAAGTGGGATGGGGAGAGATGCAGGAGAGTGACCTTACAGGTCATAGGTGGACTCAAAGATTTTCTGATTGACAATTGGTTGAAAGAATTATTATCTAAAGACCTGGAATCAATCAACAGGAAGGAGTGTCTGGGTTAAGATAAGGGGTTGTAGAGATCAAGTTCTTAGTGGTAAATGAAGTCTCATTGGTGGCTACTGTTAGAAACAATTGATGGTAAATTCTGATGTTTCTGATGTGGTTTGGCTGTGTCCCCACCCAAATCTTATGTTGAATTCCCACATGTTGTGGGAGGGACCCGGTGGGAGGTAACTGAATCATGGGGACAAGTCTTTCCCATGTTGTTCTCATGATAGTGAATAAGTCTCACGAGATCTGATGGTTTTAGAAAGAGGAGTTCCCCGGCCGGGCGCGGTGGCTCACACCTGTAATCCCAGCACTTTGAGAAGCCAAGACGGGTGGATCACAAGGTCAGGAGATCAAGACCGTCCTGGCTAACACAGTGAAACCCCATCTCTACTAAAAAATACAAAAAATTAGCCAGGCGTGGTGGCGGGTGCCTGTAGTCCCAGCTACTCGGGAGGCTGAGGCAGGAGAATGGCGTGAACCCAGGAGGCGGAGCTTCCAGTGAGCCGAGATCGCACCACTGCACTCCAGCCTGGGTGACAGAGCAAGAGTCCGTCTTAAAAAAAAAAAAGGGGGAGTTCCCTGCACAAGTTCTTGCCTGCTGCCATCCGGGTAAGACGCAACTTGCTCCTCCTTGCCTTCCGCCATGATTGTGAGGCTTCCCCAGCCAGGTGGAACTTAAGTCCAATGAAACCTCTTTCTTTTGTAAATCGCCCAGTCTTTGGTATGTCTTTTTTTTTTTTTTTTTAAGACAGTCTTGCTCTGTTGCCCAGGCTGGGGTGCAGTGGCGCGATCTCGGCTCACTGCAAGCTCCGCCTCCCGGGTTCATGCCATTCTCCTGACTCAGCCTCCAGAGTAGCTGGGACTATCGGAGTCTGCAACCACGCCCAGCTAATTTTTTGTATTTTTAGTAGAGACGGGGTTTCACCGTGTTAGCCAGGATGTTATCGATCTCCTGACCTCGTGACCTGCCCGCCTTGGCTTCCCAAAGTGCTGGGATTACAGGCATGAGCCACCACGCTGGCCGGTATGTCTTTATCAGCAGCGTGAAAATGGACTAACATGGTTTCCTATGTAGACCTTCAAAGGGTGCTAGACTATCAGTTCATCTCTTCAGGATCGGGGAGGCCTGGAAGGGTAAAGATCCAGTTATGTTAGATTCTTCACAGATACAAATCTCCGCCCCACAAAAGACAGCTTTGCAGGGCCATTTCCAGATATGAAAAATAAACAAATTTGGGGGTAATTATCTTGATTTCCTTATCTGCCATGTGATATTACGCCAGAGTCAGTTGGAGTTGGTATCTTATTGCTACAGAGTCTGTTCTGTCAGTCTTAAAACCTCTATTTTATTTTTGAGACAAAGTTTCACCCTGCCACCAGGCTGGAGTGCAGTGGTGTGATGTCGGCTCACTACAACCTCCACCTGCTGGATTCGAGTAATTCTTGTGCCTCAGACTCCCAGGTGGTTGGAATTATGGGTGCACGCCTGGCTAATTTTTGTATTATTAGTAGTGATGGGGTTTCCCCATGTTGGCCAGCTAGTCTCGATCTCTTGACCTCAAGTGATCTGCCTGCCTTGGCGTCCCCAAGTGCTGGGATTACAGGCGTGAGCCACCTCGCCCAGCCAAGATCTCTATTTTAATGTTAATGCTGGTGAGTCTGTCTAACCCCAAAAGGAGAGGAGTATCATGAGGCACGCCCAGTTCTCCACTGCTGGTCACGGTCTGAACTAGGAAGCGCGCCCAGTCCTCCACTGCTGGTCACAGTCTGAACTAGGAGGTGCACTCAGTCCTCCACTGCTGGTCATGGTCTGAACTAGTTTCAGGTTTCTTTGGAATCCCCTTGACAGAGAAGAGGGGTCCATTCAGCTGGTTGGGGGACTCAGACTTTTGTTTTTGGTTTACAATGTAGAAGAATATTAATTACTGGAAAAACATCACACATAACTTATGGCAGCTTCACAATAAGGGATTACATAAAAAAACTAAAGCAGAGTAAAACTGTTTTATTTCCTGTACTGGAAAATATTACTTTCTCTGGGCAAGATGGTATTGCAAGTTCAAGCTTAGAGGCTGATACGGTTTGGCTGTGTCTCCACTCAAATCTCATCTTCAATTCTCACGTGCTGTGGGAGGGACCCGGTGGGAGGTAACTGAATCATGGGGGCAGGTCTTTCCCAGGCTGTTCTTGTGATAGTGAATATGTCTCATGAAATCTGATGATTTTAAAAAGGGGAGTTCCCCTGCACAAGCTTTCTCTCCTTTTGCCTGCTGCCCTCCACGTAAGATGTGACTTGCTCCTCCTTACCTTCCACCATGATTGTGAGGCCTCCCCGGCCATGTGGAACTTTAAGTCCATTAAACCTTTTTTTCTTCCCAGTCTTGGGTATGTCCTTATCAGCAGCATGAAAACAAACTAATACAGAGGCCCTCCCACAATTCTCCCCAACCATGGCTACAATAGGTAATTTTTATTTAAAACAAATTTTTTTTTTTTTGAGACAGGGTCTTGCTCTGTCACCCAGGCTGGAGTGCAGTGGCATGCTCTCGGCTCACTGCAACCTTTGCTTACCAGGTTCAAGCAATTCTCCTGCCTTAGCCACCCGAGTACCTGGAACTACAGGTATGCACCACCACGCCTGGATAATTTTTGTATTTTTAGTGGAGATGGGGGTTTCGCCATGTTGGTCAGGCTGGTCTCAAACTCCTGACCTCAGGTGATCCGCCCGCCTCAGCCTCCCAAAGCGCTGGGATTACAGGTGTGAGCCACCATGCTTGGCCTATAATAGGTAATTTTTAAAACAAAAATTTAAAAACCACCAACACTTCATAGACCAAAAATGAATCAGAAACACATAGCAGCTCACAGGACCCAGACTTTGGGCCTGTGGGGGCTCTGGGCCCAGAAAGAGGGAAAGGTGCTTGGGAGGGCTGTCCCTGAAGAGTGAGGGGGCAGAAAGTGCCTGAGAGTAGTGGAGAACAGCCAAGAGCATCGCTGAAAACCAGGGCTGGAATAAGTCTCTTGCCTCTGTAACTGCCCTATGGGTTCACCTTGCCTGCTGCCTAGACAGAGCCCATTTACCAAGACAGGGGAATTGCAATGGAGAAAGAGTAATTAACGCAGAGCGGGCTGTGCAGGAGACCGGAGTTCTACTATTATTACTCAGTCAGTCTCCCTGCGCATTCTGGGATCAGAGTTTTTAAAGATAATTGGGAGGGTGGGGCTTTGGGACATGAGGAGTGCTGATTGGTCAGGTTGGAGATGGACTCATAGGGGGTCGAAGTGAGGTTTCCTTGCTGTTTTCTGCTCCTGGGTGGGTGCCCGAACTGCCGGAGCGAGATTACAGGTCTGGGTGGTGTCGGCTGATCTGTGGAGTGCAGGGTTTGCAAAATATCTCAAGCTCTGATCTTGGGTTTTACAATAGTGATGTTATACCCAGGAGCAATTTGGGGAGGTTTAGACTCTTGGAGCCAGAGGCTGCAGGACCCCTAACCTGTAATGTCTAATATTGTACCTAATTTGTTAGTCCTGCAAAGGCAGATTGGTCCCTGGGCAAGAAGGGGGTATTTTCGGGAAAGGGCTATTACCCATTTTGTTTCAGAGTCAAACCATGAACTGAATTCCTTCCCAAGGTTAGTTTGGCCTATGCCCAGGAATGAACAAGGACAGCTTAAAAGTTAGAAGCAAGATGGAATCGGTTAGGTCTGATCTCTTTCACTGTCATAATTTCCTCAGTTATAATTTTGCAAAGGCGGTTTCACTTCCATGAAAGGAATGTGAAAAAACATACAACTTCTGCAGCGATATCTGGAGATGGAGACGAGGACAGCCTTCGGCCCAGCCTCTTGCTGGCTCCAGGACTGGATCTACAGTTCCCAACGGCAAGGCCAGGCAAGCACCCAAGCATGACCCCAAAAGGCTGGACGGAGGCTCCTGCCAGAGCATGACACACAGTGAATACTCAGGGAAACAGAACATAAGCCCCCTCTGCAGAAGCCTGCAAGCCTAGATTTCAAAACACAGGACTCCAAGAAGACAGATAACAGTATCAGCCATCAACTGGTAAATTCCGCCCAGGGGAGATGAAAACAATAAAGCACAGTTTAAAATAAATGTGTCTACCCCGGGCAGTGGCTCAGGACTGGCAGTGGCTCACGCCTATAATCCCAGCACTTTGGGAGGCTGAGGCAGGTGGATGGCTTGAGCTCAGGAGTTCGAGACCAGCCTGGGCAACATGGTAAAACCCGTCTCTACAAAAAATACAAAAATTAGCCCAGTGTGGTGGCACATGCCTGTAGTCTCAGCTACTTGAGGGGTTGAGGTGGGAGGATTGCTTGAATCTGGGAGGCAAAGGCTACAGTGAGCCGAGATCACACCGCTGAACTCCAGCCTGGGTGACAGACTGAGACCCTGTCTCAAAAAATAAATAAAATAAATAAATAGAGGTGTTTGGGATTCTCATGGTAGATAAAGAAAGAAAACAGCCGTGAACATTAAAAACAGATTATAAAACAAAAACTGGAAGAAATTAGACACAAAAAAGAAAATTAGAAATAGAGACCAATGCGGTTTTATTTAAAAACTCAACAGATTAAACAAACTAATTGGATGGAGACAGAACTAGTAAACTGGAAGATCGTAAACTGAGAACACAGAGACCAATACTGGGAAGCGCAGTTTGAGAGATGGAGAAGACACTGAATGGGTGCAAGCTACTCCCTTTTAGGAGATCCAGAACAAGAATTATGTCAGGGTGCAGAGGTGCCACGGGAGGACAGATGGCCGGGAAGGGCTGGGAACTGAAACTTAGCTATCTCAGGTGAGAAGACACGGCCAGCGCCAGGCAACACAGCCAAACCAACTTATACTCAGAAATACCACAGCGAAATTTCAGAACAAAGACATGAAAAGAGAAGATAGATTTCCTTCATGGAAGTAGCAATGCCACGGGCAGCAAACTTCTCGGCAGGGTAGCAGCAGTCGCTGCCCGGAGGAAGGTCCTAAAATCAAGACAGGAAATGACTCAACAAGGAACGCGGCACCAGCTCCACAGCCACTCAATAATCAGATCAACACGAACACTTCATTCGTTCCTACGTTGGGAGGCTCACCCAAGAATACTTGCCAAAAGGCTACCAATGGATACAATCTGGCTGGGCAAAAACTGAGCACAGTAAAGGGCAAAACATGCTCGTACATACAATTAACTACTGACTACAAAAATTAATGTAGCATGAAAAATGTGAAACAAAAACCTGAGGCAACAATAACAAGCAAGAGGGAATACGCTCAAATGGTTAGTAAATGTTTTATTTGTGAAAAGAGATACTGGAATGCTGAAACTTGTTAGAAATAGCATCGTGCTGAAATCTTCCATCCCCTTCGCCACTCACGGCAACACCCATGTCACTCCTCATTCTCTCCTTGCTCTGCCCGGGTGGCTGGCCTCCCCACGCTCCTGAGAAGGTACTGGTTGTGCTTTCAGCTTCCTGATTGGTAGATAGTTGGGTATGTACGAAAACTTTTTTTTTGAGACAGGGTCTCGCTGTCACCGAAGCTGACATTAAGTGGCACAATCATAACTCACTGCAGCCTCAAAATCCTAGGTTCAAGCGATCCTCTTGCCTCACCCTCCCACACAGCTGGAACTACAGGTGTGTGCCACCACACCCAGCATTTTTTTTTTTTTTTTTTTTTAATTTTTGTAGAGACTGGGTTGCCCAGGCTGGTCTCCAACTCCTGGCCTCAAGCGATCTTCCCACCCTGGCCTCCCAAAGTGCTAGGGTTACAGGCGTGAGCCATCGTGTCCGGCCTAAAAAACATTTCTTACTGTGATCTCTTCACAAAAATAAAACGTAAATCCCCTCAAAGTGGATAGTCGTTTCTCCACATAATTATGTCGTTTCCTTTAAAAAGTGGAATCAGGCCGGGCACGGTGGCTCATGCCTGTAATCCCAGCACTTTGGGAGGCCGAGGGGGGCGGATCATGAGGTCAGGAGATCGAGACCAGCCTGGCCAACATGATGAAACCCCGTCTCTACTAAAAATACAAAAATTAGCTGGACGTGGTGGCGCGCGCCTGTAGTCCCAGCTACTGGGGAGGCTGAGGCAGGAGAATTGCTTGAACCTGGGAGGCGGAGGTCGCAGTGGGCCGAGATCGCGCTACTGCACTCCAGCCTGGGAGACAAAGCAAGACTCCACCTCAAAAAAAAAAAAAAAAAAAAAAAAGTGAAATCATGGCAGACTCCAGCTAAACTGTCCGGGTTTCCAGAGTGTTTCTGGGTGGGACAGAGGGTGCTACTTTTCATTATCAGTTGGATCCTGGAATGAAGGTGCACGGGACTCCAGGGTTCCACAGGACCACGCGAGCACCTCCCCTCCCGCCCGGTGTCATTTCATCTTCTTCCAAATTCTCAAAACCCTTCCTCAGGACACTCACTGCGTTTCCTCGCCCCCCTCACTCCTCCGTCCAGAGGCAGCCTTACTTCTCCAAAGAGGACGCTCTGAGTCTGCGTTCCCCTGGCAGCAAGTCCTGAGGCAAGATTTGGGGACAAGCAGCTCCTGTGGGAAGTGGCTCCAGGAAGCCCCAGGAGAGACGCGGGGAGTGAGCCCAGCGGGAAGGACAGGCAGCGAGGACCGCTCCAAAGGTGGTGCCTCAGCAGCAATTCTTTTCTGCTCGGCTGTCCTCGAGCAGCCCCGCCCGCCCCGGGCCCTCCGGCTCCCCAGACGGCACTTAGCATCCCGCTCTCTTCCTTCCCCTCTGTGCCAGGCCGGTCGCCCCTCCAGACCCTCGCGGTCTCTACTTGCCCGTCGACCACCACCCCTTCAAGGCCGCGGGCGCGGAAAAACGGATGCTACCGTTGGCCGCGTGCGTGCGCAGGCGCACCACCCCCTGCCACCCCCGCGCAGGCGCACCACAACCCCCCCACCGCAAGCGCAACCCCCCGCCCCAGCGCAGGCGCACCACACCCCGCCCCCTCCCGGGCAGGCGCACCACACCCGACCCCCTGCCGCGCAGGGGCACCCACACCCCGCCCCCGCACGCAGGCACAAACCCCCACAACACGCACACCCCCGCGCGCAGGCGCACCACACCCCTCGCGCAGGCGCATCACAGACACACTCGCGCTCAGCGTGGCGCCTGCGGGATTCCGTACCGGCGTCTCCATGGCGACCGCGTTGGCTGGGTGGCCTCCATTGTCGGGCTGCTGCTCTCAGCGGCGGGGCTCGCCAGCGCTTCAGTGGGCGGGGACGCGGCAGGTGAGACGGGGCGGGTACGGCCAGCTCGCTGAGCCCTCGAGGCGGGCGGCGGCAGGAAGGTGGTGCCTCGGCCCGTCGTGCCCTGTCGCCTAGCTCCAGCCGCGATGCTGACCGCAAAGGCTGCCCTTCTGAGGCCTGGAATGTGAGGCCCAGAGCGTCGGACCCAACTCAGCCTCGCCCGGATGGGGAAATCGAGGCAGGGAGCGGGGGTGGGCGTGCGTGGGGATCCCTTGAAGGCAGCCTCGGAAACCCCACGGAGCCTGCGCTGCCTGGGCCCTGTGTGAGTCCAGGCTGTTGTTTCACTTCTGGTTTTAAGATACTTTCCCTGTTCTGAGGTTTGAAGCCTCCCCTCCTCTGTTTTAAGTTCCGTGATTCGGAGAAAACAAGTGAACTGACCGTGAAAAAGCCCGCGGGCTTCCATGGAATGCAGGCTGCCTGGGGTTGAACCCTGCTGGGTCCCGGTGTCGCCTCTACCCCCCAATTAACTGCGCCCCTGGAACAGTTCCCTAACTGATCTGCGCCTCATATGCCAATCATTGGGCTGTTGAGTGACTTGAATTAGGTGAACTGATGCATTCCAACGTTGATTCTTATTGCCGAATAAATTGTTTGGAAATTGCAAGTGGAAGTGTGCCTCGCTGAATGAGATTTTGGTGAACAATACTTCTGAGTAAAAGTGTTGCTGGACAACGAAAATTCGAGATTAATTTAACAGGTTTTTCCCCGGTGCTTAACTGGGTGTAAGCCAGACTTAGTTCTGGTCACTGGGTCAAAATGGTAAACAAAAGACAGGCTTCCTGGCCTCAAGAAACTAAAAACATAGTTCAAATGGCACAGAACCACACCAGAGGTAAGAAACAGTGCAAATTTCCACCCGCCCCTAGTCATTTCATGGAAGCGTTGCAGTTGATTTACAGGCTTTGAAATGTTCCGATCTGTTTACATCCCTAAAATGATCATTACTATTGTGCGCCTTTGCGTTTTCCAGGAGTTAAATCTTGGAACTCCATTGTACAAAGTGAGAGCAGAGAATTTTAATCTGAACCTCTTTGTATTCCTTTTTTTTTTTTTTACATGTTTAAAAGTCAAATTTTTGCTACTGCTTAGGAAAAATGATAGCTTTTAAAGCAAGTTACATTACAGTAGATCTGCCACACAGCTATTCTGTTTTGCCTCGGTATAATTAGTTGCTTCTACGTTTCCCTTTCCCGTGTCTCCAGGTGACTCCAGACCAAGGAGGATGAGCTGCTGTCCCTGGAAGAGAACGGATGGAGGGAAGCAGCTCCTACGAAGTTCCCTCTGTGGCTGCTGCTGATCTGGAGGAGGGTGCTGGTCAGACTAGGAGCTTGCCTGCCACCCCCTCCAAAGATGTTCACAAGGGTGTTGGAGGCATCATCTTTTCCTCCTCACCGATTTTAGACTTGAGTGAAAGTGGTCTGTGCCGTTTGGAGGAGGTCTTTAGAATCCCCAGCCTTCAAGTAAGTGGGGCTGCTCCTCAGGCTGTGTGCCCACAGGTCCCCTATAGACAGAAATGGGAATGTACCCCTGGGCTTTATTTGTAGGCTTCTTTCTCTTTGGAATTGATGAATTCTAAAATTAAATAGAGGAAAGGTTAACTCATAGTTTCATACGCCAATCACAACAAAATGGGAAATTCATGATGGGGACCAACCAATGGAAATAGTACATCTATTTAGATGAAGGTGTCTGTTCTCTTCCTTGCAGTTCATCTCTCAAAACCTGTGGTAGAAACTACTGCCAAACACGCTTGGTCTCTTAATTAAAACACAAAACCTTAAAGAAAATCAGGCAACATGAGCAGTTAAAAACTTTGTTCTCACCCATGATTTTGCTCATGTTACACACTGGTTTTACTTTGTGCCCGGCCCTTCTCCGGGTCAGTCCGCAGTAGATGCTGTCTTGTCCATGTGATTTCTAGAGAAAGCTTCTGTGAGGGCACAGGTTTGATGTTAGACAGTTGAGGGTTCCCCCTGCAGCACTTGTCCCTGCTGGGACTCACAGAATTTCCTTAAACCTCATTTGGTTTAATCTGGAATGTCGGAATGATCATGTTTTCACATCATTTATTGTGAAAATGAATAATGTGAAAGTTCAGTGTCTGGAACATAGTTATGATATTGATTGACTTTCTTTTTGTATTTTTAGTAGAGATGGGGTTTCACCATGTTGCCCAGGCTGATCTTGAATGCCTGAGATCAGGTGATCTGCCTGTCTCAGCTTCCCAAAGTGCTGGAATTACAGGTGTAAGCCACCGCACCTGGCCAGATTGACATTTTTGAGTGCTTCTACAAGAGCTACATATTTAGATTTTTAGTGGCTGCTTAAGTTATAAACTCTACATTTGCATTGTCTTTGCTGTCACGGCAGCGCTGGTCTTGCTCTTTCTTTCCTTCATGCTGACATCTAGGGTGAGGCACTGGTCACAGGGACCTGCCTTGTCCTGGCTCCTGTTACACAGGTGTCACTTTTAATGAACAGATATCCTCAGCCCTGAATAAGGGATCCAGCAGAGCCCTGAGGTTTCTGTTACCTTTATGCACAAAGGGAGAAGGAGGAAATTCCAGAGGTCTTCAGGCTTGATGAAGAAACTTGATAACTGTTTATACCTTTCAGAAGACAAATGTCAGTATAAATTTTATTACCATGGCATAGAGTCTTTAAATGTGGTAATCAGAGTGGTAGACTTTCTGCCGCTGTGGCTGCAGTCTCTAAAGTCATAAACAGCACTTCCAGAGATCCCCCATCCTCACATGAGGCTCCCAGGACCTAATAGGAAAGATGGAATTTGTATTGTGACATAGCCACCTCACTGTTCACCACATGAGAAACAAACTTACCCATCCAAACCCAAAGAATGGACTCAGAGAACAGTGGAAGAAAGACTTTTTAATGACGGTCTTGCAAGATTGGGTGTCTGATGGGCAGGCACACCCAGCAGGGTTACAACAAGCCATTTATCCCCTGGTGCGCAGGTCCTGCCCCAGTTCCTCATAGGCTGAGTACTATGGGGGTTACAGTCTTCCCAGACTTCGCCTATTGGTTGTTGGGTAGGGGCTGTAGGGCACAGGTTCCTCCCCCAGATCCTCATAGGCTGAGTACTATGGGGGTCACAGTCTTCCTGGACTTCGCCTATTGGTTGTTGGGTAGGGGCTGTAGGGCACAGGTTCCTCCCCCAGATCCTCAGAGGCTGAGTACTATGGGGGGGGGTCACAGTCTTCCTGGATGTCGTCTATTGGTTGTTGGGTAGGGGCTGTAGGGCGCAGGTCCCTCCCCCAGATCCTCATAGGCTGAGTACTATGGGGGGGGTCACAGTCTTCCTGGATGTCGTCTATTGGTTGTTGGGTAGGGGCTGTACGGTGCAGGTTCCTCCCCTGGTTCCTCATAGGCAGAGTACTATAGGGTCGCAGTCTTCCTGGACGTTCCCTATTGGTTGTTGGGCAGGGGCTGTAGGTATTTTCTTTAGGGTTGTCCTGCTTTATTTTGTCGTGGCCCACAATGCATTGCAATCCCAGTCAGCTCAGGGGCTCTTCAAGTATTTGATTTATGACCTAAGTAGCTGGGCAGGCTGATAAGAACGGACAAAACGAGCTATTTTGCGGGCTAGTAAACTTTCATCTTAGACTAATCTTCTTTGGTTTGGGTGAGGGCAACTAAGGGGTGGGGAATGGCCAACAAGCAGGCATCGGCTATCCAAGTAGGGGCCTAGTACATCCTGTTTTTCTGTAGTTTGCTGACCTAAGCCAATTCAAGGCACTTTGTCTTGGAAATGGACCACTGTATATATTATTTCCTTCAACCATAACCAGCTCCAAGTCACAGGTGGTGCCTGCATTTCCAGAGGTGCTGGGGAGGAAGAAGAGTGTTATCTTTCTGAGATTCCTTTTACTGGCATTGAGAACGACATGGTTTCAAAGCTGAGCACTGGAATCAGCTTGCCCTGGGGGGGGAAGAACAGGACCAAGAAGTGTAAAACCACTCCTGCAGAGGCCCGAGAAAGGCAGCACGTGGAGGCATGCACATGCCTGTATGTGGGGGGTGCACACCCATATACGTGGGGGCACACACTGTGACCTGTGATTGCCAGGATGCTTTCTGGAGACCGAGCCAGCTGCCAGCAAGCAGTGACTCGGGCAATTTCCTAACAGAGATAAGATAGTGTTTCCAGTGCCTTTCTGAAGAGTGTGATTTTTCCAGTCAGTGTTTCTCCAGTTGGAATCTGTCAGTGATTTGGATCAGGGACACGGTGTTGAGGGCGGAATGGGGAGGCATGTGGTGCTCTGTGCAATGTGCAGTGTGTGTTTCATAGAGAAGGCAACGTAATCACAACAGCCAATCCACGCACTGTTCTTTAGTGCTTGCCCACATTGCCCCGTCTCACAGATGAGGACACTGGAGCACAGAGAGGTTCAGGAACTTGCTCAAGGTCACACAGCCAATAGATTTTGAAACCTAGATGTGGATCCAGGCAGTCTGGCTTTGAGATCATTGTTCCGAACATCTGTTTCTACTCCCTCAGGAAATACAGATATGGATATAAATACATATAATAATGTGAGTATAAACAACTAGCAGCATTAATGACAGTATTGTAAAAATTAGCTATGATCCTTCCACACTGTGACTGTAAAATTGTGTGAATGTTATATGCATTTTACACAGCTAAAATCAGCGTGTATACGTTCATCTTCCACCTTCCCTTATTTGTCACGACTTTACAACGCCACCGAGTTGATGTGTCAATCTGCTTCTGAAATGCTGCTCGCTGAGGCTTTGTTTGCTGCTGATCGTAGAGAACACCACGGCAGACATCTCTGTCCCTGTCTTTTAGTTTCATTTTAATGATTGAGTTGGGCTGAGTCCCCCAGACCAGACATGGCTCTGGCTATTTGCTCAGTAAGCAGGCGATTTCGGGGGCTGCCGAGGGCCAGGTGCTGCGGCAGGCACTGGAGAAACGGCCGAGACACTGAGTGTGGGGCCCCGGAATTCAGACCATGTCAAAGGCTTTGGGATAGAAACAGTGGTGTGCTGGGTCAGCAGCAGAGTGCCGGCTCTTCAGGAAGTCAGTTCCGGCTCCAAAGGCCGCCGGAAGGAGTCCTGGTTCTTTTCTTTCTGATTCTTTTGTCTACTGTTTACATCTTTTAAGGGTAAGAGATTGGGTTTTTGTTTTTTAACTTAGTATATACGGTTCTGGTTGTTAGTAGTTCTTTTGGAAATAGATTTTGGATATATCATGTTTTACAAATTAGTTGGTTAACAAAACATTCTCTGATTCTCTTTTCCATGGAAGCAATTGCATCTGCAAAGGAATGCCCTGTGTGTGATTCCTCAAGATTTCTTTCAGTTGCTTCCGAACCTGACTTGGCTGGACCTCCGGTACAATAGAATTAAAGCGCTTCCTTCTGGGATTGGAGCTCACCAGTAAGTTGTTTATGTTTCCAGATTTTAAAAATCATCTTTTCAGTGCACGAGTGCCTGTTCTTTCGCTCCTTGTCCTTTACTCTTGATTAAATTTTTACCTCGGAATAGAAACATTTAATAGTATTTTTAAAGCCAGCTAAGAGGTTGCGACGGCTGAATGTACCCAACACAGAACTATAACTTGGGATATTTGGTGCCACAGAGAATGCTGTAGCCACAGTGTCTTTTTGCTGGGCAGCCAGTGTGATTTTTGTCACAGCCGATTCCAGCTCTGACTCTCCTTGTGTGAAGCTGTCTGAAAATCAGAAATACCTCTGATGAGTTAAACCAGCAACTTTGGCCAGGCGCGGTGGCTCACGCGTGTAATCCCAGAACTTTGGGAGGCCGAGGTGGGCAGATCACCTGAGGTCAGGAGTTTGAGACCAGCCTGGCCAACATGGCAAAACCCTATCTCTAATAAAAATACAAAAATTTGCCAGGCGTGGTGGTGGGTGCCTGTAATCCCAGCTCCTCAGGAGGTTGAGGCAGGAGAATTGCTTGACCCCAGGAGGCAGAGGTTGCAGTGAGCTGAGATCACACCACTGCACTCCAGTCTGGGTGACAGAGTAAGAGTCCGTCTCAAAAAAAATAAATAAAAAATAAACCAGCTCCTTTGCTCCTGAGGGCTCCTGGGTAACCCACATTGGTTCTTGGCAAATAGTGAGAAATTCTTCTCACTTTGGAAAACTGGGAGCACCCAACCAAGCTCCAGGTGTCCTGTCCATTTCCACCACTTCCCTTCCAGGAGTTTCCTTGCATTCCCACTTGTGGGGTGTAATCCTGCCCATGGTGGAAACGTCACACCTCCTTTCCCCTCCTCAGCCTGGCCCTTCCCCAGCAGCCAGGACTCTACTCTCACTATGGAGACGTCCTCCTTTCCTGAGCTCTCTGCTTCTGTGCCCACATCCCCGGCGCCATGGCTTTTTCACCTTCTGAAGCCATGATTGCCCTTAACTCTTTTTCTTTTCTTTCTTTCTTTTTTTTTTTTTTTTTGAGACGGAATCTTGCTCTGTCTCCCAGGCTGGAGTGCAGTGGCGTGATCTCGGCTCACTGCAACCTCTACCTCCTGGTTTCAAGCGATCCTCTTGCCTCAGCCTCCCAAGGAACTGGAATTACAGGTGCCCGCCACCATGCCCGGCTAATTTTTGCATTTTTAGTAGAAACGGGGTTTTGCCATGTTGGACAGGCTGGTCTCAAAGTCCTGACCTCAAGTGATCTGCCTGCCTTGGCCTCCCAAAGTGCTGGGATGACAGGCATGAGCCCCCGCGCCCGGCTACCTGAACCTCTTTTGACAAGTGCTGATATGAAGGCCCCATATCAGCTGGGGCCACGGCAGCAGCCCATGCAGGAGGGGCAGCCTGGGCGTGGCTGGCCACGGCAGGGCCTGGGTGGGACTTCAGAGCTGGTGGGATGCGGGTGGGTGTGGGGCCACAAGAAGAAGAGGGGTATCCAGGGTGCCCCCAGTTCCTACGTGAGGAATGGTGTCTCCCAAGAGCCATGGTGGCCTCCGTGGGACAGTAGAATAGAGGCTTGTAGGAGGCCCTTCACTTGCCTTGAACTCACTGGTTTTAAAAATGTTTTATAAGAAGTCAGTGTATTTTGCCACAGGTAATGGGAGGGAACCATGCATCACTCACCCTTCAGGCTCTGCGAGGAAGCTGCTTATCTAATGATAGGTGGTGTCCGGAGCAGGTGGAAACACACCCGGTGCATCTCCATGGGGCTCCTAGGGACTCTGGGGTCTGCAGGGCGGACCACAGACGGACCTGGAGGAGAAGAGTGTTCCGGGGCTCAGCTGGTACATCTGCCGAGCCCGGCCAGCCGCTTGTGTTTTGGGAGCTGCATGGGAGCCAGGTGCTCTCTGGGCAGTTGTCCACCCTGTCCTCACGGCCTCGGGAGGCTTCCAAGCCTGAGGCTGAGAGTGCTTTGGGAAGGATTTCTTCTTCACACGATCATCATCTTCTGGGTTTAGAATCACTGGGTGCTCTTTTGTCCACAAATTGTTTTAGCCTTACACAGTTCTGGAGAGTAAGTGCTACTCAGAGGATGTAAATGAACTAAGACCTGTTCCCATAACTACTCGTGTTTTCCCTAAAATAAGTGTACAGTCCTCAAAATTTGAAATTCTTTGATTTTGCTAGTCAAAGCTGGCTGCCTATGTTTTTGGAGGTATACTTTTATTTGTGATTTGTAACCCATGATAACATTCAAATTAGATCAACTACAGAGCTGAGACATATTACTCGGAAATACAAAGTGATTGTGGGCTTATTAAAGCCTTAAACCTCTCAAAACATAATTAAAACAGTGACGGTGTTAGCATGCCACCTTCTCAGTGTCCTGGATGTGTCAGCTTGCTGGCAGAGAGAAGATGTAGGAAGCATGGATCCGTTCATTTACCTCCTTAGGCCAACAAGTCCAACTCAACGTTTACGTTTATATATTCATTTTAAAATCAATGAAACGAATCAACGGGTAAGCTTTGAATTATTGATAGTATTTAAGGAATTAACATTTATCAATTTATCGTTTAAAGTGTGCTCAGAATATTTTAATAATATTATTATATAAGGTAGAAAAACCCGTGCTGTACTTTCAGGTTAATAGTCAGTAAACATGCACCCCCCGCAATCCCTCTCAGGCAAAACCGAACCCAGCCCCACCCAGCAGCACGTGAGTGGGCCAGAACCTTTCTGCCTTGACAAAGCCCTAGCATTGGAGAAGCCGAGAGCGTGGTGCTGCTCTTGCTGCCCTCCTCAGCATCTGGAGGCCTCTGTTCACCTTATAGAGAGCAGATGCTGTTCTTGTTGGCTGGTTTTATACTAGCAAAATTCAGAGGGAGTAAACCAAAAACAGTGAACTGAACGAACCACATTGAAATAATCCACTTTTGTGCAGTTCAAGAAAAGTTTGCTTCATAAAGTTTATTCCTTAAAAACTTCAAATAATGGCCAGGCACGGTGGCTCACGCCTATAGTCCCAGCACTTTGAATGGCCGAGGTGGGCGGATCACAAGGTCAGGAGTTCGAGACCAGCCTGGCCAACATGGTGAAACTCCGTCTCTACTAAAAAAAAAAAGTACAAAAAAATTAGCCAAGATCACACCACTGCACTCCAGCCTGAGCCACAGAGTGAGACTCCATCTCAAAAAAAAAAAAAAAAAATTCAAATAACAAGGAAAATCCAAGAAAGTAAGTAGAAAGAAAATTGTCTAAACCTTAAGTAATCTGATTTTCCTGTGGGGTTACCAATAAAAAAATTAAAGGTAATTTAAATGAGGGCTGGGCATGGTGGCTTATGCTTATAATCCCAGCACTTTGAGAGGCTGAGGCGGGAGGATCACTTGAGCCCAGGAGTTCAAAACTGGCTTCAGCAACATGGGAATACCCTGTGTCTACAAAAAATACCAACATTAGCCAGGCATGGTGGCACACACCATTAGTCTCAGCTCAGCCAGGCGTGGTGGCACACACCATTAGTCTCAGCTTAGCCAGGCATGGTGGTACACACCGTTAGTCTCAGCTACCTGCGGGGACTGAGGCGGGAGGATTGCTTGAGCCCAGGAGGCGGAGGTTGCAGTGAGCAGAGGTTGCAGTGAGCTGAGATTGTGTCACTGCACTCCAGCCTGGGCAACAGAGTGGAGACCTTGTCTCAAAAAATAATCATCATAATTAAATGTGAAAACCAAGAAGCATAGTACAATAAAAGTTACAAAATAGAGTTTAATAGAATATATAGATTTTTCCATCATTCAACTAGTAAATTTTTACATTCTTTCCTGTCCGTCTGTCTAGGCATCCATGATATATTTTGGGCTGCATTTTATAAGGATGTTACTAGGTGTTAAATGAAAGTAGATGCCTTCCCGAAATGCTGCCTTAGCTGAGTTTCTTACGTAGAGGCTTCTCAGAGTCCCCAGTGTATGAATCATTCATCTCCAAGCAGGGCAGGTTATACTGTGCGGTGGAAGTCTCTCAAACATTTTTGGCCGTAGAAAACTTTTTTCACAGAGCATGATAAAACACTGGGATTCCTCACTGCACATCTTAGGAAAGACTGGTTTACAGTGAGGTTATAACTGGAAGGTGTGAAAGCCTAAAATAGAGGTTCTTAACGGGGAGATTTTACCCCCAGGAGACTGTTGGCAATGTCTGGAGACATCTGTGGTTGTCACGCCTGGGGGTGGGTGGTACCCCTGGCATCTGTTGGAGAAAGGCTGGAGGTGTACAATACCCCGCAAAGCAGGGGACACCACCACCCCTATGGACTGCCTGGTCCCATGTGTCAGCGGTGCAGGGCTTAGACCTGTGTTTGCATATGACAGCAGACCATTTGTGTGTACATGTTGTAAATTTAAGTGTATCTGTATTGAAGTTGCCCCTGAAAGAGAAGAAAAATGAAGAAACTTGATGGTATATTTTGGAGATAGTCAATTAAATCTTGCTTTTTAAATTTTTTTGTTTTGTTTTGCTTTAAAGGCATTTGAAAACTTTGCTTTTAGAAAGAAATCCTATCAAAATGTTACCTGTGGAGCTGGGTAAGTATAAAATAATAAAAAGATGATTTTAAAATGCTATCTTTTGAACTTGCCAGACCTTGTAATGGAAGTATCAGGCATGACAAAGGAGGGTAAGCTAGATATTTTAAAAATCCTTCCTACTTCTAGGACCAAGATAATGTAGCTCTCAAGAACTGTTGATATAGCACGTACTGTTCTTATGGAGGTGTGACGTGTGAGCCTTGTGTGAGGCACAGTCACAGTGAGGGCCATTGGCGCCGTCACACAGCTAAGGAAACTGAAGGCCCCGCACACACCTCTGCAGGCCCTGCGTGCTGTCTCCGCTGCATCTCGCTGGCCTTCCTGGGAAGTTTTACCACTTACGTATGTTCCTAGGCCCCATCATGACCACTTTTTTAGACTTCAGAATCTAAACACTCAAAACCAAAAGCATAAACTGACAGACAAATCAAACAAGCGTAAACTATCACAGAAGCAAGTTTTATGACCTTTAAAATATCTAGCAGAAACAGTATAAATTTGTCGGACTAGTAGCCCAGGAAAAAATGTCTAAAATTCTGAAGGCATTTCTATTATGAACTTGAGAAGCATTTTGGAGAACTAATTTATGAGTACTCATTTATTTGTAAGTCACTTGCTACCATGTAGACAGTATAAAAACAGACATGTATACGCATGTATACATAAAAGTACAAACATTAAGATTGTATAGCTTTGATTTTATTTTTAGCCATGAATCAGATAAAACTCATTAGTTTAAAAGAACAGTTGAGACCACGCATAGTGGCTCATGCCTGTAATCTTAGCACCTTGGGGCGCCAAGGCAGGAGGATCCCCTGAAGCCAGGAGTTTGAAACCAGCCTGGGTAACATAGTGAGACCCCATCTCTACAAAAAATAAAATAAAATAAAATTAGCCAGGTGCAGTAGTGCATGCCTGTGTTCCTAGGTACTTAGGAGGCTGAGGCAGGAGGCTAACTTGAGCCCAGGACTTCAAGGCTGCAGTGAGCTCTGATTGCACCACTATACTCCAACCTGGACAACAGGGCGAGACCCTCTCTCTAAAAACAAAACAACAACAACAACAAAAAACAAAAATAAAAGAACAGTTAGGTTAAATTGTGCCTTTGTAAATGGAACGAGTTATGGCTGGAACCCTTACACAGTTTTAGAGAAAACAGAATAGCAAATTTACACTTCAAAGAACAGAGAGAGAATTTAAGCTTTTTAAAGAAGGAGTTTGGGTGTGTTTGAAGACTAAAAATGGATGACAAGATAATACAGAGTCACTTGCCACAGGATTTGATAAGGAAACGAATTTCATTTAGATAGGTAGCTTCTAGTTTAGTCTCTGTTTTCCAACTGGACCAGTGAGCTCAGGGCAGAGCCCATTAATGGACAGGGCCAACAAGGCATTTGCAGTTTGTAGAGCCTAATACTTAACCTACATGTGAAAAGCGAGCGCGGCTGAAAGGTGGGACACCCAAATACCCAAAATCCAAGCATCCATCTTTCACACTGAACCCTGGCTCCCTCAGATTGGGAAACGCCACAGGACTAGGGCCCCTGCAGTGCTTCCCCGTGCTCCTCATTCCGGGGACTTCGCCCTGAGCCTGGGGAGTGAGCCAGCCCCCACCAGCCCACTGCCCACCACGGGAGCCTTACCTCTCAGCGGCCATCGTTTCCAAAGCCTCCAAGTTCACATAATTTCCATTTTTAGTGACATTTCACATTTGTGGAGTCCTTGTATTCTATTTTCTTCTAATTAAACACAATTTTCTTCATTTGCTTGAACATATTTAAATGGTTGCTTTGAAGTCTTTGTTAAACCCAACATCTGGGCCTCCTCCAAGACAGTTTCCATTGTCTGCTCCGTTCCTGAGTGTAGGGTACATTTTCCTTTTCTTTGCATGTCTGGTAGTTTTTATGTGGAAAATGGGCATTTTAGATAATATAGCGACTTTGTATTCTGAATTTTACAGAATTGTGAAGGTGGTTGTGGCTGCTTCTGTTTGTTTGATTTTATTTATTTGTTTTTTGGAAACCATCCTGGTCTTAATTTGCGGAATCCGTCTCCTGCAGAGTTACCTTTAAAGCAAATCTTTGACATCTGTTAACGTGATTTTCCCCCAAATACTGAATAGAATCATATTTTAAAATGTGAAAAGTTACTATTATTTATTCCTCATTTTCATTTCAAGAATGGTATATAGAATGCTGACAGTTTTTTTTTCCTCCACTGCAGGGAGCGTAACCACGCTGAAAGCACTGAACCTAAGACACTGCCCTCTGGAATTCCCTCCTCAGCTCGTTGTGCAGAAGGGATTGGTGGCTATCCAGCGCTTCCTGCGGATGTGGGCAGTAGAACACTCTCTCCCCAGAAATCCAACTTCTCAAGGTTTGTAGGAGGTGATTTATGACAAATCACATTAACGTTGAAGTTACAGCTTTTTAAAATCAGGGCAGAACCTGTCTTCTCTTTAATAACATCCTGAGAAATACAGGAGCCATGGGTCCTCTGCTGAGTTGACACAGTGTACACTGATCTCAGGCCGACCCAGTCATCTCTGTGACTTTTCCTTGGTTCTATAAATCTGGGCACATTATAGATCCTGGCTCAAGTGGATTTTGGTAGAAGTTTATTGTGATCAATCAAATGAAACAGTTATCACCTCCAAGCCACCCGCAGGCGGCTGCTTCAGGAATGACTTGATGCTGCATTAGGCAGCTATTTTAAAATAAGTACAATGAAATATTCCTTATTCCTAACGAGGTACAAGAAATTAGCAGGAAAATGGCCCTGTAGACATGTTTTATCTAATCACCTTGTTGGTGGGTGCTCACTAACCTGTTCCATTCTTTCAACATACTGACCAGCCAGGTATTTTCAGATGCTCATGATGTGTTCTGGTCTTGAGTACGCATTGTAGTTACACTTGGAAAAGGTAAAGTTAAATTGGGATAAAGGAGAATCATAATGAAGCCTTGCCAAAAAAAGTACATATTCTGAAATATTGTCAGAATATTTAAAATTTTACTATTTGTGATGTACTTTGATACTTAAGAAAAATGCATGTTTGGAACATTAGCCAAGGTGATTATAGATGTGCTGCAATTGAAATGTGTGGGTTAGGTCTTCGTAAATAACGTGTGGCCTTGCACTTTTGACCCAGATGGACTCTATTTGGAAATTGTTTTAAATGATTAAGAGTCAGCTGTTGGCCCTGTGCTTGCTGAGTTGTTTGTAGACATATTTTAACCAGGTTATAGTGGCTGCATTGGGGCATTGCGCTGAAGCCGCCTGGCTGTGGCACCCTTGACCCCGATGCTGCCAGGATGTTGTGATAAAAATAGGAAAAGAAAAGTAGCCGCTGGACTGGCAGTGTGGAGGGCACTGGGCACCTGGCAGGAGTGGGGGCAGGTAGCTGAGGGCATGGGGTGGCCGAGGAGAGATAGGACCAGGACCTGGAGACAGCTGGGACAAGGATGGAGGGGCAGAACCGTCAGGCACAGCCGGAGCCAGGACACAGGGAGCACAGGAGACACGGACAGACCCTGCTGGAGGATCAGGATAAAAAAGAGGAGAAGTTGAAGGTTCATTCCAGTTGAAGGAGACTAAAGGAATAGGAAACTGGATGTGATGCTTCATCCTGGATTGGATCCTGGGCCAGGACAAATATGATAAAGGACATTACTGGGACAGTTATCAAGGTGTGAGGAAGGCCAGCCAGTAAATGACAGAAGTCAGCGATGGGACGCTCCTGGTTTTGGTGAATCGCTATGGCGATGTGTGAGCATCTCCATCTGAGGGTGGAGGGGCAGGATGTCTGAAGTTACCCTTGAGTGTTTTAGGAAATGCATGAGCACCCCAGACAGAGAGGCGAGGGCGGGTAGGCTCATGGGGGCAGCAGCCTCGGGGGCCAGGCACCAGCGGCTGCTGATGGGGTGCGGGGTCCATCAACTTCTCAGCGGTGTTATTGCAACTTTTCTGTAAGTTTGAAAAAAATACATTAAGTAACTGGTCAAAAATAAGTATTTTCTGACTCTTTTCTATTAGGTTTTAGGGCCACATAGAGTGATTTTTCAGCTACTATGTATATTTTTAGTACTTTGTCCTTTCAATTACTTTAAAAAGTCTTTGCTGGCGGGCGTGGTGGCTCACGCCTGTGATCCCAGCACTTTGGGAGGCCGAGGCGGGCGGATCACGAGGTCAGGAGATTGAGACCATCCTGGCTAACATGGTGAAACCCTGTCTCTACTAAAAATACAAAAAATTAGTTGGGCGTGGTCGTGGGCACCTGTAGTCCCAGCTACTTGGGAGGCTGAGGCAGGAGAATGGTGTGAACCCGGGAGGCGGAGCCAAGATGGTGTCACTGCACTCCAGCCTGGATGACAGAGCGAGATTCCGTCTTAAAAAAATAAATAAATAAATAAAAGTCTTTTTGCTGTATCCCACTCTTCCTGTTTGCTTTCATTTTCATGAATTTCAGTTTTGTCCCTGGCCCTAAATCAGTTGTCCACAGGCAGATTGGTCAAATATGCATGTTTCTAGTCACTTGTACCCCAGGGGGAATTTTACAACTTCTTAGGACGTTTTGAAGCATGTTTGCCCATTTTTTAAAACTTTTCCTTTCAAACCTAAGACCCTGAGCACGCAGCAGTCAGGAGCATGTGGCAGCCAGGGGCGTGATGTCCATGCGCCTGTGTCCACTGCGACGGCCACCTG
This sequence comes from Homo sapiens, assembly GCF_000001405.40. NCBI lineage: Eukaryota > Metazoa > Chordata > Mammalia > Primates > Hominidae > Homo > Homo sapiens. The sequence goes on from NC_000010.11 coordinate 132,346,979, forward strand.
GGGTCTCACTCAGCCTTCAGGTCGTGCTGGGCACGTGCTGGGAGAAGACTGGCCAATAGGTCCCAGTGGCTCCCAAAGTGCCTGGAGTGCCTCTCTGAGGTCGTGTTTTGAGAAAGTCAACAAAAGCATCACCAAACAAGAAAAGCAGGCATAATGGGCTAAACATTACTTAGAAACAAAGATTCTAAGTGATCTGAGGGGAAGCAGAAATGTTGATTAAATGTGGCAAGATTGCCCTGTGTACACATGCAAAAAGTCCCTCCAAAGTGGTAAGGCCTATGTGGGAAGGTCAGGCGCGCCCGGTGGGGCCTGTGTGAGAGGGTCAGGCGTGCTCAGTGGGGCCTGTGTGGGAAGGTCACGCGTGTCCGGTGGGGCCCGTGTGGGAAGGTCAGGTGTGTCTGGTGGGGCCTCTGTGGGAAGGTCAGGCGTGTCTCATGGGGCCTGTGTAGGAAGGTCAGGCGTGCTCAGTGGGGCTTGTGTGGGAAGGTCACATGTGTCCTGTGGGGCTTGTGTGGGAAGGTCACGCATGTCCAGTGGGGCCTGCATGGGAAGGTCAGGTGCACCCAGTGGGGCCTGCGTGAGAGTCAGGTGTGCTCGGTGGGGCCTGCGTGGGAGGGTCAGGTGCTCCCAGTGGGGCCTGCATCAAAGTCAGATGTGCTCAGTGGGGCCTGGTGGGGCCTGCAGGGGAGGGTCAGGTGCGCCCGGTGGTGCCTGCGGGGAGGGTCAGGTGCGCCTGGTGGGGCCTGTGTGGGAGAGTCCAGGTGTGCTTCTGGCAGTGTTGTTTCCATTCCCTCCATGTGGAACTGCTTTGTGTGCCGCAGCAGGCTGGCGTGGTGCAGGTGGCAGGTGGGGTGACGGGAATTGTTTGGATTGACAGGGAACGTGGCAGCCATGGAGGATCTGGGCACCCCACCCCCCACCATCCAGGCCGTCACTGGCTTTTTGAATAAGTCACAGAGGGATGGCGTTGATGGTAGCTACTAAAGCGGTTTCTTACTCTCCCAGAGGCTCCACCGGTTAGAGAGATGACCCTCCGTGACCTCCCGAGCCCAGGACTGGAGTTGTCTGGAGACCACGCGTCTAACCAAGGAGCTGTGAACGCTCAGGACCCAGAGGGGGCTGTGATGAAAGAGAAGGCCAGCTTTCTCCCACCTGTGGAAAAGCCAGACCTGAGTGAACTCAGGAAGTCTGCGGACTCCTCAGAGAACTGGCCCAGCGAGGAGGAGATCAGGCGCTTTTGGAAGCTGAGGCAGGAGATTGTTGAGCACGTGAAGGCAGACGTTCTGGGAGATCAGCTCTTGACGAGGGAATTACCTCCAAATCTCAAGGCGGCCTTGAACATTGAGAAAGAACTACCAAAGCCAAGACACGTTTTCAGGTAAAACTGAAAAGCAACGGGGGATTTTCTTGATCTTTGCGAATTTATACAGTTATTTTAAATTATCTTTGAAAACATCAGGTCCAGCTTTTAAAGTGTCCTCCACGTTGCCACCGTTTACTGTGCAGTGAGTGCCGGTCCCAGGTTTAGGGTAACGGGGACCCGCATCAAGCCCGGAGCATCTGCGGCAGAGCTCAGTCCATTCAGAGGCTGAGTTTGCCAAGGTTGAGGATACGCCCGGGGAAAAGAGACATAAGCGACAGTGAGATCTGTGGCCTGTGCTTTCTCCAGAGAGAGCTTTGAGGATGTCAGCATTTAAAGGAGAAAGAATGGGCAGCAGGGAAAGGAGGAAAGAACAGTAAAAGTGGGGGCAGGCAGTGAGCCAAGTGGGCACATTCTTGTGAGGCTTCGATCAGTGCTCACTGAATCCACATTTTACCTGTGAAAAGAGAGGAGTTGGGGGAAAGGTCAGTTATGCAGAAAATAAATGGCAGCTGCCTGGGGACAAAAGGAAGGCAGTCATTGTGTGGCCCACTTCCAAAGCTTGCCTTTGCCTTTGGTACAGTGAGTTTGGGGGCCGAGATTTTATTTTCCTTTCACACCCAGGACAAGGGTCCCTAGGAAACAGGCTCTGCAGAGACTACATGAGAGAAAAACTCGAATCATGGGCGTGGTAGGGCGTGCGCCTACACATATGGGAGGTATGTATCTGTGGTGTGCGTGTGTGTGCCTGCATGTGGTGTGTGTGCCTGTGTGTGTGTAAACATCTAGAGAGAGAATGCTGCAAAATAACAATTGGTGAATCTAGATCATGCATTCTCAAGGGGCACATTGTCATAGCCGAGGGGACAACAATGGCTTCCTGGGGGTGAAGATTCTTGGAGGCCGCAGTGGTCTGTGGTCCCTCAGGCTCCACGCAGCGTCCAGCACGAGCAGGTTCACAGTGGCACCAGACCTTCCCGGAGGTGTTGGCATGAAGCGCTCATGGCCCTGATCTTTCAGCTGTCCTGTAGGTTTGAACATTCAAAACAGAACAAAACAAACCTTGGAAGCATCACTAAAAGATTAAAGGGTAGGATGTCCTAGCAGCACACACAGCAGGTTCCCAGCTACAGCGAGGCCTCGGACGCTCCAGCACGCTTGTGGTGTTCTTAGTCCACACAGTCGCACGGTGAAAGGGCAGGAATATCCTGAGCCTGCTGCTTAGAAACCTCTTTTCTTCCCTCCTCCCTTCAAATATTTATTTATTGTTAGGGACCCTAATAATAGCTAATCCAAGTGAATTGTGGTATGCTTATTAATCGTACTTATAATTTGATCAATATGTCAGATTTGGATACTAGACCCTAGCCTTCGGAGATTGCTTTGGGTGGCTTGGGAAGTTGGAGCAGAGAACTGGAGTCTCTGGCAGGAAGCCTCAACCTGGAGCCCCTGCCCCATGGTTGGGTGGGCCCTGAGTGTTGTCTTCCCCCTCTGCTGCCTCTGCCCAGGGTGAGCCATAGAGAACCACTCTGTGCCTCAGCTTTCCCACGGGGTGGTTGTGGTCTCACATGCATTATCAGGGCCTCAGTTTCCCCACTTGGTCAGGTTGTCGTGGGGTCACAGGTATTAAGAAGAAGCTCTAAGATTATGGCCCTGGTCTGCGCTCAGGGTGGTGGCCCTTCCTGAGGGTCTGGGACTCGGGAAGCTGGTGCTCCTCTGTGTTCTCTGGCCAGGGAGCAGTGGGCATGGTGAGAGCAGCAGGCCCGGTCCAAGGTGACTCGTGTGGCCTGGGCCTGCTTATAAGGCTGAGTGCTCATGTCCAAAATACTTGCAAGAAAAGTGATGTTATGTAAAAATCATAGGTAAATAATGGTCTGGTCCTGAAATCCCAAAATTATATTGGGAGGGAATCAAAGCATTCTGAAGTCATCAAACATGGAGCTGGAGTACGACGGAGCATCACTGCCCCAGCCTGATTCTGACGTCCAGCAGGCCTTCCTCTGGGGCAGCTCCTCCATACCCCTCAGGACCCTGAGACCACAAGGGGAAGCCTGGTGTTCCATAGAGCCTGGGCCACCTGCCCTTCCAAAAGCAGCAGGTTAAAGGCCAGTGCCCAGCACGCACCCCAGGTGACCCCTGTCCCAGAGCACAGGCCATGCCTGCCCTCTCTGCTCTACTGAGACAGTCACTGCTGTTCCCGTGCAGATGGGGAAGACGAGGGACAGTCACTGCTGTTCCCGTGCAGACGGGGAAGATGAGGGTGGAAGGTCATGCAGCGTGGGGGGGCGGGCCAGCCTCCTGGGACGTGGCCACCGGGCATGCTGCTTGGCTGTGGCCTCCCAAGATGTGCTGCTGGTGTGAGGCTTTGCACAGGGCAGGCCGTGGAATGGGATGGGCCTTTCTCCTCTGGGCGAAGTGTTTGGTTTCAGAGGGAAGACCAGGCAGGGCTTCCAGTTGTGTTTCTTAAACTGCTTTGATGCAAGGGTCATGGTGAGGAGTTGTCATGTTCTGGAACCTGGCTGGCTCTCAGTCCTGGGCTCAGAGCCCCTATCTCCAGCCTGGTTTTCCCCAGGTGTTTTCACTGGGAGGAAACACCAGGCACACCTGTCAGCTCCCTCTCATGGGCAGGGAGAGGGAGTCCCCAGCACCGTGCGACCCCACCATGTTACTGGCTATCCCCTCTGCTGTCCTGCGGGCTTCCCTCAAGGGGGACCCAGTATCTGACCCTGCCTGAATGTGTCTGTGGAGGCCAGGCGCCTTCTGATGGCCTTGCCTGCCCCGCCCCCTGCTCCCACATCACCCAGCGATGGGATTCCGACCTGCTGCAGCACCACCCCATGCACCTGAACTCCAGGCACGTCACATCGTCCAGCCCGGGCGAGCTGCTGGCCAGGCCCCCTGCTTCCGCGGGCATCTCTGTCCAGGTCAGACAAGGGTGCGGCATTGGTCTCAAGCAGGTCGGGTGCAGCTGCCGAGGCTGCACGTCCTTCAGGTGCATTTCCCAAGCCGACTGTCAAGCGTCCCGGGAAAGTAGCTGGCTGGCAGTGGGCGCGTTGGGACAGTGTCCTGCTGCCATCCACACATCTTCATTACGTGTCCTGAAATCAACAGTCAAGACTGGACTCTGGGGTGACTGCAGCTTCTAGTCGTGCTAATTGTTCAGATGAGCGGATGATCCACAGGCCCTCCTTTTACATTTCACATGTTGTATGAATTACCGTCACAGGGTTTTGTTAAACATTCAGCTAAAAACACTCTGTAATTTTAGAAGGAAGACAGCCTCCTCCAGGAGCATCTTACCCGACCTCTTGTCACCGTACCAAATGGCGATCCGAGCAAAAAGACTGGAAGAGAGCCGAGCGGCGGCGCTCCGAGAGCTCCAGGAGAAGCAGGCTCTGATGGAGCAGCAGAGACGGTGAGTCCACACAGGGTGGGGGTCCGCACAGCCCGCCCAGTGCACCCGGAACTGGGACTGGGCTGTGATTTTATGGCAGGCCTCGTGGAAGTGTTTAGTTAGTTCTCCCCTCACTGATGCTGATCCAGGATCCGTCTCTTCCTCACCTGGAAGCCGAGCTGCACGTGCCCCTTGTGGTCTGTAGCGCCACGCACGGGCTCGCTTGTTTGCAGCCCTGAGGCCTCCGTGTGGGGCAGGCGCAGGTGCAGCGCTCCGTGTGGGGCAGGCGCTGAGGCCTCCGTGTGGGGCAGGCGCTGAGGCCTCCGTGTGGGGCAGGCGCAGGTGCAGCGCTCCGTGTGGGGCAGATGCTGAGGCCTCCGTGTGGGGCAGGCGCTGAGGCCTCCGTGTGGGGCAGGCGCTGAGGCCTCCGTGTGGGGCAGGCGCTGAGGCCTCCGTGTGGGGCAGGCGCTGAGGCCTCCGTGTGGGGCAGGTGCAGCGCTCGTGGTCTGCAGGGCGTTGCGTGCATGGGCTCCCTTGTTTGTAGCCCCGAGGCCTCCGGGTGGGGCAGGCGCAGGTGCAGCGCTCCGTGTGGGGCAGGCGCTGAGGCCTCCGTGTGGGGCAGGTGCAGCGCTCGTGGTCTGCAGGGCGTTGCGTGCATGGGCTCCCTTGTTTGTAGCCCCGAGGCCTCCGTGTGGGGCAGGCGCAGGTGCAGCGCTCCGTGTGGGGCAGGCGCTGAGGCCTCCGTGTGGGGCAGGCGCTGAGGCCTCCGTGTGGGGCAGGCGCAGGTGCAGCGCTCCGTGTGGGGCAGATGCTGAGGCCTCCGTGTGGGGCAGGCGCTGAGGCCTCCGTGTGGGGCAGGCGCTGAGGCCTCCGTGTGGGGCAGGCGCAGGTGCAGCGCTCCGTGTGGGGCAGGCGCTGAGGCCTCCGTGTGGGGCAGGCGCTGAGGCCTCCATGTGGGGCAGGTGCAGCGCTCGTGGTCTGCAGGGCGTTGCGTGCATGGGCTCCCTTGTTTGCAGCCCCGAGGCCTCCCTGTGGGACAGGCCGGTTGCAGTGCTCGCGGTCGCCCCCTTGTGTCCGTCTTTGCCCTGGCTTCCTCACGACACCTGCCTGCTTTCTTGTTCTTTTCCCTCATTTCTTGTTCTTCCTCAGTCCTTTCCTCCTCATTTTCCCTAGAGTATTCCAGGCCCTGACACGGTCATCAGGGAGGTTCATTCTTGTGTTGCTGTGACTGCCGCCAGTGCCACCACCTTGCGAGGTGTGTTGGCCGATGGACTCGGTGTCCTCAGTGTCTTCTCTGTCCTCCAGCTCCACTGACCACCTGGCTTCACCCCTCCCTGGGCCCCAGGAGTCCGGCTGGCATGGACCACAGCCACAGCACCCCCGTGCCCCTCACTTGGTGGTTGGCTTTGGCCAGCGGGGGCCCCCAGCAGGAGGTCGAGGAGGAAGGGAGAGCGAGGGCCTCGTCTTTACTTTCCCGGCTTCTTTGTGAGCTGCCTGGAGCTGGCCGAGTCCAGCCTCTCCCTCCTTCTGGGTTCCGACAATCTCTCCTTCCCTGGTCTGTCCTGTGGGCGGCTGCAGCCCGGCCCTGACTGGCACAGGGCTCTTGCACCGCCCCTGTGGCTCACCTGCTCCCTCCCCAACATGAATAAACCCTCCTGAAGCCACCCCGTTGTGTGTGTGCTGTTTTCTCTCGGGACCATGTGATAGGGGCTGTGTCCAGCACACAGATTCTGTGATTGTCCACAGCTGTCACCCAATGTCCAGAGAGACATTGTAGTTGGTTGTCTTTTTCATTAAAAAGATGAATGAGGTGAAGTCCTCAGAACTGGTCCCCTGTCCCAGGCTGTCATACTGACGGGCAAGGATGAGGCTGACTGACCGCTCTAGGGCTGTCCTAGGACATGGGAGTGTGGTCCGGGCTGCACCAGAAAGCCCATCGCTGTGGGACCAGGTCTTGCTGGCCACGGGCCACAGCTGCTGGGGCCCAGGGAGCACCGGGAAGGCTTTCCTTTGGTGCCCATCAGTCGCCCCACACTGTCCCTCGGGGTAGCTCTACAGAGCCGGGCCCGTCACTCACTGCGAGGTGAGCCCCCCAGGACCGGCCCCGCCTGTCAAGCATGCCAGCTGCCCTCCCCTCACTGTGTGCCTCAGCAGGCATCTCCCTTCCCTTCCCTGCTGCAGGTGGGTCCCACTCCTGCCTCGGCTCTGCCAGTTTCAAGGTACCGTTTTCTGAAGTGGGTGTCCAGACACCTGCCCCCTTGACTCCTCAGGTATCACCTGCCCTGCCAGGAGGCTGCCTGTGGGAGTCCCACTCCCTCTTGGCCATGGCTGTGATGGAGGTGATTGTGATGAGACCTTCCGCAGGCACAGCCCCTGCCCCAGGCTCTCTGGGCACCACCAGCTGCAGGGGGCAGAAAGGGCACTCTTACCCCCAGACAACAGGCTCGGGCCTCGTCCCACACCTTCATGGAAGAGAAGTTCTTGGATACAAAGAGCAAGTGAACTCTTTCTTCTTTATTTTCCTGCCTGGAGCCCAGAGCCAGTGTCCTGCAGTCTCCTAGTGAGCAGCTCGGCAGGCCTATTCTGAGGGCCCAGACCCGGCACAGCCCCCTTCACATCACCCTGTGGACAGCGTCACCCCTTTGCTTCCCAAGGTGTGACCAGAAGACAGTGACACTAAGTGGAGGCCCTCGTCCAGGAGCGCAGCGGGGCCAGCACCACACATGGTGCTAAGTGGGGACACGGGGGGCACCACCCTGGCTGGGGCTGGGGGCTGGGGGCTGGGACACACCCAGGCAGGCGTCAGGACACAGCCTCACCTGAGGCAGCTGCTGAGACCACCTGTGCCCTGAGGTGGCACTGGGAGAGGACGCAGCCAGGCTCTGATCCCAGGCAGCACTGACTCGGGATGGAGCCCTCAGCAGGAAGGTGGTCAGAGGTGGGCCGTGGGCCGGGTAGAGCCCAGGAGGGCTGAGCCGCTGTGACCGCAAGGAAGGAGAGCAGAGGTCGGGTGGAGGCGTCGAGGAAAACCCGGCCTGGGGCCCAGGCGTCCAGGATGATGATGGGAGAAACAAGAGGAGGCCGGATCTGGGGGCAGGATGGAGAGGGGGTACCAACCACAGGAGTCCTGCAGGCTGGAGAGCTGGCCTTCCGGGGGTGGAGCCCTGGGCCTGAGCAAGGGCTCTTGGGGACCTCATTCCACCCCAGCCACACGCGAGGAGCCCCGCCCAGCCGCAGATGTGGGCGTTACTCGGGACGTTCGCAGCCCTGGGCGGCGAGCTGTGAGGAGGGAGCATGTGACTCTGGCTGCAGACTGCGGAGGCCCGAAGACGCCTGTTCTTGTCTTGTTTTGTTTTGTTTTTTGAGACAGTCTTGCTCCGTCACCCAGGCTGGAGTGCAGTGGCTCAATCTTGGCTCACTGCAACCTCTGCCTCCTGGGTTCAAGCAATTCTCCTGCCTCAGCCTCCCGAGTAGCTGGAACTAGAGGCGCCCACCACTACACCCGGCTAATTTTTTGTATTTTTAGTAGAGATGGGGTTTCACTGCGTTAGCCAGGATGGTCTCGATCTCCTGACCTCGTGATCCGCCCGCCTTGGCCAGATGCCTGTTTTTAAAAGTGAAATTCAAGTGTCTGAAGGGAGGGACTTAGAGACAGGCATTCAGATCTTCCATAGACCTTATGTCGACAAGTGCCCGCAGCCAGGCACCCCCAACCCGTCGTGCAGCGCCTGTGGTGGCAGCCCCAGCTGGTGCCCTTACCTGAAAGGGGTCCTGATGCCTTTTCCTCGGTCACTGGGTCGGGTTGGCCCCCAGCATCAGTCACTGCTGGCAGCACCGACACACAGAGCCTCGGGATAGAACCCGGCATTCCCGGCTCTGCCCAGATGTGCCGGGAGGAAGAGGCTGTGGTTCAGACTCCCACCCGGAGGGCATGCACGCCCCCAGCCTGTGCCCCCTGGAGACAGGTGCACCGCAAGGCTGTAGAATGACAGAGGAATCCTGTAGCCTTGGCTCGAAGCTGCCTGTAACTTATGACATTAACCTTCCCTTTCTCCAGAGAGAAAAGGGCACTGCAGGAGTGGAGAGAGCGAGCCCAGAGGATGAGGAAGAGGAAGGAAGAGCTCAGCAAACTCCTGCCTCCGCGGAGGAGCATGGTACGGCACGCGCGGGCGGTGACCGGGCACTAGTCCAGTCCCGGGGGTGGGTGGGTGCTCACAGGCATCCCTGTCCATGGAGGATGAGCCGAGACCTGGGGGTGTGGGTGGGTGCTCACACGCATCCCTGTCCATGGAGGATGAGCTGAGACTTGGGGAGGAAGCTGCCTGTGCAGGCTGCTGGCTGGTGGGGCTGGGTTGGAGTGCAGCATCCAGAACCATTGCTCACTGCCCAGCCGGAGGGGACAGCTTCCCACCCCAGCCTTGAGGGCTTGCCTCTTGGCTCACTGACTTTTGGCTCCTGTCTGGGGAATTAGAAGCTCAAAGAGGGAAGGCGGAAGAGGAGATGAGGGGAAAAGATTCAAAAGATAAAAAGCAGCTGAGGTCGAGGTGAGCGCTACAGAGGTCTTTCTGGGCTCCTCACCCTTGGTCTCTGGACCTCGAGGCAGGCAGTTTCCCTGGAAGCCAAGATTGCCAGCTCTTAAGCTATGGGACATGGGATATCCTGAGTACCATCCCCCAAGATTGCCAGCTCTTAAGCTATGGGACATGGGATATCCTGAGTACCGTCCCCCAAGATTGCCAGCTCTTAAGCTATGGGACATGGGATATCCTGAGTACCGTCCCCCAAGATTGCCAGCTCTTAAGCTATGGGACATGGGATATCCTGAGTACCGTCCCCCAAGATTGCCAGCTCTTAAGCTATGGGACATGGGATATCCTGAGTACCGTCCCCCAAGATTGCCAGCTCTTAAGCTATGGGACACGGGACATCTTGAGTACAGTCCTCTCTTCCCATTTTCCCCAGACTGTATGAGGGTCTTAGTCCAGCCGGGCACAGGGCAGTGGGCACAGAGCTGCGGGCATGGGCCGTGGGCACAGGGTGGTGGGAGCCGGTGGCTCCTCCCTCCAGAATGCGCCTGGCTTGCTTCTCTGTCCTGTGAGCATAGTCAGGCAAATGTGCTGTTGAATTTGGTCATAGATGTTTCTTTGGTGCTTTCTTCTAAGAGATGCTCCCTGTGTGTTACTTTGAAAGGCCACGGATTGCCTCTGCAGCCCCCTTAGCTGGGGTAAGGCCCCCAAGGGCTTCACCCTACAGCAGAGAGCGTGGCCACGTGGGCCTGCAGGCGTGGACTGCTTGGACAGTTCAGGAGTGTTTCCTTTGTCTAACTTTGTATTGAACTAGTTTTTGACTTACAGGAAAGTTGCAAAAATAGTGTTTCCGTCTCCCCCCGGCCCAGCTTCCCTGATGGTGACATCTTACATAACCTCAAAACAAGGCTCAGAGTTAGGAATTCACAGTGTCCAATGCGTTGGATAAACCAGGACTGCATCTCACCCTTCTCAGGTCCCAGGCCCCACAGGACACTCAGTCGCCATCTTTGCTGTCACCTTTTTCCTAATTTCCCCAATATGTGGGAAAGTTTAAAAATACATATTTTGCCACTTCCAGGAATAAAAATACTTGCACAATTGGACATTGCTAAGAATGCTTTCAGAGCTGAATTATAGCAAAAATATGGGAAACTTTAAATGTCAACAGATGGAGATGGCTAAATTGTCACATCCAGACCATGAGCTGCCTCTGTGGCCGACAGAAGGGTGAGTCAGTGATCATATCCACTGGCTTGCAAGTGTCTTGAAGAAATCACTGTAAGTTAAAGCAGCACAAGTTGTAGGACAGTGCACAAAAACTCTCATTGGTCTGGAAGAACGTACAGCAACCCAGTGACTTTGCGGGGAGGGCTGTGGCTCTGGGGAGGGGGGCGCAGAGGAGGGGTCGATGCTGCCACAGTTGTGCTTCTGAGTCCTGTGAGACCATCACAGTGAGAGTGTACGCAGTTTCTTAAAAAAGAAAAACATAGGTTTTCTAGAAACTCATCTATCATGAGATAGAGCAGTTCAGTCAGCGAGTATTGATGGCCTGCTCTGAGCAGGGAGGGGACCAGGCACAGGCCCTGCCCACGGGAGCGCGCACCTAGTGCAGAGGCAGACCCTCGGCTGTGGCAGCAGGCAGGGCTCCGTGGTAGCTGGCTGCTGTTCTGCGCACCCCACAGGCCCTGGGTGAGGCAGCTGAACGCATGGAGAGGCCTGCTGCTTCCCTGTGCCACCCTCTGGGCCTGCGCTGGCCCAGGCACTGGTGAGATACTTTGTATGGCCCAGAGTGCTGTAGTCAGAGTCCAAGGGAAAATCTTTGTGCCTAAATGTTCATATCTAATATACAAAGAATGGCTACTAATTGATTTTAAAAATCTGAGAATCCAGTAGAAGAAATGGGCAAAAAGTATGGCAGGCAGTCCACAGAAGAGGAAATCCAAGCCACCGTAAATACATGAAAAGATGCTCAGCCTGTGAGGGACACGTAGGGTGGACGTGAGGCGCCTGTGTGGTCGGCAGGAAGGAGCCGAGGTGGTGGAGCGTGGGGAGGAGCCGAGGTGATGGAGCAGCGTGGGGAGGAGCCGAGGTGGTGGAGCAGCGTGGGGAGGAGCCGAGGTGATGGAGCAGCGTGGGGAGGAGCCGAGGTGGTGGAGCAGCGTGGGGAGGAGCCGAGGTGATGGAGCAGCGTGGGGAGGAGCCGAGGTGATGGAGCAGCGTGGGGAGGAGCCGAGGTGGTGGAGCAGCGTGGGGAGGAGCCGAGGTGGTGGAGCAGTGTGGGGAGGAGCCGAGGTGGTGGAGCAGTGTGGGGAGGAGCCGAGGTGGTGGAGCAGCGTAGGGAGGAGCCGAGGTGGTGGAGCGTGGGGAGGAGCCGAGGTGGTGGAGCAGTGTGGGGAGGAGCCGAGGTGGTGGAGCAGTGTGGGGAGGAGCCGAGGTGGTAGAGCAGTGTGGGGAGGAGCCAAGGTGGTGGAGCAGCGTGGGGAGGAGCCGAGGTGATGGAGCAGTGTGGGGAGGAGCCGAGGTGGTGGAGTGTGGGGAGGAGCCGAGGTGGTGGAGCGTGGGAAGGAGCCGAGCTGGTGGAGCAGCGTAGGGAGGAGCCGAGGTGGTGGAGCAGTGTGGGGAGGAGCCGAGGTGGTGGAGCAGTGTGGGGAGGAGCCGAGGTGGTAGAGCAGTGTGGGGAGGAGCCAAGGTGGTGGAGTGTGGGGAGGAGCCGAGGTGGTGGAGCGTGGGAAGGAGCCGAGGTGGTGGAGCAGCGTGGGGAGGAGCCGAGGTGATGGAGCAGTGTGGGGAGGAGCCGAGGTGGTGGAGCAGCGTGGGGAGGAGCCGAGGTGATGGAGCAGTGTGGGGAGGAGCCGAGGTGGTGGAGCGTGGGAAGGAGCCGAGGTGGTGGAGCAGCGTGGGGAGGTGCTGAGGTGGTGGAGCGTGGGATAGAGCATGGAGGCTGCTGCCACCAGCTGCTCGGAAGGCATCCTTCCAAGTTAAGAGCGTGTCCTTTGAACACATTTAGGAGTCCATTTTATAGAAATAAAAGCAATCATATAGGCATTTAGTTACACAGAAGTGTATCTGTGTATTTCAGTATTGTTGGAGAGACAAGCATAAATAAATACAACTCCAGTTTCCATGTCCATAACAGGGAAGCGGTTCCACGCATTGGCCCGGGGAGGGCAAGCTCCCAGCTCCCTGCAGCTGGGCAGGAGGACACGAGAGGGCGCCACGGCCTTGGGTGGCCACTGCTGGGTGGATCCCACTGGACAGTGGCACCCACGGGCTGGGCTGGGCTGGGCGGGCCTGGGGAATCATGGCCGCTGGCTTTGCAGCCTGGTCCTGGAGTGTGCCCCCAGCCCTGCATGTGCTTCTGCTGATCCGTCACTGTGTGGTCACACCCCAAGTACATTCGATGGGGTGGGAGCCTTGAGGCTGCGGCTGCTGAAAGGGCTGCAGAGCTAAAGCCTGTGGCTGGGTGAAGCCTGGGTCTGTCACCTGCTTTGTAAAATGCACTGCACTTCTCTTCATGTCACTCTGAAACCAGCCATGACTTGAGCCCATATTTTGGGCTTCACGTCAGTGGCATGTTTGACACTTGACGTACAAACCCTGGCGCAAAGCCCATTCCACGCCACCAAAGCGGCAGCCTGTTGTAGACTTCGCCGGTGTGTTCGTGTTTATATTTGGTTCTTTGCTTGCTCACTCAAGAGCTGGATGTTCGAAAAAGTCTTCCTTCTCTATATTTTAGAGTGGGAGTAAAATGTGGATGGGTGGGCTTCCCTCCAAATACATACTTTTAATGTCTTTTAAAATAAAATTAAGTGTCTGATTTTAAAAGAAAAAAACACCCACTGGATTTAGCATTTATTTATTTATTTATTTACGAGACAGGCTGAAGTGCAGTGGCACAATCTTGGCTCACTGCAACCTCTGCCTCCCAGGTTCAAGCGATTTTCCTGCCTCAGCCTCCTGAGTAGCTAGAACTACAGGCATGCGCCACCACACCTGGCTAATTTTTTGTGTTTTTAGTAGAGACAGGTTTCGCCATGTTGGCCAGGCTGGTTTTGAACTCCTGACCTCAAGCAGTCCACCCGCCCCGGCCTCCCAAAGTGCTGGGATTACAGGTGTGAGCCACTGCGCCCGGCCAGGATTTAGCATTTGTTCTTTTCTTTCTGTTGGAAGAACCTTTGGGAGAATCCTGATCACCTGAAAGTGTCCCAGCTCTCAGTCAGCCAAGAGTTTCCTCTGCTGTGTCTGCAGCCTGTGCCTTGCTTTATGGTGGGGTGGGAGGGATAGGAAAAGGTTGGTGGGTGGTCCCTGGTCCTCCCTGCCTCCCATCTTTCCGCCCTTTCTGGTTGCCGAACACTTTCTAAGTGTCAGGCATGTACTAGGATTAAACTAAGGGCTAGACAAAGGCCCCGGCCTGGAAATACATTTGGAGGAGAGAATGGCAGATACAACCATTCCAAACGTCATCTCAGTAAATGCTAAATGGACCCTACGAGTCTCCACATTGCAGTAGCCCCTGGTTGGAAGTTCTTCTCTCCCACTCTGTTGCCAGGGTTCCCTCCTACCTGTTTTTGTCATCCGTTGGTTTCTGACAGTCCCCGGGAACACACTGCAGGCACCCGCACAGGCCCAAAGCTCCCTGAGGTCCGGAGGGGTCAGCGTGGCTCTCACATGTGTCCACTGGAGGCAGCAGCGAGCAGCACTGGTCACGCCGCCGTTGGGGTGCTAGCCTCCTCCTGCCTAGGTTGCACATCACAGCGAGTGTTGGGTCCTCCCAGGTCTCCCTGGTTCTGGCACTGAAGCTGGAGAAACAGATCTGGGGCCCCTGTGGAGAGGGGCCATCTAAGGACGCCTGTAGGAAGCCAGCCACTGCAGCAAACCTGGCGTGGGGGGCATAAGGGCATGCAGGGCAGCCTTCCGAGCTACCCCAGGGTCCCCTCACTCTGCATCTTTACCTCCTACCCCAGCCTGGGCTGTCAGGGAGGCCCCAGAAAGATGTCCAAACAGATCCCAGTAGGGCGCGAGAGCTAGCCAAGACCTGGGGGGATGACTGCGTTGCACAGGGACCGTCTACCCGGGGCGGCCTCGGACCCACCTCTTCGTGGACGAGGAGCTAGTCTAACACACCTTGCAGGTTAGCTTTGTGGAAAAACATCATCTACTGGGATTCCAGAAATCATCTTGTTGCATTTTCCTAGGTGGCATCAAAGATTCCCTCTGCCACAGATCTGATAGATAACAGGAAAGTACCACTGAATCCGCCTGGAAAAATGAAACCAAGCAAAGAGAAATCGCCACAAGCAAGTAAAGAAATGAGGTTGGTAACTGCAACTGGCACTCAGTCCTTCCAGGGCTCAGCCAGCCACCCACGGGCAGGTGCTGTTGTTTATTTCATGAGCATGCACTGAGGAGCCCTGAAACTCCAGGCTGTGGCGGGCCCCAGGCTGTGGCGGGCTCCAGGCTGTGGTGGGCTCCAGGGAGAGCCAGGTAACCCTGGAAGATGGGGTCCTTGCCCTCAGGGAACTGCTGTCACCCAGCCATGGCTCCTGTAGGTCACCAGGATACAGAGTGCTCCCGAGCCCTCTGTAGTGGGTGCTGCTGTGGGCGCCAAGGGGAGACGCGATCCGAGATCCACCCGCTGCAGTCCCTGCCCTGCCCTGCCGTGCCCTCCCCACCTCACCGCCGCTGCCTCCCCAGGTCTTCTCATGCTGAGTTCTGATCCCATTTCTTCCCACCCCAGCTTCCTTAGACCTGACCCTCAGGGCCGCTCAGCCCTTCCCCTCATGGGGTGTTGGGTGAGGCAGCGAGGCCAGGCGTTGACCCAGGTGAAGGGGACTCAGGCAAAGTAGCCACCATGGGGTGGAGGAAACAGCCAGAACCGAGAAGCTGTGTCAGGAAGCACTTGAGACGTTTTGATTTTGAGTCCCTGGCCAGGGGGCGGCCAGGCTGCTGGGCAGGTTGTCATCCCCGGGAAAGGCAGGCAGCCACAGGCCCATCAGGGATAGCTGGTGAGCCACAGAGGATCCTGGAGTTCAGGAGAGCAGGGAGGGATATTTGGGAAGCCTGGTGCTAACCTGGGACCAACGTGAGGGGAAGGGTAGGGGCTCAGAGGCATGCACTTGGCACTGGGGAGTAGGGATGGATGGAGCAAATGGGGCTGAGGAGCACTGGGTGGCCCGGCGAGTTCACGGGGCAGGACACGCTCCACAGTGCCTGGTGGACAGAGCAGAGTCGGGGCGCAAGGCAAGGACGGAAGCTGGAGGCTGGTCCCTGGGTGGGTCCCTGGCTGGGCCTTGAGGGGAGGGGAGGGGCTTCACTGGAGAGTGACAGCAGCTGTTCAGGGTTCCCGGGGGTTCACCCTTCTCACCTCACAGCAGCTCGGGGGTCCAGGGCTCACCCTTCTCACCTCACACCAGCTCGGGGGGCCAGGGTTCATGAACCCTCTCACCTCACAGCAGCTCGGGGGTCCAGGGCTCACCCTTCTCACCTCACACCAGCTCGGGGGGCCAGGGTTCATGAACCCTCTCACCTCACAGCTGCTTGGGGGTCCGGGGTTCACCCCTCTTACCTCACAGCAGCTCGGGGGTCGGGTTCATGAACCCTCTCACCTCACAGCTGCTCGGGGGTCCGGGGTTCACCCCTCTCACCTCGCAGCAGCTCAGGAGTATGGGGTTCACCCTTCTCACCTCACACCAGCTCGGGGGTCCAGGGCTCACCCTTCTCACCTCACAGCAGCTCGGGGGTCTGGGGTTCACCCTTCTCACCTCACAGCAGCTCAGGAGTATGGGGTTCACCCTTCTCACCTCACACCAGCTCGGTGGTCCAGGGCTCACCCTTCTCACCTCACACCAGCTCGGGGGTCCAGGGCTCACCCTTCTCACCTCACACCAGCTCGGGGGGCCAGGGTTCATGAACCCTCTCACCTCACAGCTGCTCGGGGGTCCGGGGTTCACCCCTCTTACCTCACAGCAGCTCGGGGGTCAGGGGTTCATGAACCCTCTCACCTCACAGCTGCTCGGGGGTCCGGGGTTCACCCCTCTCACCTCGCAGCAGCATTCCTTTGATTTTCTGCGTTCACAGCTTCTATAGCTGGGTTAGTGGCTGCACCCTGGGGATGATCACTGGGCTCCCTAGTCGCCTCCACCTCCTCTGAGCCGTGTATAAGGACCAGGCTGACACGGAGCCTCAGTGTGGACACACCTTCTTGTCCAGGCATTTCCCATGCCGACTCTTCAGCTGGGCCCCTCCCTCGCACCTCCCAGGCGTCCTGGGAAGCCAAGGCTGGCCTCAGGGAGACCACTGGAGACCCCAGGGCATGAGCACTGCTCTCCGGTGCCCCCGTGCTTTCCTGGCCTGCACCAGGCTCGCTGTGGCTCTCACTGAAAGCGCCTCACTGCACTCAGAGGCCAGAGCAGAAGAGACCGTGGGGCCTGAGCTTGGAAGGCCCAGGGCCTGGCCCCGGCCCTGCTGCTCAGCGTACGTCTGCCAGGGGGCTCCCCACTCAGTTTAACGTACCCTGGATCCCGGCTGCGATGTAAGAAACCTGGAGGAAGGGTGAGGTGGGATGAGATGTGGGTGACAAAGGGCATGTTCTGTTCCTGCAGAATTTGTTCCTCCTGGAGGCTGACAGTGTTTAGGGAAAATCTCGAAGGCCAACTAGGTTGTATTAACTCCCCAACCTCGTGAAAATGGCTTAGACTAAAACCATTTCGTCTCAAACATTTGAATGTTCTCTTACATCCTCCAGGGAGTTTACCTGCCATATTTGGCCTTTAAAAAGCCCACAGCAGACCACAGTGGCCCGCTAACCCCCCATCACCCTGGGCACAGTAAAAGCTGGAGTCTGAGGCGCTGACACAGGGCATGCCCTGACCTGAGGGCTCTGTTCTGTAGAACTCCAGAGGACATCATGCTTTCTTTTCCATAGTTACTCTGAAAAGCAAGCAAAACCGGCACAAACCCTGCTGCTGGGAGTAAGAGGGTCTTCGGAGAGGCTGAGTGAGACTGTGTGCCATTGTATTCACAGTGGCGCATGCACCCACGCCCGCACCAACACCCACACCACACCCATGACCACACCCACACTTAATCTACCTCCACACCCGCGCTTACACCCACCCACACTTACACCCACCCTTACATCTACCTCCACACCCGCGCTTACACCCACGCTTACATCTACCTCCACACCCACACTCACACCCACCCACACTTACACCCACCCACACTTACACCCACCCTTACATCTACCTCCACACTCGCACTTACACCCACACTTAAATCTACCTCCACACCCACACTTACACCCACGTCCACACCCTGGGGCCCCACACTCAGGCAGTCCGCGTCCACGCTTACATCTACCTCCACGCCCACACTTAACACCCACCCACACTTACATCTACCTGCACACCCACGCTTACACCCACGTCCACACCGTGGGGCCCCACACTCATGCAGTCCGCGTCCACACTTACATCTACCTCCACGCCCACACTTACACTCATGCTTACATCTACCTCCACGCCCACACTCACACCCACCCACACTTACACCCACCCTTACATCTACCTCCACGCCCACACCCTGGGGCCCCACACTCACGCAGACTGGAGTGGACCCCGCCACCCCACAGCTCACCTGCAGCAGATCCCCAGCTCTTTCTACCACCCTGAGTCATTGTCTTTAAAATTAAAGGAACCCCAAACCCCTGAGCCCCAGTGCTAACAGAAAATATGTTTAAAATCATAATTGAATACACTTTTCTGTTTGTCTGTTTAAGGATTTAGGAAAACCGTGTATTCCATGTGGGAACAGAAACCTGCTTTTCCCTTCATGTGGTGCAGTGTGCAGTGTCCTAAATGTGTCATATCTTAAATCAATTTGAGGTTTTTAAATAAGAATAGTGTGTGTTCTGGCAGCTTCTGAACTACTGAAGAAGGGATGGGAGAGGCAGCCCAGGCCCCCCGGCGTGAGTCTGGAGGAGAGTGGGTGCCGGGGAGGCCCAGGGCAGCGCCACAGTAACTGGCACAGCTGTGCGGGAGCCTCAGGACCGCTGTTTGGTCTGGGAAGAAAGGCACATGCTTTCTCCCTGGTTATGGCGGGAGTTGCTAGGATGAGAGTAAATGTGTCAAGTCATTTCCCTCTTTGCCCTTTGTTTCTCAGTGCCCTGCAGGAGAGAAATTTAGAAGAGAAGATAAAACAGCACGTCCTCCAAATGCGTGAGCAAAGAAGATTCCATGGCCAGGCCCCACTGGAGGAGATGAGGAAGGCTGCCGAGGATCTGGAAATTGTAAGGATTTCTTGGTTCTGTTTAAAAAAGTGTGGGGTGTTTTTTGTTTTGTTTTGTTTTTGTTTTTTTGAGACAGAGTCTTGTTCTGTCACCCAGGCTGGAGTGCGGTGGCACAATCTCGGCTCCCTGCAGCCTCCACCTCCCAGGTTCAAGCGATTCTCCTGCCTCAGCCTCCCGAGTAGCTGGGACAAGTGTACACCACCATGCCCGGCTAATTTTTGTATTTTTAATAGAGATAGGGTTTTGCCATGTTGGCCAGCCTTGTCTCGAACTCCTGGCCTCAAGTGATCCACCTGCCTTGGCCTCCCAAATTGCTGGGCCACTGTGCACAGCCTAAAACATTGTTTTATTAAAAATAAAGAGAACTCACTGTGCCTCTTCAGAGCATGCGCTCTCTAAAACCGTGGGACTGTGTGGAATGTGTCTTATGAGGTGTAGAAATTCCCAGAATTACAGTTGGTCACATGAGAAGGAAAACATTTCAGCCGAGGGGCTGAGCCCTCAAATGTGCCAGGCCACATGGCGGGCCTTGGCATCTCAGCACTGGGAATCTGATGGCAGGAGTGGCAGCCTGCTGACAGGGACTGGGAACCAGTCCTCTCCACATGTCTGTGGGGTCCTTGCTTGAGGTTTTGCACCCAGCTGATCCAGGCTGTGGGCCCAGGGCTGGGCCATGAGGGGCGTCACTGCAGAGAGGGGTCTGGCTGAGGCCACCGGACCATGGCTGACACGCTCGGTGTCTATGTAGGGAGGCCGATATTCATGGGGATCCAAGGCCTCCTGACCAGGAGCCTCCTAAGCAGAACTGCTCACGGAAGTGGCTCCTATATATTTGGAATGTTAACCATCCTCTCAGCCACCGCCAGTGCTGTTTATTCACTCAGCATACGCTGATGCCCACCTCCTGGTACTTGGAGTATCCTGGGCTGTGGGAGAGACGCAGGAATGAAGGAAAGTGCTTTGCTGCCCGAACTGCTGCCTGGCCAGCCCATCCAGCTGTAGAAGGACACAGCTGCTGTCCCTGGCAGTGAACCTGGATACCCGTGTCCCCACCCTTCCTGCAGCCATAAGGATTCTGGCCTGTCCTCTCAAGCTACCCAAGGCCCCTGGCTGGTGGCCTCTTCCAGGTCAGTGTACCATGCCCGAACACAGGTCAGGCTGGTGCGAGCTGCATCGGGGCTGCCCCCAGAGCACGCAGCACTGTCACGGGGGAGGAAGCAACCCTGGCCTTCCTGTCCCCACACCCCATCTGCAGGCTCCATTCCCACCATTTCCGCTGTTTCCCTCTCTCCTAGAGCCGGAGATGGGAGAGAGGAGGCATGAGGGCAGGATGTGGAGCCACTTCATGGAGACCCCACCCAACCTGACTCGGACCCCACTTCTGAGACTCTTTTCCTCCTCAGCCCAAGGAGTTTGTATCTGCCTTTAGATAAACTCTTATTCTTTCTAAATCCATCGTTTATGAGTATGACCTTGTCCTTGGACACCCAAACCCTGCCTCTTAGGGCTGCAAAACATCTGTGTCTTAACCCATCACTTCACATTAGGGACACAAAAGTCGATTTGGTATTATGAACAACTCTAGCCACAGATTTGATAAATTTAGTGAAATAGATTAATCCCTTGAAAGACAACATCTGCCAAAACTTACAGAAGAAATGAATATGCTTGTATCTATTACAGGAATTCAATCAATAATTAATTACCTTCCAAAACAGAAATCACAGGCCCAGAAGTGTTCACTGGTGAATTCTACCAAACATTTAAGGTTTAAGGAAGAAACTATACCAATTCTCGATAATCTCTTCCAGAAGACAGAAACAGAGAGAAAACTTTTTAGCTCATTCTCTGAGGCCAGCATTACTCTAATACCAAAACCATACAAAGATATTACAAGAAAGGAAAAGTGTAGACCAATATCGCTCATGAATGTAGACGCAAAAATTCTCAACATTCAGAAATCAAATCCAGCAATGTGTAAAAGCAATCACACACCCTAATTCAACGTTCAAAAATCAGCCAATGCAATTCATCACATCAGTAAGCTAAACAAGAAAAATCAGTTGGTTTTATCAATAGATGCAGAAAAAGCATCTGACAAAATATAACACCTATCATGATAAAAACTCTCAGCAAACTAGGATAAGCTGAGAACTTCCTCAACTTGTTAAAGAACATCCAGAAAAGACTTACAGCTAACATTATTCTTAATGGCAAGAAACTAGAAGCTTTTCCACTAAGATCAGGAGCAAGGCAAAGATATTCCCTCTCACTGCTGCTTTTCAGCCTCATGCTGGAACTCTTAGCTAGTTCAAGAAGACAAGAGAAGGAAACAAAAGGTATATAGATTGGGAAACAAGAAATAAAATTGTCTTTATTCTCAGATGACATGATTATGTAGGAAATCCCAAAGAATTGACAAAAATTTCCTGAAACTAATAAGTGATTATAGAAAAGGTTACAGGATACAAGGTTAATATACATAAGTCAGTCACCTTCCTGTGTACCAGCAATTAACTAGTGGAATTTAAGATTAAAACCATAACATTTAAATTAGCACCAAAACAATGGTACTAAGTAAAAATCTAACAAAATGTATACAAAATCTATATGAGGAAAACGACAAAACTTTAATGAAATAACTGAATAAATGGACAGATATTCCATGTTCATGGATAGGAAGACTCAATATTGTTGGTAGTCAGTTCTTCCCAACTTTAGATTTAATGCATTCCCAATCATAATCTCAGCAAATTATTTTGTGAATATTGACAAACTGTTTCTAAAGCATATATGGAGAGGATGAGACCTAGAATATCCAACACAGTATTGATGGAAAAACAAAGTCAGAGGACTGACACCCCCCAACTTGAAGACTCTAAAGCTACAATAACAGTGTGATATTGTCAAAAGAATAGACAAATAGAATAGAGAGCCCCAAAATAGACCCACACAAATATAGTTAACTGAGTTAACTGATATGACAGAGGAGCAAAAGCAACTCAGTGGAGAAAGCGTAGTCTTCAACAGATGGTACTGGAACAACTGCCAAAAACAAAAAAGAATCTAGACATAGACCTCACACCCTCCACAAAAATTAATTCAAAATGGATCATAGACCTAAACGTAACGTGTTACCGTACAACTTTTACAAGATAACATAGGAGAAAACCTAAGTGACCTTGGGTATGGTGATGATGTTTAAATACAACACCAAAAGCAAGATCCATGACAGAAATAATTGATAAGCCGGGCTTCATTACAATCAAAAACTTCTGTTCTATGTAAGACACTGCCAAAAGGATAAGACAGGCCACAGACTGGGAGACAATATTTGGAAAAGATACACCCGATAAAGGAATGTTATCTAAAATATACCGAGAACTCTGAAAAACTCAACAAAAAGGAGCAAACAAGCCAG
This sequence comes from Homo sapiens, assembly GCF_000001405.40. NCBI lineage: Eukaryota > Metazoa > Chordata > Mammalia > Primates > Hominidae > Homo > Homo sapiens. The sequence goes on from NC_000010.11 coordinate 132,368,972, forward strand.
TTAAAAAATGGGCCAAGAATCTGCAGAGACACCTCATCAAAGAAGATGCATGGATGGCAGATCAGCATGTGAAAAGAAGCTTCACATTGTGTGTCATCAGAAATGCAAGTTAAGGAGATTCACCATCAAAAAATCCAAAACACTCACCACCAAATGCTGGTGAGGACGTGGAGCAACAGGAACACTCATTAATTGTTGGGAATAGAAAATGGTACAGCCACTTGGGAAGACAGCTTGACAGTTTCTTACAAAATTAATCACACTCTCATCATACAATCCAGTAATCACACTCCTTGGTGTTTACCCAAAGGAGATGAAAACTTATGTCTACACCAAAACCTGCACACAGACATAGCAGCTTTTTTCATAATTGCCAAAACTTGGAAGCACCCAAGGTGTCCTTCAGCAGGTGACTGGATAAACTGGAACATCCAGATAGTGGAACGTTGCTTAGCACTGAAAGGAAATGAGCCGTCAGCAATGAGAAGACACGGGGGAGCCGACATGCCAGCATGAAAAGGCCGTACACAGATGGAGATGGTGAAAGGATCATGGTGGCCCGGGTGGGGGTAGTAGGATATTGAGGGGTGAATCAGCAGAACACAAAAGGGTTTTAGGGCAGTAAAACTACTCTTCATGATGCTGTATTGTTGGATCCATGTGATGATGCGTTTGTCTAAACCCCACAGACTGTGCCACCCCACACATGAGCCTGCATGTCGACTGTGGACTCTGAGTGGTGGTAACAGTGTGTCCATGTGCACGCATCGAGTGGACCACTCCAGTGTGGGATGAAGGCTGCTCTAGAAAAATCAAGTCCGGGTTTTTTAAAGTCTGCTTGGAAATCTGAAACCTGAGAGCTGGCTCTTGTGTCCCCCACTGTTCTCCCGTGCTCCCCCGCCCTGGTTACATGCAGAGCAGTGGGGCCATGAGACAAAAGAGAATGACCCAGAAGGACACTGTGGCGGTTGGTCTCAAATGCCTGCCCCAGCCACACCTGTCTCTCCATTGACTTTCGTGCCACCTAGGAGGAAGGCGGTGCCACCCATTTCACAGGTCAGAAAACCCAGACTCACGGAGGTGCCACAACTGGCCCTACGGTGACACTGTAAATGGTGGAGCTTTCAGTCCAACCTGGGTAGGTCTGAATGCAAAGCCAAGGTCCAAATACTGCACTGTCTTCTTGGGGACATGAATTGCCACAGAATTCGCCTTGTGCTTTAATGCCTGTCTCGTGTTTCTCTGTGATTAAAAAAAATTCATGTGAAGTTCCTGATGAAGGGTTCACGTCACCAGCACCGGCTCCTGTCGTGTGCCCAACTCCAAGTTACTGCCAAGATCCAGGGAGGGATGTGCTATGTCACCCTGCCCAGGAGACAGGGACATAAACACCCGCTAACTTCCCATGACAGGCTCCCTGCAGCCCTTGAGCCCAGAGGATGCCCATGAGGTGGGTCCCTTCACTTCAGTCCTGGCTTGGGAGAGCCAGAGGAAGGGGTTTTAAAACTCCCAAGAATGAGCTGGGAAGCAGCTGATCCTGCCCTAGAGGAGGTGAATTGTGTTGAGACAGGTGGTGTTGGCTGTCCACAAGCTCCAGCCATCCTTCTCCTCTGTCCCGCTGCCTCTCACAGAGCGCCGGGCGGGTGGGCCAGGGGAGAGGGGTCCCTGAGACAGACCAGAACAGCATGGCAGGCTCCGTGCCGCCTGATGGCCGCATGTTTAGGAAACGATCTTAATTATGCTTTTTTCTGAAATTTGCCTTCTGAGTACCTGGACCTCCTGTAGGCTCAGTCCATTTCAAATGACCCTCCCTTTTTCTGCTGCCTACACAGGCCCACTAGCAAAAAAGAAAGTACTGTGTTCTTTAGACTCAGTAGGGAACCTATTTGTATAATCCTGGTGAGACGATCATGCCAGCCCTCCCTGCAGGTGAAGTCTCGGGCTTTGCCAGAAGAGTGTGTCTTTCCTTAGAGCAGGTCCTGAGCAAACCCCGCAGCAGCGTTAGAGACGAGTCCTGGCTCCGTGGCTGTGTGGCCCACCAGCCTGCCGTATGGAGGCGGGCACGCATGTGCGTGAGACAGTTGGCATGTCCCAGGCAGAGAACCATCTAAGTTCACACTGCACCTCTAGAAGCAGAGGGTCTCATTCTCCCGGCTTCTTCCCCGGCCCCTCGTGTTTCCTTCAAGGCATCTGCGCAGTGCCGCGCATGGCGTGGCGCTGGCAAGGAGTCCTCGGTGGCATGGCGTGCGTCGGGAGCACCCCCCCATGCACCCGGGAGCCTGGCCTGTGGGAGAAGGGGATGCCAAATGGGGGAAGTAGGAGGGACTGGAGTCCAGCCCATGAGCCAGGAGCTTGCATGTGATTAGAGGACCAGGGTGGACGGGTCAGGGCAGAGAGAGAAGAAAGCCCAGAGGTATGAAAAGGAGATGCTGAAAGCAAACCAGCCAACAGACGTGGCCCTTCCAGGTCAACGCGGCCCATTCTGCACATAGGCTTATCTCTACTCTGCCCAGAAGCCACCAGAATGACAGGAAAGGGAGCAAAAACGACCTTCACTCCTCAGGATGAGGAAATGGAGAGGAGGCTGCCTGCTTGTCAGGAGGCTCCCCCTCCCCAGGGTCTTTCCTGTAATAATAGAGCCCCACGTCTCAGCTGGGCACAGGCTGCCCCACAAATGGCCACGTTTCTCAACCTCCCTTGCAGCCAGACATTGGCCTGTGGCTCTGTTCCGGCCGGCAGGATGTGAGCAGAAGATGAATGTGAACTTCCTGAGCTTTGTCCCCTCCCTTCCTGGCTGGAATGCAAACATGATGGCCGGAGCAGGGGCAGCCACCTCAGCCCTCAGGTGGAGGCCGTGGGCCAGGGCTGCAGAGCCAGTGTGCAGGAGTCTGTCTCTGGTGGGGGTGCTGTCCTCTCAGACACACTGCTCCACCTGGTCTCAGCTGCTGTCGTCTGGGGGCTGGCAGGTGAGCCCTTGTCCTCGCACATATGGAGGCCAGCACGATTTTGCACGAAGGAAGCCCCCTAGTGGTGCAGCATGAAGGGCCTGCCCAGCAAAATGCCAGCAAAGATGCACAGTGATGCAGCCCCAGAGCCTGAAAAGCACAGGAAGACAAAACCAACCAAAGAAGGATGGGAAGTGGGGGTCGGGGTGCGGTGGCTCACGCCTGCAATCCCAGTTGAAAAGCACAGGAAGACAAAACCAACCACAGAAGGATGGGAAGTGGGGGTCGGGGTGCGGTGGCTCACGCCTGCAATCCCAGCTGAAAAGCACAGGAAGACAAAACCAACCACAGAAGGATGGGAAGTGGGGGTCGGGGTGCGGTGACTCACGCCTGCAATCCCAGCACTTTGGGAGGCCAAGGCAGGTGAATCACCTGAGGTCAGGAGTTTGAGACCAACCTGGCCAACCTGGTGAAACCCCGTCTCTACTAAAAATACAAAAAATTAGCCGGGCACAGTGGTGTGCACCTGTAATCCCAGCTACGCAGGAGACAAAGGCCGGAGAATCGCTTGAACCCAGGAGGCAGAGGTTGCAGTGAGCTGAGATGGCACCATCGCACTCCAGCCTGGGCAACAAGAGCGAAACTCCATTTCAAAAAACAAAAAGGAAGCGGAGTCTATACAGGTCACGCCAGGGCCCTGGGTCTGCTTCCCTACTCTGCCCAGCCCACTGACTCCTCCAGCCTACCCAGCAGGAGCCAGGGCTGCCTCTAGATAAGCTGACCAACCAGGCACCACAGTGGTGACAGCAGCCATGTTTGGCCTAAAGAGACCTGCAGAAGGTCAGGTGCACAACCGACCAGGAGGGCTGGCCAGCTCCATGGCGCTGTCTGAGATATCAGCCAACCAAGACAGAAGCCACCTGGGCGTACCCTAGACAGCCCCAGCCTGCACTGAGCAGCCAGCAGCCCACCACCGACACCCCGATCTCAGCCTCGTTCCAGGGCCTCAGTCACGAGAGGTTCCTCAGCTGTTGAGGGAAGCCCCAAGGTGAGGGAGAGGCCAAAGCCAGCCGGCTGGGGAGCGAGCTTCGAATGGATGCGAACATTAGGGGACACTTAAAAATGACAAGCCAGAATTAAAATCCCCCCGTAGGAATAGACAAGTCTGCTGCCATGAAACCCAGCAAGCTGTTGTAGAAAGTGAACACTCAGGTAACCCAGAAGAACTCCCAAGGCAAAGTTTAATATGTGGCAAAAAATTTAAAAAATTAAATTAGTAGATGAATAAATCCCCCAGGAAGGGGAGGTGGGAAACAGATGGGACAAGAGGAAAGGAAGTTAGAGGACGACCTGAGCAGAGCGAAGCATCCGGCAGGTTCCGGCAGGTTCCAGCAGGAGAGACGAGAGCAGACGGAGGGAGAAGGTGCAGGAGGGCTCGTCACAAAGGAACCAACGTGCTTCCTGCTAGAAGGGCCCACACATGCCGGCACCATGGCTCAGCATCCCGAACCAGAGCAGGACGGACCCACGGAGATTCCAGGGAGGGCGGGGGGAGAGGATCACACAGAACCAGGCACTGGGAGGGAGCTGGTCGCGGTGATGGCACTGCCCTCAGCAGGCGCCGGGATTCGGTACTCCCATTGCAAGGTCAGGGGTCAGCACACAATAAGACGTTTTCAGATACGCAAAGACTCAAAATGCTGCTTCCCATCTAGAGAGTCTTTCTCCAGAAGCTACTGTAGAATTTGTTCTATCAAAACAAGGGAGTAGATGCTGAGAGAGGAAGGTAAGAGTTCCAGAAGAAAGGGAGCTGACCCAGAAGCCCCCGGCCGCCCCCTACTGTGAGAGGAGCCTGGCGGGGTCTCCACAGGGAGACCAGGTCAGTCTGAGGACTTGGCCAGTGGAGGAGGATGTCGAGAGAGGTTTACAGTTTGAGAGGATGTAATGACAGATGTAGAAAACAAACATTTTAAAAGGAGGCAGTTATGAATCCCACAGGGAATACAGGTTTCTATGGGAAGCAAAATTCGTTATCAATGACTACTTACTGGGTCAGTAACAAGTAACATTGACCAAGTCGCAGAGCTGAGCCGTGAGTGCTGCTCTAGCCCACAGTTACGATATGGGGGCGGGGGAGGCTGCAGGGGTCTCCGGGGACCTGTTGTGATATGGCTGCATGGTGAGGGGGTGCAGTGGCTCCAGGGACCTGCTGTGATTATGGCTGCATGGTGAGGGGGTGCAGTGGCTCCAGGGACCTGCTGTGATATGGCTGCATGGTGAGGGGGTGCAGTGGCTCCAGGGACCTGCTGTGATTATGTCTGTATGGGGCGGGGAGGCTGCAGGGGTCTCCTGGGACCTGCACTGGAGGTAGTGTCCAACCTGTGCCCCCAGCAAGGCAAGCCGGGGAGGGAGACGGGAGCCGGGTGGCCCAGGGCTCCTGTGCTTGGAGTGGGGGAGGTTGGGACTCTGCAGAGGGCCTGAGGGGCAGGAACGGGAAGATCCCCTCCTCAGTTTATCCACCTGAGGGCCCCCCGCAGTGCCCTCCTCAGCCTCACTTTGTTCTGCCCAGGGGATTGGCCGTGGACCATGAGGTTTGGAACAGAAAGCCTGCCCCTGGTTTCACGCTCAGCAAGTTCCTTCTCCTGTAGGAACCCCTGATCCACAGCTTCTGTGTCTGTGGGGTGGGGGTGGCAATTGTGGCCCCATCTGCTTCCCAGGACAGTTACGGCTCTAAGGTGTGGTCTTGGCTGTGGTGATGCTTGCCAAGACACTGCCCGGGGTGTGGCATCAGCCTTCCCTTTGCCCACAGGACGATGCCCTGAGTCTCTGTTCATCCATTGACCTGTGCAGATGCACAGGACACCTGGGTGGGGCCGTGGGGACACCAGGATGAGTGGCCATGTGTGTGCCTGCAGAGGGTGGTGTCCTCATGAGGTAGAAGGCCTGGGAGCCGGCTGGAAGTAGGCTGCTGGGCCCCATTGCAGGGGGGACCGCGCCGTGATGCGGCTTGCAGGGGCCCCGGGGCAGCGGGGCTGGCTCTGCTGACGCCCACATGGCCTGGGCCCCACGTGGAATCTGAGCCAGAGACGTGGTGACGCCCTAAGTCCTGCCAGCCTTTCTAACATCTCCCCCTCCTTGTCTCCCATAAGGCCACAGAGCTACAGGATGAAGTATTGAAGCTAAAATTGGGATTAACCTTGAACAAAGATCGTCGACGGGCGGCCCTCACTGGAAACCTTTCGCTTGGCCTGCCGGCAGCACAGCCTCAAAATACATTTTTTAACACAAAATATGGAGAATCAGGAAATGTTCGCAGATACCAGTGACACCAGGTGGCTGGACTGATGGAGACGTCTTCAGACAGGAGCCGCTCAGTCTTCTTTCCCGGGCGTCGCCTCCTGTGTGGTGCCGGAAGAGCGCCAGGTTCAGTGTTACCCTGAGGGCTGATTTCGCGCAGCCTGTTGTTTTCCTTAGACAGGTCCACGTCCCTCTCCTGAGGCTGTGGAAGATTTCAGCCGTATTAAAAGAAAGGACACTGTGAGCACGTGGTCTCGCCTTCCCTTCTTCCTGCAGGTTCCCGCCAAGCCATGTGACAGAGTGCTCACACTCAGGCACTTGCCTCTCTCCTGTCCTGGAGCCCTTGTTACAAAAGTACTCACAGCTTTCCTTCACTTAGTTATTTGAGTGTGGGAGAGGAGACCAGGTCACCCGATTCCCGCCAAGCCGGAAGTCCCTGCAGCACCACCTTTGGCTAGGAGGGAGGGGTGACAGCCAAAAAGGGCTTCGGGGGAGTGGTTACCCTGCTCCCTGCCCAGTGACAAGCCCTCCTTTCCCCTGGGGGCCCTCCTTTCCCCTGCTCCCTGCCCAGCTACGGGGCCCTCCTTTCAGCCTTGACCCCTTCCTGGTTGCTACCACTCAGGCTGCCACTCAGTGGACTCCACCCCAGGGACACGGCAGGGTCTGCAGACCTCCCCATGCTAGATCAGCCGTATTTCATGCTCTGTCTGCCCAGGCTGTGTAGATTCTGTGTGACTTAGTCTCTTGTGCTGAGTGTTTGCTTGGATCTTGAAAACATCTTTGGTTTGATTTCTTTAACAGAGGTGAGACTATTCAGACTTTGTTTATTTTTGTGTTAATTTTGGTAAATATGGTTTCAGTGAGTTTCCTCATTTCATCCAAGTTGTGCAATGTATCAGCATAAAGTTCCTCTTATTTTCAGTATCTTTAGGATCCGTAATAATGTCCCCTCTTTTATTCTTGACCTGGTGTTCTTCATCATTCTTGCTATGGATTTATCAATTTTGTTCCTCTTTTCCAAAAGCCCCAGGTTTTGGCTTCACTGGATTTGCTGTTTGTCTTCTGTCTCATGGGTCTCTGCGCCCTGCACTTCGTACTTTCCGAGAGTTTAACTGGTGCTTAGAGAGAAATGCATCACTTCCAAACCCATGTATTAGAGAAGAAGGGCGTGAAATTTATCACCTAAGCTTTCCATTCAGGAAGCTAGAAAAGGTGTCAGTGACCTGTTGCGGCCCAGCGGCTGGAGCAGCAGACGTTTGCCATTTCTCACGCCTGAGGGCAGGCGTTGGAGCAGCTCAGCCGGCGTTGCTGGTCAGGGTCTCCCGTGAGGCTGGAGTCAGCCGTGGGTTGAGCTGCTCTCCTCTGAAGGTTTAACTGGGCTTGGGGCTCAGCTTCCAAGGTGCTCACCTGGTTGTTGATCAGAGAGCGTGTCCGTTGTGATCCCAGTCCTTTGAAACTGTGAAGCCTCGCCCCGCGGCCTGCCGCAGGATATGTTTTGGTAAATGTAGACTGTGCACTTGAGAAGAATGTATTTTGAGTTGTTGGGTACATTGTTTTGTGTGTGTCAGGTGACATTGACTAATCCTGTTGCTCAGAGCTCCTGTACCCTTACTGACTGACTTAAGCCTGGTTTCTCAGTTACTGAGAGAGGCCTGTGAACAGTTCTAGCTATGATCATGAACATGTGTTTTCTTCTTAGTTATGTGAGTTTTTGCTATACGTGTTTTGGGGCTATTTTGTCAGATGCCTACAAATTTAGGATTGTTTTATCTTCCTGTCGAACTGACCTTGTCATTATTATGAACTATTTCTCTTCGCCTCTCCTTTTCACTTCTTGCCTTCTGTGGATTTTGTCTGATACTAATCCAGGCACACTGCTGCTGTTTTGGTCAGCGTTTTCATAATGCATCTTCTTCCCTCCTTCTACTGTACTGGATTTAAAGCGCACCTTATAGAGACATCATATACTCGGGACTCCTTTTCTTTCTCTAGCTGCCAGTTCTGTGTTTCAGTTACAGTGTTTGGCCCTCACATTTAAGGTGCGTGTGCGTACGGCGGATTCCGTGCCCATCTCATGTTTTTATTCCCTTTATTCTTCTTTTGCTGCTTTCTGATAGTGATCAATTTTTTTATTTATATCTCTTGTATTAGAGTTTTAGTAATATCTTTTAATATTATTCTCTTGGGTGTTGCCTTAGAGATTTCATACATGCCCTTGAGTTCATTAGCATTTCCTGAATGAGCCAATGACCCTGAGAAGGTCCCTCCCATCTGCCAGTTCCCTGCCATTGATGCTGTTGCTCTCGTCCGCCTCCCTTCCACAGGTAAGCACGCAAGACACAGGTACCGTGTGCCCCAACGGTGTCTTGACTCGCTGTTCCTAGACATCAGTGTTTGCTTCACTTTACCCATCCCGATGCTCTTCCTTCCTGCAGCTTCATGCTCCAATGAGGGCTGATTTTCATTTAGCTAAATAACTTTTTTTTAAGTATTTCTTTGTATCATGGTTATGCTTTGACTGGCCGTAAGTTCTCTCAGCTTTTGTTTGTCTGAAAATAAATTTAGTTCGCCTTTATTCTGCACAGGACAGAATTCTAGGTGGATGATTTTTGCCATTCCCAGAACTTTAAAGATGGGCTCCACTGTCTTCTGGCTCCCATGTGTTTTGTTAAAAATTCAGTGTTCAGGCCGGGTGCTGTGGCTCACGCCTGTAATCCCAGCACTTTGGGAGGCCGAGGCGAGTGGATCACGAGGTCAGGAGATCGAGACCATCCTGGCTAACACGGTGAAACCCCGTCTCTACTAAAAAATACAAAAAATTAGCCGGGCGTGGTGGCTGTAGTCGCAGCTACTCAGGAGGCTGAGGCGGGAGAATGGCGTGAACCCAGGAGACGGAGCTTGCAGTGAGCCGAGATCGCGCCACTGCACTCCAGCCTGGGCGACAGAGCGAGACTCCGTCTCAAAAAAAAAAAAAAAAGATTCAATGTTCATTGTTATTTGTTGCTCCTTTGAAGGTAATGGGTCTTTTTTCTTTGTCTTAAAATTGTTTCTCCTTATCTTTGGTTTTCAGCAGTCTGTGCTGTGCCTGGATGTAATTTTCTTTTTACGTATTTTTCTTGGAATATACAGAACTCAAATCTGGGAGTTAGCATCTTTCATCAGTTTTGGAAAATTCTTAGCCATTTTTTTTTTTTTTACTATTTTTTCCCCTGTTCTCCCTCTTCTCCCTGAGACTTCAGTTTTGTGTGTGTGTGCACATGTGTGTATGCATTCGTGCGTACGAGTGTGTGCATGTGTGCGCCCGTGTGTATGTGCATATGTGAGTGTGTGTGGCTGTAACCTGCACGTCTCTTCTGTCATGTGTTCTATTTTTCATTCCTCTCTGTACATCAGGCTAGATGCCTCCTGTCTACGTGGTTTTAGATTTACGAATCCTGTCTTCTGTTGTGTCCCACAGAAAAACCCATGAGGTTTTTTAACATTAAAAACAGCAGCTTTATGATAGAGAAAAAAACACAAACATAGACGATTGTACCATTGCACTCAGAAGAAACATCCCAGGCCCTGAGCAGCGTGTCTTTCCTCGGCCGAGTCAGGCTTCCTGGTGAGCCTCAGGGAGTGCATGGTCTCAGATGCCATCCTTCTCTTCTCCAGCATTTCCACTCACCTCCGTGTTCTTGGGGAGTGCGTGGTGTCAGATCCCATCCTGCTCCTCTCCAGAGTTTCCGGTCACCTCCGTGTTCTCAGGGAGTGCGTGGTCTTGGATGCCATCCTGCTCATCTCCAGCATTTCCTCTCACCTCCGTGTTCTCGGGGAGTGCGTGGTGTCAGATCCCATCCTGCTCATCTCCAGCATTTCCTCTCACCTCTGTGTTCTCGGGGAGTGCGTGGTGTCAGATCCCATCCTGCTCCTCTCCAGCATTTCCTCTCACCTCCGTGTTCTCGGGGAGTGCGTGGTGTCAGATCCCATCCTGCTCCTCTCCAGAGTTTCCTCTCACCTCCGTGTTCTCGGGGAGTGCGTGGTCTCAGATCCCATCCTGCTCCTCTCCAGAGTTTCCTCTCACCTCCGTGTTCTCAGGGAGTGCGTGGTCTTGGATGCCATCCTGCTCATCTCCAGCATTTCCTCTCACCTCCGTGTTCTCGGGGAGTGCGTGGTGTCAGATCCCATCCTGCTCCTCTCCAGCATTTCCTCTCACCTCCGAGCTCTCGGGGAGTGCGTGGTCTCAGATCCCATCCTGCTCCTCTCCAGAGTTTCCTCTCACCTCCGTGTTCTCGTTCTCATCTCTGCCGGAATTCCACATCTGCTCGTGCATGCCATCCACCTTTTCCACTAGATCCTTTTACATCATCATTATAATGATTTTTTTTTAATAAGTGTTTTCTTTCAGTTTTAAATTTCAGATGTTGTGTTTTTCAGGTCTAAGGTGTCTGGTAATTTTTTGTGGATGCCGATTCTCTGTTGAAATTCTCCATCTTTTCATTTCCTTTATATCTCTTTTCTTCTTTTTTCTATAATATATTACATTTTTCTAATAAGTTTTTAGTGAGTGTCCAGCATTGTATAAGTTGACCCTTGAACAAGAGTTTGAATTATAAGGGTCCACTTATAAGTGGATTTTTAAAAAAATATATATTGCAAAAATTTTTGGAAATTTGCAACAATTTGAAAAACTTTGCAGATGAGCCACATAGCCTAGAAATATCTGAAAAAAGAAAAAGTTATGTCATGAATGCATAAAATATACAGACCATACATGGACCATTCACAGTAGAGAGAAATGTCGCCGTAAAGATGCAGCATTGGCCGAGTGCAGTGGCTCACGCCTGTAATCCCAGCACTTTGGGAGGCCGAGGTGGGCAGATCACCTAAGGTCAGGAGTTCAAGACCAGCCTGGCCAACATGGAGAAACCCCGTGACTACTAAAAATAAAAAATTAGCCAGGCATGGTGGCACATGCCTGTAACTCCAGCTACTTGGGAGGCTGAGGCAGGAGAATCACTTGAACCCGGAAGGCAGAGGTTGCAGTGAGCCGAGATCACGCCATTGCACTCCAGCCTGGGCAACAAGAGCAAAACTCTGTCTCAAAAAAAAAAAAATGCAGCATTAAATTATAACTGCATGAAATTAACTGCAGTCCACAGTGTGCTGCTGGAATAATTACAAAGCCACCTCCTGTTGCTATTGCAGTGAGCGCAAGCATGTCAAGGATCCGCTTAAAACATCGTGTGGTGCTAATCTCTGCACGAGCGGTTCATGTCTTCAGTACATTGTGTATCACGGTAAAAAGTGATCTGTTTTAACTGGACATGGTGGCACACGCCTGCAGTCCCAGCTACTCAGGAGGCTGAGGCAGGAGGATCCCTTGAGCCCAGGAGGTCGAGGCTGCAGTGAGCTGTGATTGCACCACTGCACTCAAGCCTGGGCAACAGAGTGAGACCCCAACTTGAAAAAAAGGGGACATCGGGATGTTCTTGTGTATTTTTCATGTTGAGCGCAATACTGTAAACCTTGAAGAACACTTTGGGACCCATAGAGTGCCACCAGTCATGCCAAAGAGCTCCTGAGAAGCAGAGAAAAGTCATGACATTTCAAGAAAAAGTTGAATTTCTTGATATGTTCCGTAGATTGAGGTTTACAGCTGCGGTTGCCTACCAATTCAAGATAAATGAATCCAGCGTAAGGACCATAGTAAAAAAATAAGGAAATTTGTGAGCAGGCACAAAAGCCTTAACACTTTCTGTGAAATACCTTTTTATCTTGTATTGGGAATGCAGCTTTTATGTGGGTATAGGATTGCTGTGTGTGATGGTTCATATTAAATGTCAACTTGATTAGATTGAAGAATGTAAAGTATTGTTTCTGGGTGTTGCCAGAAGAGATTAACATTTGAGTCAGTGGACTGGGAGAAGACCCACCACAGTGTGGGCAGGCACCATCCAGTCGGCTGCCAGCATGGCTGGAAAAAGCAGGCAGAAGAAGGTGGCTGAAGCTGACTGGCTGAGTCTTCTGGCCTTCATCTCTCTCCCATGCTGGATGCTTCCTGCCCTTGAACATCAGACTCCAAGTTCTTTAGCTTTTGGACTCTTGGACCTACACTGGTGTTTTGCCAGGGGCTCTCGGGCCTTCGGCCACAGACTGAAGGCTGCACTGTCGGCTTCCCTCCTTTAGAGGTTTGGGGACTCAGACTGAGCTACTACTGGCTTCCTTGCCCCTCAGTTTGCAGACAGCCTATTGTGGGACTTCACCCTGTGATCCTGTGCCTCAGTTCTCCTTAATAAACTCCATTTCATATGTATATATATCCTATTCTGTCCTTCTAGAGAATACTTACTAATACACTGAGAAAGGTGTACCTGTAGTCTCTTCAAACAAAAGGAAGGGGAAGGAACTGAAGCTGGAGAATCTAATCCCAGCAAAGGATGGTTTGATAATTTTAGAAAGAGGCTTGGCTGGAAAAATGTCAAGATAACAGGAGAAGCAGCTTCTGTCGGCCAAGGGGCAGCAGACAAGTTCCTGGATACGGAAACCATGAAGAAAGTCACTGAGGAGAAAGAGGAGAAAGGATATCTGCCTGAACATGTTTTTAATGCAGACATAAGTCCCCTATTCTGAAAAAAAAAAAAAAAATGCCACAGGCATGAATTAGGAAGACAAGCAAGTACCAGAATTTAGGGCAGGAGGGGAGAGGCCAGCTCTGCTGTTCTGTGCAAACACAGTCAGATTATGATCAGGACTGCCCTTATCTAGAAAGCTGCTAACCGCTGAGCTTAAAAGGAAAAGAAAAACACCATCTTCTCCTTGGTTGTACAAGAAGGCTGGACAAGAACCTCTTTTCTGGGTTGATTTCATCGATGCTTTGTCCCTGTAATCAGGAAGTACCTTGCTTCCTGTAAGTGACTGCCTTTTAAAGTTCTGGTATTGGACAATGCCTCTTGGCCACCCAGAACCCCATGAGTTCAACACTGAAGGTGTCAAAGGAGCCCACTTGCCCCCAAATATGTCTCCAATGCAGCCTCTGGCCCAGAGGCCGTAGGGACCTGGAAGCCTCATTGCATGTGGCACTGTATGGACAGAAGTGTCAGTGCTGGCGAAGAGAACCTCAGGGGAGAACACCATGAAAGGCTGAGGGATTACACACTAGACGTGCCGTCATGGTTGGCAGCAAGGCTGGGAAAGCCACGAAGCCTGAAATGGCACATTCTTGCTGGGGAAAACCGCGTCCAGATGTTGTGTACGACTTCCCAGCATTGATGGCAGCCAATTACGGAAATGATGGAAAAGGAATGGAATCCCATCTCTTGCCACCACCTGGATGGAATGGAGGCCATTATGTTACTTGCAGTAAGCCAGGCACAGAAAAACAAGCATCGCTTGTTCTCACTCTTGGGGGCTAAAAAAGTGGATCTCACGAAGATAAGAGCAGACTGGTGGTGACCAGAGGCCAGGAAGTGGGGAGTGCAGGGGGTGACTAATGAGTGGAAATGCACAGTGAGATGGAGGAAATAAGACCTGGCGTTCAATAGATCAATAGGGTGACTACCTAACGTTAGTCAGTTGCACATTTCGACATAGCTAGAAGAGAGTCATTCAATGTTCCTAGCAGAAAGAGAAGAAATAGGTTGATGGGCATCCCAGTTACCCTTACTTGATCTTCACACGTTATACGAGTGTATCACATTATCACATGTGCCCCCAAAATATGTACATTTATTATATATCAATTAAAGAAATTGTGGAGATAGCAAAAAAGATGAGGGTGAAGAGTTTCCAGATACAGGCCTTGGAGAAATTCAAGAGCTAATAGACGCTGCACCACAGCAATGAACAGGAGAGACTGAGGGAGATGAGTGTTTCCAAACCAGGCCACGAGGAGGAGAAAGACGTAGAGGAAGCAGTGCTGGGAAAGAAGGTGACCCGGGACCCTGGCAGGAGCATTCCTGTCATTCAAGCTGCCTTTGCCCTCTGTCAGGACATGGGCCCTTCTATGATGCAGGCATGGAAACTAAAGCCAGCGCTGGAAGGAGGATTGGGACCGCACAGAAAGTTTAGAGAAATGAAAGAGCAACGTCAGGCAGAAATTACATGTATGTCCGTCACGTTACACCGAGTGTGCCTGCCTCCCCTGCCTCCCCTGCCTCCTCCCCCACTTCTGCCTCTGCCACCCCTGAGACTGCAGGACCAGCTCCTCCTCCTCCGTCCACAACCTGAAGAGGGGGAGGACAAAGGCTTTATGAGGATCCACTTCCACTTAATGAGTAGTAAATAGATTTTCTCTTCCTGATGATTTTCTGTCTTACTGTAAGACTACAATATGTAATATAACATACAAAATATGCGCTAATTGAACGTTAATGTTACCAGGAAGGCTTCCCGTCAATGGTAGCCTATTAGTAGTTCCATTTTGGGGACGTCAGAAGCAATATGTGGATTTTCAGCTGCGTGGGGCATCAGCGCGCCGTAAACCCCACGTTGTTCAAGGGTCAACTCTGTAAACAAACCACAGAGACTAAGGACAATGCCGGTTTCCGTGAGAGGACTGGCCCTTTCCTCTGTGAAGCACATAAATGGGGACAGGTTTTATCACCTTCATCCCGGCAGGGCTTGCGCTGGGTGGAGACTGGGTCGCAGCTTCAGTTACTCCTGGTCAGCCTCTGCCTTTGGCAGGCTGGTGGGTGAGACCTGTCCTGGGCTTGCTGTGAACCCGAGATTTCACCCTGTCTCCAGAACAGCCTCTCAGCTTCCTGTGCTGGTACCAGACCCTGAAAATAGTCTGGGGGACCAGCCGTGCCTCTGATGCCCTAGACCCTGCCCCAGGGCCTCCAGCAGCCCTGCTTCCTGTCTGTGACGCCCTGGGCCTCAGCCTGGGCAGGCCGGGATGCAGCAGCTCCAGTCCCCCTCGAGGCCCTCCAGGGCTGCCCCTGGCTCGCAGCCTCACACGCACCCCGTGACTCCTGCGTCTCCTCTGACTGCTGCGTCTGGCCTTCCCTGGTGGCTACAAGAGCAGGAGGTCATCGCTCACCTGGCCCAGAAGTCGCACTTCATTCACTGCCATCTTTTTAAAAGAATCACTCTGCTTTAATTATGCTTCTTAAAACAGTGTACAGGAAAAACTCCAAGCCTGTTAGGTTGTGTTAAAAAATACAGCTGATAGAAAATTCCAGGTTATTCACATGTAATGTGGTAACCACACACTTGCTTGCATTCCCTCCATCTTTGTTTTGATCAAGTCTCTTCATTCCATTGTTCTTGGGAACCTGCAGTCCCTCTATGCTCTTCCATTCCCCCACTTTCTCTCATATCAGACAGATATTTCTCTCTTAATTTTTGAAAATTGGGCTTTCTCTTCCCTTCCTTTTCTTCTCCCCTGCCTCGGCTGAGGCCTTTAGAAGTCCTGATGTCCTGTTTCTCTCCACCGTCTCAGTTATCTGTTGCTGTGACAGACCACTTAGTGGTTGAAAACAGCAGCCTCCCCCTGATCTCAGAATGCTTTGGGTTGACCGAGCTCAGCAGGGCGGCTCTCCCGTCCTCAGGCTGTCCGTGGGGGCACCAGCGATCTGATGGCCGGGCTGAGCTGAGACGTGCAGGACGGCACCCTCACACACCTGGCGCTCTGGCCAGGTGGCCTGGAAGGTTGGTCTCAGATGGGATGCTGGGATCACTGGAACTACCTTTCTCAGGACGTCGCTGGCTCCCATGGTCCCTCCCTGGGGTCTCTAGCAGGGTGCCTGGCCTTCCTCCATGGAGGCTCAGGGCTCTAAAAGTGCAGAGTGGGAGTGTCCAGGCCTTCCAAAGGCTTGGGCCTATCCTGGCATGCCCCAGTTCCTCCGTATTCTCCTGGGGAAGGTGAGTCCCAGGGCAGCCCAGGTCTCTGTAGAATGACAGGCAGCGACCACAGCCTGCCTCCTGCCCTGTGCGTGGATGCTGTGAGTTGTCCTGGGCTGGATCCGGAAGTGCTGAGTCTCATCCTTGTCTCTCTGAGTCGATGTTATTGTTCTGTCTTCTGGCTCCCAGACTTGTGGAGGCGCAGCCTGGGTCAGCAGGATTCTGTAGAGGCATCTCCTGTCTGTCTGGAGGCCATGGTATACTCACCAGCCTTTGAGTTCAGGTCTTTCTCTTCAGCTACACCGGGACGTCAGGAGCCCCTGGGCTGTGGGTGCAGCTCTTCCTCCATTTCAGGAAAGCTGTTTGCTTCTGTTCTTTCAAAAATAGCGGCCTCTCCTCCACCTGCTCCCTCTGTCATTCAGGGGCCCCTTTGATGGATTGTTCAGCTCTGGCTGTGTCCCCGAGCCACACTCTTTCCATTTCCTTCCTTTTGCTCAGTATTTGTGGACTTTTTTCTACTTCCTCTTTCACACTTTTCCTTTGGATGCCAACATTCGCATCCTCTCTGTCGGTTCATTTGCTGATGTGTCCTTGGAAAACCCTTTATTTCTTGGCTCTAGAAGTCTCGTGTGGGGTGTGCCGTGCTGGGGTCCCCTTGGGCCCTGGCTGGTGCTGCTGGTGCCATCTCTCTGGCACGGGTCTGTTTGACTAAAGTACCCTTCCCTCGGGAACTGGTGCCTTTAGATGGGAGGCGATTCTTTGGTGGCTCCTTGGGTCAGGCCCGGCTTGGGTCAGGCCTGGCTACCAGCCATGGGTGGTGCGTCAGGGCCCTCCCTGCTCTCTGGCCAGTGCTGCGGACATCGCCCCTCTGGGCAACACGTGCACAAGCACCACTCCATGTCCTGGCATCTCCAGGATGGGGTGTGGGTGCCTGGAGCTGGGTCTTCATGGGAGACAGGAAGAGTGAGGTGCACCCACCACGTGGTGCCCCCTTGTCCGACTCTTGTCTGGGGGATTCCAATTGGGGTCCCCTGAGACCTTTTGTTTGTATGAACCTGCCAAGATGCTGCCCACCTTTCACTTGAAGCCACCAATCACTGCTTCTGCTGTGACACAGAAGTGCGCCCTGTGTTGGCCTCAGGCCCTGGGCACAGCCCAGCCTGAACATTGCCGTCTAATCAAAGTCCTGTGGGTCAAGGAGCTTTCATGACAAGGTGCTGCTGGATGGGCCCTGGGGAGAGGCTGCATATTCCGTAGGGAGGACCGGGCTCCTGGCAGAGGCAGCAGCTGGAAGGCGGGGTGGAGGCAGGGATGAGCTGGCCACTTGTTCTCCGGGAGGGCCCGCCATGGGAATCCATGTCCTCCTGCCTGTCTTCCGGAGGCCACCTTCATGCCCTCATTTTCCACATCACCCTTCCCGTGGTCATCTGCCCTCTCTCACCCTCTAAACCCCGACCTCACTCTGTGAGAGGCCCCATTTCAAGGGGAGCGGGAGAGCCTGCCTCCCGGATGGCAGTGGCGGGTAATTGCTGCTGGGCAGGGTAGAGGAGCTGGCACAGAAGCCACCACCCAGACCCCTGCTTGGAAGGTGCTTACAGGCTGGTGGGGAAACGGTGCTGGAGGCCCTGGCACCCACCCTCCACCCTGTGACTCAGCCCATCTTCTGAACGTGGCCCTGCTCCTGATGGGGCCCTGCAGCCAGCAAGTCCCTGCGGCCTCTCTGGATCCTGTAACCTCTTATAGATTTCAGGTGTCTGGGCAGGAGGCGCCCCTCTCCCTGGTGGATTTGGGATGTCTGGGCAGGAAGCCCTCACTCCCTGGTGGATTTGAGGTGTCTGGGCAGGAGGCAACCCTCTCCCTGGTGGATTTGTGGTGTCTGGGCAGGAAGCCCCCCTCCCTGGTGGATTGGGGGTGTCTGGGCAGGAAGCCCCCACTCCCTGGTGGATTTGAGGTATCTGGGCAGGAGGCCCCCCCTCCCTGGTGGACTTGGGGTATCTGGGCAGGAAGCCTCCCCTCTCTGGTGGATTTGGGGTGTCTGGGTGGGAGGTGCCCCTCTCCCTGGTGGATTTGGGGTGTCTGGGTGGGAGGTACCCCTCTATCTGGTGGATTTGGGGTGTCTGGGTGGGAGGTGCCCCTCTCCCTGGTGGATTTGAGGTGTCTGGGCAGGAGGCAACCCTCTCCCTGGTGGATTTGTGGTGTCTGGGCGGAAGCCCCCCTCCCTGGTGGCTTTGGGGTGTCTGGGTGGGAAGTGCCCCTCTCCCTGGTGGATTTGGGGTGTCTGGGTGGGAGGTACCCCTCTATCTGGTGGATCTGGGGTGTCTGGGTTGGAGGTGCCCCTCTTCCTGGTGAACTTGGGGTGTCTGGGTGGGAGGTGCCCCTCTATCTGGTGGATCTGGGGTGTCTGGGTTGGAGGTGTCCCTCTCCCTGGTGGATTTGGGGTGTCTGGGTGGGACATACCCCTCTCTCTGGTGGATTTGGGGCGTCTGGGTGACAGGTACCCCTCTCTCTGGTGGATTTGGGGTGTCTGGGTTGGAGGTGCCCCTCTCTCTGGTGGATTTGGGGTGTCTGGGTGGAACGTACCCCTCTCCTTGGTGGATTTGGAGTGTCTGGGTGGGAGGTACTCCTCTATCTGGTGTATTTGGGGTCTCTGGGTGGGATCCCCCTCCCCTGGTGGATTTGGGATGTCTGGGTGGAGTCCCCCTCCCCTGGTTCCTGCTCTGCTGTTCTCTTTGCCTCCCTTAGCTACTGAGTGAGTACCGTCTATGTTGACTTCCAGCTCAGGGCGTCCTGAGCTTCTGGGACTTCTCATTTTTCTGCCGAGCTGCCTTGGGAAGGGAAAAGGGAGGCGACAGCCCAGAGCCAGGCCTGAGAACCCCCAGGGGCAGGAACTGTGCTGCAGAAGGCAGATGGTCTGGGGTGGTCGCAGGCCCACGGCTTGGAGAGAGCAGCAGCCGCAGCAGGGAGCCAGTGCGTGAGAAACGTGAATGTGGTTGGCGGATGCTCTCAGGGGGTCACAGGCGGTGTCCCAGGAGTGCTGATGGGCGTCACCAGCCCTGGGGCCCCAGGACGCAGGCCCCGCCTCCCGTGAACCGACTTCACCTGCAGGTGGCGCTCCAAGGCCAGGCGTGGCGCGGGCTCATGCGGGGGCGGGGGGATTCGTGCGCGGGCGGGGGGCTCATGCGGGGGCGGGGGGATTCGTGCGCGGGCGGGGGGCTCATGCGGGGGCGGGGGGCTCATGCGGGGGGCGGGGGCTCATGCGGGGGCGGGGGCTCATGCGGGGGGCGGGGGGATTCGTGCGCGGGCGGGGGGCTCATGCGGGGGCGGGGGGCTCATGCGGGGGCGGGGGGCTCATGCGGGGGCGGGGGCTCATGCGGGGGCGGGGGGCTCATGCGGGGGCGGGGGCTCATGCGGGGGGCGGGGGGATCATGCGGGGGCGGGGGCTCATGCGGGGGGCGGGGGCTCATGCGGGGGCGGGGGCTCATGCGGGGGGCGGGGGGATTCGTGCGCGGGCGGGGGGCTCATGCGGGGGCGGGGGGCTCATGCGGGGGCGGGGGGCTCATGCGGGGGCGGGGGGTTCATGCGGGGGCGGGGGGCTCATGCGGGGGCGGGGGGCTCATGCGGGGGCGGGGGGTTCATGCGGGGGCGGGGGGCTCATGCGGGGGCGGGGGGGCTCATGCGGGGGCGGGGGGCTCATGCGGGGGGCGGGGGGCTCATGCGGGGGGCGGGGGGCTCATGCGGGGGCGGGGGCTCATGCGGGGGGCGGGGGGGCTCATGCGGGGGCGGGGGGCTCATACGGGGGCGGGGGGCTCATGCGGGGGCGGGGGGCTCATGCGGGGGTGAGGGGGCGCACCACGGAGCCGCCTGCAGGGGCTCGGGGGCTCTCATTGAGGGAAGCAGCTGCCCGGCCCTGGAGGTCCCACGCCAGGCCATGGCAACAGGGTTAGCATTACAGGGCAACGTCTCAGGCTGAGAAAGCAATCGGCCAAAACTCCGGCCCTCCTGGCTCCCTCAAGGAAGCCTGGCTCATCTCCTGTGTGGATCCCTGAGTCCTGCACCCCAAGTGAGCCCAAAACAGGAGGGCCAAGCCCACAAACGTCCGTGGGCAGCCGGCCAGGGAAGGTGCCGTTCAGGCCCCATGCGCTCGGTCCGGGTCTCAGGACACACAGCGCAGAACCCGGCGTGGGCCTTGGGGCGTGAGGCCAGAAGCGGAGTTCACGTGACCTCAAGGACACCCTGCCGGACTTCCCCAAGTGCTGGCCAGGCCTTGGGGGCAGCTGGGCTCAGGTCCCCCTTGTCACTGTTGGAAGCTGGCCCTGCACCCACTACACTCACCAGTTCCTCCGTGGGGTCAGGAGGCTGGGGAGACCCCTCAGGGCTGGAGCCCAGTGTGGGGGCTGCTCTCCATCCAGGGCTGGAGCTGTCAGGGTGCTGCCTGGCTGCTCCCTCCACCCGGGAAGGAATGAGGCCCTCCCAGCAAGCTCTGCTCCCCTCAGGCCCCAGGCTGCCCAGAGGCCCCCCAGTCAGCCTTTCTCAGCCAGAAGGTGTTCATTTCTGTGCACCTGGGAGAACGCAGGCGACAGCCTCCAGCGCCCTCCAGCCCTAGCCCAGGGGATCCTGCTCCTTCCTGCACCTCCTCCCTCAGGCATCCTGTGGGGGACAGCACGAACACCTGGCCTCTCCTGGCCACTGGAGGAGGGCAAGGACAGGAGCCCCGCAGCCCAGCCCAGCTGCACGCTGCTGCACCTGCTGACACACCAGTGCCTCCCTAGATCCAGCACAGGGCTCTGCTCTCGGCCCTCCAACCACACCTCGGAGAGCCCCACTCTGTCTGTGGGTCTGCCTGGGGTCTACACCTCAGCTCAGGACAACCCTGAGGTCACCTGGACTCCGTGTCTGTCCCCACGCCCCAGGGCTCATGCCAGGTTCTGCATGTGGAGGGGTCGGGACAAATGCATAGCCACACCCACCAGGAGGAGGGTTTGAGGGGAAAGAGTTTGCAGGGAGGCCCCTGGGCCCCAGGCCACCACACTGTCTCCCCTAGGAGTCTCTGCCTGGAGGGAGCAGCACAGGACCTTTCCTACCTACCCCCTCCCCACCGCCCGCCCCGCTCTGGACACAGGCTAGCTCCTGCTCGTTAGGTGAGTGGGAGGTCAGGGTCGGGGAGCAGAAGGCATGAAGGTGCCTTTGCAAGCTGGGCGTGAAATGTGAATATACCCTGAGAGGGTTTTCTCCAAGTATCCCAGATGTGGATAACAACTGGTTTAATGATGAAATATCATGGTGTTTTTAGCAAACAGAAGCCCCGCCTTCTAGTATGAGGTTTGGCAAAACTGTCAGATTAAAAAATAAACCCACAAGCAGGGCATGGTGGCTCAAGCCTATAATCCTAGCACTTTGGAAGGCTGAAGTGGGAGGATCACTCGAGTCCAGGAGTTCTACACCAGCCTAGGCAACATGGCGAGATTCCGTCTCTACTAAAAGTAAAAAATCTGCCAGATGTGGTGGCTAACACCACCAGATACTCAGGAGGCTGAGGTGGGAGGATTGCTTAATCCCAGGAGTTTTTGAGGCTGCAGTGAGCCATGATTGTGCCACTGCACTCCAGCCTGCACGACAGAGCAAGACCCTGATTCATTTAAAATAAATAAGTCCCTACAGCAAAGACTTCTCATGAGGTTGGTGAGGTACCTTACAAAATGACACCCCAGGAGGTGGCCTGGGGCTCTGGGCAGTGTTTAACTGTGGGAGTTTCTCATGGTGTCCATGGCTGTGTTGACAGAAAGGTGCTAGTCTGGCTGTGGGGCCCACAAGCATGGGCTCTGTGAAGGGAGACCCCAGCCTGGCAAGGCCAAGGGGCCCAGCGTCCACCCAGAGTGCCTCTGGAAGATGCATCAGGACACAGCTCGGCTGCCTCCCTCACCTCGTCCTCCTCCGCACTCAAACTCCAGAAAGCAATCAGAGAAGACTGCCGTCTGGGAGGTGCCTCTCCTGGACTGGAAGCGCCCGAGTGCCTGCTGTGTTCCAGGTGCCCGGACCCTAGAGTGGTGGGCTCGTCTCCAGCAACCTCCACAGCAGGCACCCTGGAAGACCCTAGGGCAGGAGTGCAGCTTCACCTCCCTGTGGACCAGCAGCTCCAGGGGCCTCCAGCTTTTAAGTGCTTCCCAGTCTGTGTGAGCTGCCCAGGCCAGGCAGGGGCCTCCCGGTCTGTGTTTGCTTCCCAGGCCAGGGGCTTTTATGGGAACGTAAGCTTTAGGACTCTTATTCTGTGACAGGCCACTTCACACTGCACCTCTTCGTGGAGAACCTCACCAGGAACGTGCCAGCGTCCTTGGTCGTGGGTTCTTCTGAGAGAGATCCATGTCTGGCCAAGCCGTTTGGATCAACATGGGGGAGGCTTTTCCTCTCTCCAACATTAGGACCTCAAGGGTTAACTTCAAGCCAGGAAATGAGGACTTTAGATCCTGGGAATGGCCTTCGGAGGAGAGAGCTTACAACCTGCTAAGCGAGGCTGCTATGTTGCCTGTGATCCCAGGGGCCCTGGGCTGGGTTCGGGTGTTGTGGATTGGTTCTCTGGTCATGGAGAACAGCACGGGTCTTGCTGAGAAACAGCCAGCTCCTTCAGAAACAGAAGGGTCACACATCCACTGTTTGGAAACCAAAGCAGTTGTCTGGGGATGGGATGCCCCACCCTAGAAATATCTTTGCCCAGATGCTGCAGCCACAGGGCCTCTCGAACCTGAGTCTGGAAGGGATTCACAGCCACTGCTGAGAGCCAGCCTGGCCCTGGGGGCTGCCTCGGCTCCCCTGCCAAGGATGTGGGAGAGCACAGGTTATGGGGTCAGAGGAGGCTTCAAGAGCAGCTACCTGGGAGCCACTCACCTGCCTGGCTTCTTCCGCATCACGGGCCTCAGCCAGATACCAGCAGGGGCAGATTGCACACAGAGCATGTGGGCACAGGGTTTGCATCTCCTACCTGGCCCTGAGCATAGCACAAGGCCTCAGGTGTACCCGAGGATCCCACTGAGGGCCCAGCTATACAAGTATCATGAGAGTGGTGGTGGTGGTGATCATTTTGCTGGTGATAATGGTGATGGTGATATGGTGATGGCGGTGGTGGTGATGATGCTGATAGTAGTGGTGATGGTAGGTGTGATGGTGGTGATGGTGGTGGTGATAGTCATGGTGGTGATGGTGACAATGGTGGGGATGGTGGTGGTGGTGTGATGGTGATGATAGTGGAGATGGTGGTGGCAGTGACAGTGATAATGGTGATGGTGGTGTGATGGTGGTTGCAATGGTGATGGTGATAGTGATGGTGGTGGGGTGATACTGATGATAGTCATGGTGGTCATGATGGTGATGGTGATGGTGGTAGTAGTGATGGGGGAGGTGGGATGGTGATCATGATGATGATGGCAGTAGTGGTGATGGTGATGGTGGAGGTGGTGGTGGTGATAATGGTGATGGTGATGATGGTGATGTGATAATGGTGATGGTGATGGTAGTGGTGATGGGGGTGGTGGTAATGGTGATGATGGTGATGGTGATGATGGTGATGGTGGTGATGATGGTGATGGTGATGGTGATGATGGTGACGGTGGTGACAATGGTGATGGTGATGGTGGTGGTAGTGATGGGGGAGGTGGGATGGTAATGCTCATGGTGATGATGGCTGTAGCGGTGATGGTGGAGACTGTGGTGGTGATGGTGATGCTGATAATGACAAAAGTGTTGATGATGGTGATGGCAGCTAACTCATGGAAGCTTTACTGGGGCTTGTGCTGTACTAAGTATCTCATTTAATATTAACTCATTTAATATTCAGTACGAGGCTACACGGTAGGTACCATCATATTTCCCACTTTACAGATGAGGACACTGAGGCACAAGGGAGGTGGCAGTCTCCCCAAGGTCACATGGCAGGACTCTAGCAGTTTGGCCTCAGAGTTTATGTGCCTGCCCAGCTCTCTGCACCACCTCGAGTGGAGTCTTGGCAGGTTCTGTTCCCAGCCGGTCCTTTGAGATACTGCCTCAGGGGATGTGACCCTATATCATCCTGATAACCCAAGGGGCAGGGAGACAGCTCCAGAACAGACAAGACAAAGTTGGCCTTGTAGACCCACACTGCCCTCCAAGGGCTTCCAGACTGGAGCAGAACAAAACAAACACTGCCCAAAGGATCTGTGGCCTGCTAGAAGGTCGAGGGTTCCTGGCTCAGCATCTGCAAAGATTGCCTTGAGCCCCTGCCTCAGACGACACGACAAGGGACAAGGAGTGTGTTCCCCAGGCCGGCCTCCCTGCCAGACACCTTGGAGGAGGCCTGGCGTGCTCCTGCTCCCTAGTCTGTCCAGGCTTCTTGAGTGATGAATGGTTGCTTACTGAAATCAGAGCAGGCCCTCTGTATTAAAGGCTTTATCCTGTCTCCTGCCTTCCACAGCTGCTGTGGGCAAAAGGCTTGCCATGAGGCGACCTGGGTCCCAGCCTCAAGGCCCATCCCTGCCTTTGGCCTCTGGGCACCAGCTCTGGAGAAATCTGTGGTCTCTGACTCATGGCTGTGTCCTGCGAGGCCTCCATCTTGACCAGACACCTTCGATGCATCTCAGGAGCACCTCACTATGCTGCATGAGACTTGCACACAGCCAGGCCCTGGTGAGCTCCAGTAAGATCAAGCAAGCCCAGGTGTGTTGGGGGTTGGGGGGATACCAGGTGATTCTGGAGCAGGCTGGACACAGGCCAGGCTGTGGCTGCACCTCAGTCATGGGGAGGCCGCTGTAAGCCTCATCTCGTGGAAGAGACCAACAAAGGCTGAGAACCTGCTCACCACTGCCCTTCCCAAGTCTCAGTGATGATGTAGTGCGGTAGGACAGTGCTGGGCAGGTCCAGGTCCAGCAGTCAGGAGGGCCCTCTAAGCTCGGACCTGGGGGAGCGACCCTGAAAGACGAGGGGCGGGCATGGAGCTGGTGATGCAAGTGAGCCAGGCTGCCAGGGAGGACAAATCCTGGAGTTCCTCCAAGGACCGCAGGGGAGGCAGACCCTGAGGGGAGGTGGCCTGCGGGGTTCCTGCCTTCCTCCCCTGCTGTCTCAGGGGACATAGAGGCCAGCCCCTGCTTCCTCCTCCAGCCACCTGTCCCTCCCTCAACTGTACCCCTTCAGGCCACCCATCCTGCCAACTGCTGGTCACCCACCCCCAGCCCCGGTGGAAGTTCCGGACACTCTCCTGTCCCCTTGGCTTACCCCATCTGACTGGCTGGGCCGTCCCGAGCTGGGCATGTCCTAGGCCTTGCTGCGGCTGTGCCTACAGCCAGAGGACCAAAGGCTTTAGGACCTTTTGTTTGGATCAAGTCTCTTGAAGACAAAGTCTAAAGACCTCGGAGGTGTCTCTTCCCACTCTTGGCCTTTTCACCCCAGCCAGGGGCGTACTCCCGAGGCTCCTCTCCAGCCCAGCCAGGCAGCTCAGGGTCCTCTCACTGTGGGCAGCACCAGCCCCAGTACCCAGGGTGCTTCCCAGAACTGGGCAGACCTCACTGACTGGCATGAGCAGGGTGGCCTCTGGGGAGATGCTCAGAGCAGCAAGCCTAGGACAGCCTCCCAACCCCCGAATACAGGGTCAGACAGGAGGGGATACCTGGGCTGATGAGGTCCCCAAGGACACCTGCACTTTAATCGGGGACTCTGGAAACTCCCATGGCCTCTTCTTCAACAAGCAGGTTGGAGCGGGGCGGGAAGCAAGTGGGAGCAGGTGCGGGGGCAGGGCTGCTGGGGGAGGCCCTGAACAGCCACCGTTTAAGTTGCAAAAATGGTCTCCCTGTCTGCAGATGGTCTTTTTTATACCTTACCTAGTGGAGAGCAGGTTTTAAAAACGGCTTCCAAGTTCACTTAACAATACACAGTAAATAGCACGGGCCAGAGGGGAAGAGGCAGAGGGAAGGCGGGCAGGGCAGAGGGAAGGTGGGCAGGGCAGAGGGAAGGCGGGCAGGGCAGAGGGGCAGGAGGTACCATGGGCCAGCCGTGCTTCTCACTGCCCTCTTCCCCTCTCCAGCCAGAGCTGCCAGCTGCTGGGTGCATCTGTCTGGCCCTCTGTGCCCCGGAACCCTCTTCCCCTGTCCTGCCCGCCGCCACCCAGCCTTGGTTCCTCTCAAAGCCCAGCAAGTCCACAGGTGGGTCCCTCAGCACACCCCAAACTGTTCCTCCTGCTGGCGTGGGAAGTCACCAGGAGCCCCAGGCGCACGCAGACACCTTGCAGAGGATCCTGCCCACCCCCACCCCCACCTCGGAAGCCCTTGCTTTTGCCCACCTGGTGGGGCCCTGGTGAATGCTGGTGCTCCCCTGGACACTCTTTCTGGATCCCTCCACCCACATACAGCCCCCTGTGCATTAGCCCCACCCCATGCTGGCCCCACCAGCCTGAATGCTGATTCACCCTGGCAGTCCCCAATGCTCAGAAAGGGCAGTGCCCAGCAGGCCTCTCCAGCAGGCAGGAAGAAGAGCCAAGCAAGTGGGCAGCCTCAGGATGGCCGCTCAGCCCAACCTGGAGCAGGGTGGCGAGGGGGTCCCTGCTGCCTGGCATTTTTCCTCCAAAGTCAGCCCCACCCCTGGAGGGGGCAGCTGCAGAGGCCTGTGGGCAGGACAGCAGGCAGGCTCCACTGCAAGCCTGGCAACCAGTGGGCAGGGGCTGGCTGACCCTGGAGAACGGGGCGCCTTGAGGTGCCTGAGGCCCCAGGAAGGGCTTAGTGTTGGCGGGAGCCCCAGGCCACACAGAGGAGGACAGACACTCACTGGGCTTCCAGGCCTCCTCTGGGACTGTCCCCGGCCAGAACTCTGGCTCATTCGGCCTCGGTCCCTACCCCTGTTCTAGCCGGACGGTCAGGTGTCCCAGGCCCCGCGGGCTCCCTCACTCCGCCCTGGCTCCTCTCTGAGGCTCCCACTGCCGCGCGGCCGCCGGAGGGCGAGGTCGACAGGCGCCAGCGACCCGACGGTCCCCAGTGGCACCAGGGGCGGTGGTCCTCAATTCCCAGGCTGGGAGGAGCCCTGCCCGGCGGCGCTGGGTCGCCAGGACAACTACGCGGTCCCCCGCCCCGCCTCCAGGCCTCGTCAGGCGCTGCAAGTCCGGCTCAGAAGCCCGGCCCGGGGCCAAGGTCACCGCAGCAGGCCGGGCCCCTGCGTTCTGAGCCGGGTGCGGACGTGCTGGTGCTCGGGGAAGTCGGGGGCTTTGACGCCTGAAGGCGCGGGAGCCGGGCGCCTGGGGGAAGGGGGTCCGGCGCCGTCACCTCCCACTCCTCGCCCGCGGGTCGGGGAGCCCCTGCCGCGGGGGAAGGAGGCTGTTTCCTTTGTAAACTGGCGGAGGCGCGCCTGGCCCCTGGGCCCGGCAACCCGAAGAGACACGCCCGAGACCTCCGGAGGGAGTTAACCCCCCGGGCCCCGGTGCCGGCCACCCCCAGGCGCGCAGGGTGGCCCTGAGCCGGGCGCGCGCCCGCTTGTCGCCCCGAGAGGCGCCGAGCCCAGTGGGGCGACCCAGTGTCCCGCCCCCCACGCGGCGAGGGCGACACTAGGCCGCTGCCCCCGGGCGCCCCGCGTCCCCTCCGCCTGCCCCGGCTTCCTGCGCGCGCCGCCCGGGACTTCCTCGCCGCAGTGCCCGGGGCCACCAGAGCCCAGCGCGGGGCGCTGCCGGGACACGCGGGCGGCCGACCCCAGGCGGGAGGATCCGGGCCACCGGGGAGGGAGGGAGGGCGCAGGGCTGGGCCCGGAGGGGGAGGGGGGCCCGGGACCGGCCCCAGGCAGGGGAGCGGGGGGATGGGGTCCCGGGGCTCCGGCCGCGGCGGGTGTCCCCCCCGCCGCCCCCGGGCTCGTGGCTCTCGGGTCCTCCCGAGCCAGGGGACACTCCCGGCCAGCGTGGGCCGCGAGCCCGGGCGCAGCCCCCTCTCCAGCCCGGGGGTCCGCACCGCGCGTCCGGCCGACCTCTGCGGGCGGGCGCGGCTTCTCCCGGGACGCGGCGGCGGCGGGCGGGGTCCCCGGGAGCGGAGCCCGCGGCCGCGCGCCCCCGGCCCGGCTCGGCTCGGCTGTGGCGGCCGCCCCAGCGGAGCTTTGTGACGTCAGGCGGCCGCGGGGCGGCGTCACGCGCGGGGCTGACCCGGCGGCGGCGGCGGCGGCGGCGGCGGCGGCGGGGCGGGGGCGGCCTGGGACGCGGCGGGAGCATGGAGCCGCGCGCCGGCTGCCGGCTGCCGGTGCGGGTGGAGCAGGTCGTCAACGGCGCGCTGGTGGTCACGGTGAGCTGCGGCGAGCGGAGCTTCGCGGGGATCCTGCTGGACTGCACGAAAAAGTGAGCGGGGGCGCGGGCCGGGACACCCCCGGGGTCCCCACGCGACACCCGCCTCCGCCGCCCGGAGACCCGGGACCCGCCTCCGGGTTGGGGGTGGCGTGGCCCCGGCGCCCGCTTTCGGTTTCTGCCGAGCCTGAGTTTCGGGGCGCGCGAGCGCGGCCGCCACTCGGGGGGGCAAAAGTGGTTCTCAAAGTCGTCGCGACTTTTCGGGGCGGGCGCCGGGCCGGGGCGGGCCGGGGCGGGGGGCGCGGGGCCGGGGTCCCGGAACTCCACACATCTGCCATAATTAATGCACT
The DNA here is from genome assembly GCF_000001405.40 of Homo sapiens. Taxonomy (NCBI): domain Eukaryota; kingdom Metazoa; phylum Chordata; class Mammalia; order Primates; family Hominidae; genus Homo; species Homo sapiens. The sequence continues at coordinate 132,397,648 of NC_000010.11, forward strand.
TTTCTTTGTTCAGAGCCACTGTTGAATTCGACTGTTGGCAGAATTGTCGTTAAAGCAGGGGAGGGTCAGATGCGCCGTGGCCTTGCCCTGGCAGTTCCTCACAGGTGGGGGTGCCCTGTCGAAGGCCACGGGCCCCTGGCTGCTGGGAGTGACTCCGCGGCTGAGGTTTGGATTCGGGGAGAGCAGTTGCGCCCAGCTGTGCGATTTAAGAACAGTTTCAGGCCAGGGAGCCCTGAGTCATGGGGGCGTGAAGAGGTACAAGCTGTGGGAGCCGTGGGCACATCCCCCGGGAGCCCTGGCTTCCTGGGTGGGGGGCGCAGGGCAGGGCGGGGCGGTTCCTCCTGAGAGGCACCTGTGCACGGGCTGCAGGGACCCATGCGGTGCAGATGAGCCTCCTGGACACCGCGTCACATGGCAGGGAGCTGTCGCTGCCAGATCAATGATTAGGCATGAATCAGGCTGTGGCCTCGCTGCGCTCCTGCAGGGCTTTCTTTTGAAACTGGGAGCAGGGAAAGGCTCCTCTTGTAAAGGCCCAACTTTTTCCATCCGTGGAGCCCAGATTTTTGCCTGGTGACATGAATTAGCAGAGAGGACCGTGTTCCTTCCACAATTATTTCGCAGACGTTATCTCTTCATTAGATGTGCCAGAAGCCATTTATCCACAAGTCACGTGATTTAACATATGGCTCCCGTGTGGTTCCTGCCCGCTCCGTGTGGGCTACCGCTGGGAGTGCACGGGCAGGATGGAGGGACACTCGGGGGGTGAGAATCGCCACCTGGGAGCTGCCATCCCCTCCACCATCGGCCTCAGCTTCCTCTGGCGGGCAGGGTTGGGCTTGGTCCTGGTCAGCAGGGCCGCACCCCTGCCAGACCTGCACCACCTTGCCTGGCCTTTCCTCCCTGAAGAGGGGCACGAGCGGCAGTGGGTTGCCCCATTTCCCAGGTTCCTTGACTCGGGACAAGGGAGGCTGAGAATATCTGCAGTGGCCTCGGGCTCTCCTCCCTGAGGCCCATGGCTAACCTGGTTTGCAAATCTACACCACCGCCTCCCCTTCATGGAAAAAACCAGGCCCGATGGGACCCCCGGCGTGGGAACTGGCAGCTGTAGGATGCATGGGTGTCAACCCTGCCTGCCACGTTCAGCTGTAACCAGAGCCGCCCACGGAGCCGGGCGCTGGGCCTCTGCGGGCACAGCCACTTAGCAGCCAACCTTGCTGCCTTGGGCTGGCCCCCTTGTCCTTGTGGGGAATCTGAAGGTAGAGCAGGCTCCCCGACCCCCAGTCCTGAGGCTTGTCCTGGAAGGACCCCTGCCCCCTCCCTCATCTCCCCTGTGCCTGAGTCTGTCCGGCTGTTCTCCTCTCCCCCAGCCCCAGTCCTGAGGCTTGTCCTGGAAGGACCCCCGCCCCCTCCCTCATCTCCCCTGAGCCTGAGTCTCCAGCCGGTTCTCTGCCCTTGTATTCCGAGTCCCAGGGCTCCTGTTTCCAGCCCTGCCTCGGACCGCAGGGTGCTGACCTGCCTTCCCCAGGTGCCAGTTTCTCATCAGGGCGTGGTGCCCGCCCTTATCCCCTGCATGTGACAGTGGAGGCCCAGTCCCCAAGTGTGGGTGCTGACTCACAGGGAAGAGCTGCTGGGAGCCCTATGACAGGTGTCCGCCCACCTCAGGGAACCTGTGGGTCCCAGCACAACCGGCGCTGTTGAGCGCAGGCGGCGGGCAGCCAGGCACCTGTTCAGAGCAATCCCACGGGAATGGCGGCCCCGCTCACACAGGCGCCGGGATGCAGGGCTGAGGTGGGCCCAGCAGCCAGCGTTTGTTGTCGGCCGGTTTGGGAGATGGCATTCTCTCCCTTGCTTGCAAAGCAGAGGGGAGAGGGGCTTGGCAGGTGGGTGGAATTGCCTGGCTTGTGCCACAAGGGCCATGTGATCTGAAGCAAGATTCTCTTGAGTGTCAGCCTGCGTGTACATCTGGGTGAGTTCACTGCACACCTACTGTGTGCCAGGAAGTGGGCTGAGCCCGGAGCAGGCGGCCTCCAGTGATCTTCCCCCAGTCTGGGCCAATGTGGTGGTGGTTCCTTCCAGAGCATCGATGACACAAGCCTTGTCCTGACCTGCGTTGTTTTGTGGGTGATTTGGGGACATGCTTCTGGTTGAGGATCTTGGGTGGGGTGGCCCTGGCTGAGGGGTGGCCTGAGGACAGACGAGGCTCCGAGTGCGGAAGGGCTGGCCTGCCCCACCAGAGCCTCCTGGCTCCATCTCTGAGCTGGTATTTATCGGCCTCCCCCAGTTGTGGGTTGCCTATGGTTCCAGACACAGACTGCTGGAAAGGTCAGGGGACTGTCCTCTGTGAACCACACCCTAGGCCAGACACCCTGGCCCACACTGAGAACCCCAGACACTGCCTGTCCCGGCAGAAGGGCACCCTGAGCTCTGTCCTGGGCTCACCTGTCCAGGTGGAGGCTGCACTGCTGGGGGCTGCTCTTGGGATGATTCACTCAACAACCAAGCGGGGGAGCACCTGGGCCAGGGCTGCAGTGGTGATAGGCTGTGCCCCCTGCCCTTGGGGAGTGAGAGGGACACAGGCCTAGTGCATTGAAGGCCAGGGCACCAGGAGGCCTGGCTAGCATGGCTGGTCTTCGGAGCGTCTCGAGGGGATGGCATCTGAGTGAGTGGGTAAGGAGGGTGTGGGGTGGGGGCCTGGCCTTGTGCTACTTGGGGAGCCCCACAGGGCTTAGAGAGGGACTATGCTGACGGCTCATAAACCCTTGAGTCCAGGACACAGGGGGCCGGCCGTGGCCACCTGGCCCCACCTGCTCTCCCCTGGAGATCCTGGGGCAGGTGCCCACAGGGTGAGGCAGGCTCCCCTTGTGGGGCCTTGGAGGAGGCGCTCCCCTGGTGTCTAGCCTGTGGCTTCTCCTGCCAGCCTGCTTTTCCCTAACCCCTGAGAGAGTTGGCCTGGGGAGACCCCACTGCCCCCAGCAGGCCTGACCTGCCCGCCCTTTTCCCGCATGCTGTCCTGCTGTGGGTGTCTGCAGGGCTACAGGGAGACTGCAGACGCTTTCTAGACTGACACTGGAGCATAGCCGAGGCCTTGGGTGCCAGACTCAGGCTGTCCTGCGCTGCGCTGAGGCTGCCTGTTCCTGTTCCAGGAGCCGCATTTTCTTTACCTCTTTAGGCCACAACAGGGTGTCCTTTCCTGATCAGAGAGTGAGGAAGGAAGGTCCAGGGTGAATGTGGGCCCGGGAGGCCAGGCAGGGGGCTGCCATGTGGGCATCTGCCATCTCATGGCCCTGGTCTGTAGAATGGGGAAGCCGTGGGGAGGCGCTGCCAGCGAGTGCAGGGGGCTTGGGCAGGCAGCCAGGGCTGTGCTCCTCCCGGCCATGGTCCCGGGCAGACCTCAGGCCTGGGCCTTTCTGGGAGTTTGGCTGAGCCTGACATCCAGGCGAGGCCCCAGGGCCGCCACGGCTGAGTTAAGGCTCGGCCACTTGTGTCTGGCTGAGGACCTCAGGCCTGGTCTCCAGGGCCCCCGTGTCCTTGCCAGGACACTGCTGTGCCATTGGGAGTGGCACTGGCGTACTTTTTGCTTTGGGGTCTGGTCCGTTCTGCAATTAGAGACTCCAGGGCGTCTCACCCCTGCCTCAGTTTCCCTAGCCCTTTCTCAAAGCAAAGGTTATTTGTTCTGTCCCTGAGCTCGCAAGGATGTCGCGTGAGGCTTATTTCAAGGGGCCCCTCGCATGTCCTCTTCCCCACAGGCAGGGCCCCCATGGGGCCCCCACATGTCCTTCCCTTCCCCACAGGCAAGGCCCAGCGGATGGCTCTAAAAGGGCAGCCTGGACCCAGCAGGCCCATCTAGCTCCAGGGCCACTCCATCTTCCCACCTGCCAAGGCTCGGTGTTACCTGTGGGTCACAGCCAGGCCAGTGGGGCCCCTGTCCCTAGGGGGTGGGTGTGTGGGGAACTACACTGCACCTGTGCACTTCCAGAAGGACCACTCTTCACGTCCCAGGGTCCAGGATAAGCCACTGAGGTTCTCCCTGTGCCAGCGCCGTCCCCGTGCCTGGAGACCCCCGTGGGTACCCACCCACTCAGCCTGGAGGCACGTTCCCTGGTCTCGCTCGGCCTCACTGGCCAATCTGCGAAATGGGAAGACTGTGATCTGTATCTCATGGGGTTGCTCAAGGAGGGCAGGAGCCGAGGTCCCAGCAGCCTGGGGGCTCTGCTGTTGGCTTTGCAAGATCCCTAGGGCTGGGTTCCCCTACCCGTCCCAGCCTGCGGAGTGAGCTGTTCCCACCCTGTTCTGTTCCCACCCTGTTTACCCACCAGTGCGCTGGGGTGCGGCCTGGGCAGGGCGGCAGCTCCAGGAAGGAAGTATGGCTGCCTGACGTGCCAGGGTCACCGGCCGTTTTTGTAGGGCTGGCTTGTCCAGTCCCTGGGCACTGATGCAGGTGTGACTCAGGGTCCCAAAGGGGATGGCAAAGCTCAGGCTGCCCCCCACCCATTTGATCTGCCTGGGAAGGGACTAACCCCTGGCCTGTGGCTGAAGATCCTGGGGCAAGGGATGGGGCTGGCTCCGTTTGTGGGGCCTCCTCAGGGTCCTGGCACCTTCAGCCCAGTCCACAACCCCGAGTGGTCAGGGTGCCATGTTCCCCAGCCCTAGTGGGGTTGCCCCCTCCCTCTGGCTGTCGTAGCCACCGTCCTCTGGCAGGGATGCTTCTGCTCCATGGGAGGCCTTCTCCTTGCCAACATCCCCTCATTTGCCCTCATTTGAGGCCCTTTCATTGGGTCCTATGGAGGGGTTCCTGGCTCCCCCAACAGCAAGGGGCCGTAAGCATGCTGGCCCAGAAGCTCAGGGTGCCTGCGTGCACCAGCGGGCGTGTGCACCAGCGTGAGGAGTGTGCATGCACATGGACGTGCTTCTGTGTGAGCACACGAAGTTGGTTCTCAGAATGCTCAGCCTGTATTAAATGCTCACAAGGTGCTCATGGAAGATGATGAACTGGCTGCTGATTTGGGTACGGAGGCCAGTTCTGGCTATGAGGCCAGGGGACTTGGAGACATCAGCCTGCAACCCTGGGCGGGGGTGGGGGCTGGTTTTGGGCAAAGGCTCATCTTCCACAGCTTAACTCTGGCAAACCTTTTCTGTAAGTGAAAGTCGCCGGCTTGGGTGGCCCCACTGTGGCCTGGCTCACGGACAGCGTATAAAGGAACCTGGGGGCTGTGCTGTGTGCTAGTAAAACTTTCTTCACAAACGCTGGAGCGGCCAGGTGTGGCCCGCTGGCCCCCGGGGTGCATGGGGTCTGTGCTCCTCGGTCCTGGCGCCAGCACCTGGCTGGGACTGGTGAGGGCACCGCCCGGGACTGGCCTCCCTTTCTCGCGAAAGTCTTAGCCCATCAGAGTTGAAGGCAGCCCGCTTCCCACGGCTGCTGCAGGGCTCAGTGAGACCATTTGCACAGGGGGCCCAGCCCGCACTCCAGAGATGCTCCTGCCGTTGCTAGCCCGTGGCTGCAGGCCCCACAGCGGTGCCTGGCCAGAGGAGAATGGGGCGGGTGGCGCTCACTCTGACCACCCCCACCCACCACAGAGCAGAACCCCCCGCCCCGTGTTCATCCCCTCACAGGCCCCAAGGCCACTGCTGTGCCCTCCCCGGCGAGTCGCAATGCTGTGTTGCTTTTCTGTCTCTTTCTCTCCATCTCCCTCTCTTTTTTCTCTGGTTTAGCTAGAGCGGTCTTGAAAATTGCATCTGGTTTGTTACCAGTTACGCGTGTTCCCTGTGGAAACGTGGATTCTGTGGACCCGTTTTCCATGGTCTGTGGTAACATCAGCGTTCGCAGAACTGTTTTCCTGACGCGCTCACAGCAGCTTGTTGGGCGGGATGAGGCCAACAGGGGACAGGGCTCGGGGACATTGGCTGCACTTGGGCCTCGAGAATGATGGGGCAGCCAGGTGCCCGTGCAGCGAGGTGGCCTGCACTCTAGGACGTGAGCTGCTTCTGAGGACAAATCCCCCAAAGCCACGCACAGTGCTGGGCACTAGCCGTTAAGCGCAGGCTGCCCGGCCCAGCGAGTCCCAGGATGAGAAGGCCTTTACAACTGGGATTGGTGTCCCGGCTGTGGCAGCCGCGGGGCCTTAATTGTGGCTCCCCCAGCAGTGGCTGCTCCTGCCCCCTGTGCCCCTTCCCCTGCAGCTCGTGTGGCCCAGCAGGGCAGGACCTGAGGGTGCCAGGTGGGCAGATGGGGATGAGGGCTCTCTCGGGGCCACTGAAAGCATCTGGGCCATCTCCAGAGGGCTCAGCCCCGGGCCACGCGCAGCCCCACCCCAGACACACGTCATGCACCTGGAACCCTGCTCCCGTAGGACGGCATTCTCCAGGGCTCCTGCAGGACGGCATTCTCCAGGGCTCCTGCAGGACGGCATTCTCCAGGGCTCCTGCAGGACGGCATTCTTCTGGGCTCCTGCAGGGAGCTTTCTCCAGGGGCTTGCTTTGGGGGTTGAAGCGTTGCCTGGCCCTAGGGGTTGTCTTCCCTGAGTCCCCCAGCCCCTCGGAGAGGAGGGAACGGCTGAGCCTGTGAGCAAGGAGCCTGAGTTTTGGGGTCCAGGGCCATGGGTCACAAGCAGCCAGACCCCTCCCCGGGCCAGGTCAGGCCTCCTGGGAGCATTCCTGCTGGGGTCCACATGTCCCCTGGGGCCATGGACTGAGATTCGGAGCCTCTGGGCCTGTCTCTGGCCAGGGAAGCAGCTGACCTCCCGGCCATATGCTGCTTGGCTTTGGAAGGCACATGTCTTGCCCTGCTGTGTCCAACCCAGGACATACGTAGGGAGCATGGGCATTGGTTTACCGTCCTGAAATACAGCCCTGGACTCAGGGCATGGCTCGCTGCCCAGACCTGCCGGAGCATGGGTCGGGGGCCTTGGCTCTGGGGGCTGGTGCGGGTGGCAGATGTGCCAGGGTCCCTTCTCACTGTGGTTTCTCTCTCTCCATTGCCAGGTCCGGCCTCTTTGGCCTACCCCCGTTGGCTCCGCTGCCCCAGGTCGATGAGTCCCCTGTCAACGACAGCCATGGCCGGGCTCCCGAGGAGGGGGATGCAGAGGTGATGCAGCTGGGGTCCAGCTCCCCCCCTCCTGCCCGCGGGGTTCAGCCCCCCGAGACCACCCGCCCCGAGCCACCCCCGCCCCTCGTGCCGCCGCTGCCCGCCGGAAGCCTGCCCCCGTACCCTCCCTACTTCGAAGGCGCCCCCTTCCCTCACCCGCTGTGGCTCCGGGACACGTACAAGCTGTGGGTGCCCCAGCCGCCGCCCAGGACCATCAAGCGCACGCGGCGGCGTCTGTCCCGCAACCGCGACCCGGGGCGCCTCATCCTCAGCACCATCCGCCTGCGGCCGCGCCAGGTGCTCTGTGAGAAGTGCAAGAGCACGCTGAGCCCCCCGGAGGCCAGCCCCGGACCCCCAGCCGCGCCCAGGGCCCGCAGGAGGCTGGGCAGCGGCCCGGACAGGGAGCTCCGCAAGCCGGAGGAGCCGGAGAACGGCGAGCCCACGGCTGCGGCCACCGCCAGGAGGAGCAAGAGGGAGAGGCGCGAGGAGGACAGGGCCCCGGCAGAGCAGGTCCCGCGGAGCCCGGTCATCAAGATCTCCTACAGCACGCCCCAGGGCAAGGGAGAGGTGGTCAAGATCCCCTCCCGCGTGCACGGCTCTCTGGAGCCCTTCCGTCCCCAGCAGGCCCCGCAGGACGACGGCAGCCAGGACCCCGAGGTGCTGGACAGAGAGTCCCGGGACCGGCCGTCCTGCGCGCCCTCGGCCTCCATCCCCAAGTTGAAACTGACACGGCCTGTGCCGGCCGGCGCGGACCTGCCGCCCCCTAAGATCCGCCTGAAGCCCCACCGTCTGGGGGACAGCGAGCACGAGCCCGTGTACCGGGCCGAGCTGGTGGGGGAGCTGAACGGGTACCTGCGGGACAGCTCGCCGGCGCCCTGTGCGGACGGCCCTGCCGGTGGGCTGGCGGACTTGTCTTCTGGAAGTTCGGGTGAGGACGATGACTTCAAGAGCTGTCCCCAGGGTCCACAGGGACGCGAGGGCTTGGCTTTTCTCGTCAGCTGCCCTGAGGGGAGAGCGGACTGTGCCAGTGAGTCGGCGTGCAGCAGCGACAGCCTGGACGAGGCCAGATCGTCCGGCTCGGAAGGGACGCCGGCAGACACGGGTGACCTCTCGCCTGGCCACGGCGCGTCAGCGCCCTCGGTGTCCAGAGAGGCTCGCCAAACGGTGCCGCCCCTGACGGTCAGGCTGCACACACAGAGCGTGTCGGAGTGCATCACGGAGGACGGCAGGACTGTGGCCGTGGGGGACATCGTCTGGGGTAAGATCCATGGTTTTCCTTGGTGGCCGGCGCGTGTTCTTGACATCAGTCTCGGCCAGAAGGAGGACGGAGAGCCGTCTTGGCGAGAAGCGAAGGTCTCGTGGTTTGGTTCTCCGACTACGTCGTTCTTGTCTATTTCAAAACTCTCCCCTTTCTCTGAATTTTTCAAACTGAGATTTAATCGTAAGAAGAAGGGGATGTATCGGAAAGCTATAACCGAGGCTGCAAATGCCGCAAGACACGTGGCCCCGGAAATCAGGGAGCTCTTAACCCAGTTTGAAACGTAACTGGTTCCCTGACCAGGTGAGTGTGCCAGCGGCAGCCTCCTTCCCCCCAGCGGCCCAAGCTCACACCTGTGTCCAGGCCATGCCTCTGCTCCGGGCCCTGAGGCCCAGGGAGCCGCCGCCTGTGCCCCTCAGCTGGCTTGCTTGGGGCCCCAGCCGTCTGGAAAATGGTTGCCCTCACTGGTGATGCCATCTGCGCTTCTGATTCACACAAGAGGCGCACTGCAAGGAGGCCAGCCACCGCTGGTGCTTGTTGGAAGCACACAGCGAGTTTGTGTTTGGCAGCCATTTTTCAAAGGCCGGAAGGGAGCTTCTCATGCTCTCAGTCGTTGTTTGGAGTCAGGGATGTGGTTTGACGGATCCTGGGGAGGGGAGAGCCCAGGCTGAGGCCCTGTCTTGCGTTACTCACTCAGGGAACAAACTCTCACTGCTCTTTCCAAAGATCAGAGCGGGCATCTCCCTCCTCCTGCACGCGGATAGGCCATCCCAGGACATTAAAGGAGGGAGGGCGAGGTGAGCTTCCCACCCTCAGATGAAGCCCCCACCCCAACTCCCCAGACTGGCCCAGCCCTGCCCCCTGTGACCCCCCAAATCTTCCTCCTGGGTCAGTGCGCACTCCGTCGTCAGCAGGCTGTGTGCGTGGCCAGGCGCCCGGGACCTGGGACATGGTGTGGGGGCCTGTTCCCGGGGACGGCGTCTCACTGTCGGCCTCTACTACGAGCACTTTCTAGAATCTCCAGCCAGGCCTTGTGTGGATTCTCTGTGCCTGGGGGGCACTACGCTGTGTGGAGGTGTGGGGGTGTCACCTTGTGGGGCTGGGGGCACCACCCATGCCCCTGTAATCACCACGTGGGGCATCCGGAGCCTGCCGAGGGGCTGTTTTCTGCCCTGAGCTCCTGAAGGCCACTCTCCCAGCTCCAGAGGCCTTCTCAGCACCTCCTAGATGCCCCTCTTGTCTTCCCAGCAGGAGAAGGCAGGCCAGGGAGCAGTCCTTTCTGGGTGGGGGCAGCTGGTGGCCCTCTGTGCTCTTCTTCCTGGCTCCATGGCCTAACCACCCCATGGATGCAGAGATTCCAGGGCCAGGGGCTGTACGCAGAGGGCAGGGGCAGGGCTCCGCCTAGGCCTTGGTGACGTCTGGTGACCTTGTCTTCCCTGGCCACCTGCCCAGAGGCCTTAGAGTTTCCCAGGTGACCGTCCTCGGGCCTTTGTTGGGGGCGGGGACTGGAGCGCCTGGTGCCCCTCCACTGCTGCACCCTGCGTATTGGGGTTCCGGCGGAAGCAGTGATGAGAGACCACTGTGGTTGAGCCAGGGTCCCCAGGGTCCCCAGGCTGCCTGGCTGCCCAGGCTCTGGCCTGGCCTCACCCCCTCCCTCCAGCCACCCGGCTGCATCTGCCTTGCTCTCCTGAGGCCAGGCACAAACCTGGCTGCTCCCCCCGCCCCAGGAACCAGGCCCTTTTCTGATCAGTTCTGGGGCCTTGGGGCAGGCGTGGGGCAGGTGCCTTGTTGGCGAGTGGGTGTGGGTGCCGTCTCTCAGCTTGAGTCTGGGGAGTGTCTCAAGCCAGGGCACCATCTTCTGAGGGGTAGGAGGAGGGTCAGAGGACTCCCGTCTGCTGTCCTGGGGGGCCCTCCCCGAGTTCTGGACTCAGGCATTTGCGAGGCATGACATCCCCCCACGCAGGACGTCTCCAAGTGAGGCCTGAGGCCTTGGCTGGCAGGGAGTGCCCAGCCGGGAGGGAGGACGGGAGGACACAGTCTTGCAGGCTCAGGGCCGGCTGTGTTTATCCGGAAGTGGAGGAAGAATCTCACCAGACGGGTTTGCCTGCCTCCACGGGGGGCAGTGCCTGCACACGGGGCCTGCGCCGGGACCAGCCCCCTGCTCTGGGAGTGGGGGTGCCGGATCCTTTCAGCACCAAAGCGCAGAGTGGTGTGTGCCTGGTTGGCTTTTTGGTCTTATTTCCTGAGGGCTAAAGACCAAGTGCTCAGTGTGATCAGAGCTGGTGTCTCGTGGGGCCTGGGATCTCCCGCCCTCTGTGGGGTTGGTGGTCCTTGAGGGACACGTTTGCTTTGAAGTGTCAGCAGCGCACCTCTGGTCTGCTCTTTGTAGGGGAAATGCGGGGGTACCTGCCTTTCCTGGGAAGGGGGACCCGCCACCACCATCGTGAAGGCGCCTCTCTGAGCAGAGGCTGAGTGAGGTGTGGGGCGCTGCTGGCCATGCCCGAGGGAGGGGCGGGAGGAGGAGGCTGGTGTGGGGGCTGGAGCTCGGGCAGGGAGGCCTTCCGGGGAAGGTCGTCCTCCCAGCTCCCGCCCACCGGCCACCCTGGCCTGGCCCCAGCCGCTCCTGCAGCTGCCCGAGGATGAGGACGGGGATGGCTGGGCGGTGTCAGAAGCTTCCTGAGGTTTGTGGGTGTCTGCTGCCTGAGGCACTTGTCAAGGAGCAGTCACCGCAGGCACCACGAGATCGGCTCCGTTGCAGGGACACTGAGCCCAGCATCTACCCATGAGAGACCCCTCACTCTCTCTCAGCTTGCTGCGGGGCTGGAGGCCCTGCTCAGGGGTAGGCGGATGCCCCACAGACCACAGGGTGCCAGGGCATTGGGCCTGTGGCCGGCAGTGCCAAGAGGCAGCCTGGCTGGCACAAGGGACGGGCACATCGGCCTCAGCAGGGGCCGCGCCAGGACGCATGGCTGTGACACACTTGGGCACCCCTCCGTGTGAGGTCCTGATGGAGGTGCGCCGAGGCTGGGCTGGCCTCCTGTGCAGGAATAGAGGCCGTTGGGCCTTGTCCCAGCCGGTCACCTGCTGTTGCGGTCTCAGGGAGCCAACACCTCTGAGCCTGTTTGTTCACCGCTCCCAGGGTAACAACAGGTCCCGCCTCTGAGTGAGCCGCACTCCACCCCGGTGGTCACGGCCGGCTCCAGGGCCTGTGAATGGCCTGTGGCCGCTGCCCTTGGAGGTGACCACTGTGCCCTCTCAGGCTGGCAGGAGAGGCCGTTCCCTGGGACTTCTCCTACACCCACAGGGACCCCATGGGATTAGAGCTGAGGTCCGGGGCGGGGGCAGGTGGTGGAGACCAGGCTCTGGGGTTACTGTGCCTGGGAGCAGCCTCCTGCTTCAGGTGCAGGCACCGGACATGCAGGGTCAGGGGCCCAGCAGGAGCTGCCTGGCCAGGCTTGTCCTGCAGCTGGGAATGGGGACCCAGAGAAGGCAATGCCACCCACACCCCCACCACCGCCTGGGCCCACCGAGCCTGAGAGGGGAAGGCAGCTCCTCCCCAGGGTGAGCCCCAGGGCCTCGGGCTGGGGTCCTGCCCCTGTCCAGGCTCAAGGTCCTCTCTCTGCTCCCCTGGTCTCTCCCTCACCACCCACCCACCCACCCACCCACCCACACCTCTACTGAGGGCCAAGCACTCCACTGGGCCCAGGCTAGAAGGGGGCCAAATGGGGAGGGCTGTGAATCACCAGTTCCCAAATTAGTGCATAATCACACACAGGAACTGCTGAGAAGGAAGGGAAGAGGGGCTTGAAGCAGAGCATCCAGCGAGAAACCTGGCCTGGACTGGGATCCGGGAAGGCTTCCTGGAGGAGGTGGCAGGAGCCAGGATCTGAATGGTGAGCTAATCAGGAGCTGATGGGGTGAGGGTGGGGGCAAGTGTTCTAGGCAGGAGGAGGGCAGGGCATGTTCCAGGGGTTGCGGAGGTGGTCAGGGGGCCCGGTGGGCCAAGGCACAGACTCTGGGTGCTGTTGGAGAATTACAGACAGAGGAGTGAGATGGTCTTGTTATTATTTGTCAGTTAAAAATAAAATGAAACTTTAAAAAAATCTGATAGCTTTACAAATAAAAGCAGTGACCTCCAGCTGTGAGGACAGGGAGAGTGACGGGGGACGGGGAGGCTGGGCGGTGTGCAGGTGTCGCTCCTGGAACTAGGGGAGCCACGGTCTGTGCCCCGCATCCTCAGGGGTGGCTCCAGTTCTCGGGAGGTGCCTGAGGCCTGGCTGGAGGCATCTCAGGGGAAAGCTCAGAGGCGGGTCAGGCAGAGGGCTGGGGGCAAGGATCCGTATTCATCGGGGGGGACCTGGGCCAGGACAATGCTTGGCGGGGAGCTCCACAGACTGGCTGCTTGAGGCAGAGGCTTTGGAGCAGCAGAGGCAGGTGGAGATGACAGGTGACTGGATGTGTGCACTGTGCGGGAGCAGGAAGGAGGGTGGCGGAGAGTGGGTGGCACTGGCCAGCCGTGTGGGGAGGACCTGAGGGGCTCGGGACCTTGCCCGTCCTGCACCTCAGCACCACTGCAGGGGAGGGGGGCGTGCCCAGAGGGGCGGCGGGCTGCCTGGTGTTTTGGGAGCCATGAGGGCCAATGGGGACACCTGGTCCTGGGAGCCGTGAGGGCCAACGGGGCACCTGGTCCTGGGAGCTGTGAGGGCCGACGGGGCACTTGGTCCTGCACAGGCACCTCCTGTGCTTCCCTGTCGTGGCCAGGGCAGGCCGTGCTCCACCGACGTGCGGACTGGAAGCTGGGCACCTCCCTGAAGTGGGGACTCAATGCTCTCCTGGTGTCCCGGCCTCTTGGGCAAGGGGGAGATTTCACAGCTTCCAGACAGTGCAGGCTGGAGGGGTCCAGCCTCCTGTGGCCCCAGGGGCCCAACCCTTTCCCCTCCTGCCCTGGCAGGGGACTTTTGGGGGCGTACCCAGCACAGCCTCCGTCAGCAGTTGGGAGCACGGGGTTTCTGCGCCACTGGACGGTCAGTGTTCCTGGGGTCGTCCTTGTCTTCTGTGAGTTTCCTGTAGCTGCTGTAACAAACCTCCACACACTGGGGCTCTGAGACCACAGGCGTTTATTCCCACGCCTCTGGGGGTCAGGAGCTTGAGTCAAGGCGAGCAGGGCTGTGCGCCTTCAGCTCCAGACAAGAATCCCTCTTGCCTCCACAGACCTGGGGGTCCAGGCTTCCCCCTCTCATGACCACGTCGCCCCAGGCTCTGCCTCCATGGGCTCAAGGCCGCTGCCTCTTCGAAGTACCCTGGTGGCATCTGGGGACCCGTAGATAGCGCGGGAGGGGCCGCTCATCTGGAAACCCTTTAATCACAACGCAAACACGATGTGGCAGAAGGTGCCATTCCCAGGCTCCCAGGACGAGGAGCACCCGGTCTCATTCACTCCACATCCCCAGCGGTTGTGTGGGCAGCGCGGGCACAGCCCAGGGTCCACCCGAGCCTCATGTCCGACAGAAGGGAAGGCCCCAGGAAGCAGGGGTGGAGATGGGCTTCAGCCCAGGGGCCCGTGGGGCAAGGGAGGGACCCACTGCTTCAGAAAGGTCCGCTGTGCACAGGCCATGGGGGCAGCATGGGCCGCTTCCGACCTTCAGCTTCATAATGTTGATTTCTCCTGGGAAATAAAGATAATAATCAGGAAGCTGCCCGGCACTGGAGTGCTGAGTCGGCAGGAGCCGCTGCCGGGACTTGGGAGAGTGTGGTGCTCACTGGAGTCTCCGGGCCAGAAGCAGCGACGCCGCCGTCTCCAGGCTTCGGCTTTTCTGATTGATGTTTTCCTTTTAGAACAGCGTCCTTGAGCTTCCTGCACAAAACTTGCTTTTCTCTTCCTCCAACTCTAAATAAAAACGCTCTTCTGCTTCTGAGGACGGGTTTCTCAGCTGACTTCCCTGCGTTGCTTTCAGGGAATTCAGGTCCCACGTGAAGGTTGTAATTATTTTGTTCCAGAAGGAAACAGAGGCCTGTAATTCTGAGCCTGCTGCAGGGGCTCAGGCCCCGCCCTACCTCCTGGCTCCCAGCAGCCGGGCAGCCGGTCCTTGCCGCTTCCTCCCAGCCAGCAGCTTGGGCATTGAGGCCATGTTGGTGGGGCAGGCGGGCAGGTGCTGGGGTGTTTGGAGTTGCTTCTCAGGGGGTCAGATGCCTGGGACATGGGGGACTTTCCCAGTGTGGGGGGACACTGCTGGAGGCCCCTGCTCACCCATGCCTTCAAAGCCAAGCGTTGTGCCCACCTCTGGTGAGATGCCCTAATACTATGCGGACCTGTTGCCAGACCTCCTACTTGCTTCCTGGGTCTCACCTTCAGCTCCAAATCCTTGCCCCTGACCCCACCGGGCTTCAATGCCCTGGACAGGGCATGTGCCCCATGTCAGAGGATTGGGAGTGGAGGGTGGGACTTCCTGCACTCCATGGGGCTCACTCTCTTACCAGGACCCCTTCAGGGGCCGTGGGAGCTCCTGCCCGGCAGGAGGCTGTTCTCTCCTGGAGACCCGGGGGTTGGTTGTGGGCTTGGGGTTGTTGGCCTAATCCGTTCCCGATCAAGTTCACCCAGGTTTTCACCCTGGGGCTCCGCCTACCGTTGGTGATCACTTTAAGATTTGCTCTTTCAGGAGGGATTACGAGGTGCTGGCCCTGGTCTTCATTTACTCACTGGAATTCTTGCAGAAAAGCCTCTTTCCTTACCAGCTTTCAGTGGCACTGCACCAAGACTTGCGGCCACCCCCCGCTTGCAGAGAATTCTCATGGAGGCCAGGGTAGATGTGGGGGCTGGTTCCCCAGCTCCTTCCAGCGTGGCCGAGGAGTCCCTCCTGAGCGTGTGTGTCTCGTGAAAGCGCACATGTTTGCTAACATATCTAGTTGGGTTCGATCCACACAAGTGCTATTCTTTCCATGCTCAGACGGTGCCATCTTGGGTCAGCTGGCGGAGGCCAGCGCCAGTGTCCTGTGGTGACCACAGCAGCCTGCTGGCATCTTTGCCCCCGCCGTGCCACGTCATCTGGGCTCACTGTGCGTTTTCTGGCTCAGGCCTGAGGCAGCCACGTCCCTGGGAGCTCTGCTTCCTGCTTTCTGCCCCTCGGGCCGCTGCTGTTTCTAAACCTTTGCAGTCAACACAGCTAGGATTCACTTTTGTGTCTGATGCCGGAAATCTTGACGTTTAATGTTAACATGATCAATTTTATAGATGTAAAGGTTAATATATCTATATCAACATGTAATATAGGTGTGTAAAATATTTAAAATATAACAACATAATGTCACATATTACTGAAAATAATATATGTAATACTATTCTGATGCAGTATGATAGTTTCGGAAGAAAAGGACCCTAGCACCTCCCACCAAGGAGGGTGCCCGCGGGCGTCCCGGTGGGTGGTGGCAGTGAACGCCTGAGCTCGCCCTGCCCGTCTTTTTGTCCTGGGGTCTGGCCCTTTGGGGTATGTGTCACATCCCTCTCTCTGTGGCAAAGTCATGACCTCAGAACACACTTAAGCATCTTCATTCACTTTCTATTTTTGGAGACTCCTCGTTTTTTTAAAACCCACTGTGTTAGGATTCTGTGGCACCTCCGCAGCCCTGGGTCCACTCCCGTCCTGGTCTCCCCGGCCTTCCTGTGGCCGCATCTGGGCAGGGCCCCATCGTCCTTCCGGGCTTCCAGCCTAAGCAGGCCCCACGCCGGCTTCTCCTCCCCGCCCCTCGCCTCCTTGTGATGTGCAGAGCTGTGGGACACACCCAACTCCCTGGGGGGACTCTGGCTGTCCCAGTCTTTTCTCCAACAAGCTGTGGGGAGGGTGTGAGCCACCAGCTTTCTCACCATGGAGAAGGTGTGGCCCAGGCAGGGAGGTGCTGGTGCCTTGGGGCCTCAGAGACAGTGGGGTGGGAGAGAGGTAGGTGAGCACGAGACTCCGACCCCGTGTCCCGGTGGGGGCTCTGAGGGCTCCCAGGCAGGTGGGGCCCCAAGGCCTCCAGGTTCCTGAGAACACCTCATGTCCTGGAGGCCTCAGTGACGCAGAGCAGCTGAGCTCAGCTCCATGAGCGAGGGTCATCTAGAAAGGTAGGAGAGACGTGAGGAGCGGCCAGTGCTGCTCCAGCCTTGGAGTCTGTGTCTCTGCTGCCGGGAGAGGGAAGGCTCCTGCGAAGGCCACTGCTGCTGTTCGGGACGAAGGGCCCGTCCAG
Source organism: Homo sapiens (assembly GCF_000001405.40). NCBI lineage: Eukaryota > Metazoa > Chordata > Mammalia > Primates > Hominidae > Homo > Homo sapiens. The sequence continues at coordinate 132,414,207 of NC_000010.11, forward strand.
GCTGTCTCCTCCCAAGGCCCGTTACACATGTTTCTAATGAGGATAGTGGCTGATGGATGTTTACCGACATTTCCAAAGGTCATGCTGTTGTTGATGGAGAAGGACTTGGATGGTTTTAATGACCTCCTGGGGCTGTGTGTTTCTTTGCAGGGAAGTGTGGTTGCCTTTGATTTGAGCCTCTTTCGAATCCTAAAATGCTGCATTAGAAGGGATGGACGAAGCAGGTTCCAGGCATGGCAGGGACCCCACTTGTGCCACAGCACCAGCTGTGGCCTCTGCGGATCCCCCAAACAGCCCTCCTCCTGACCCATCTTGCACGCAGTCCCTGGTGACTCCCTAGAAGTTTGGGAGGGACCCCAGGGGCTGGAGGATGCATAGGTGGAGCTGCTGCGATTCCGGGGTCGGCCTCTACCTCGCTGTCAGCCGTGGAGTGGGTGGCTCAGTTTGCCTTGTTACAGCTGCCTCTTCCTTCTGAGAAATGGAAGATGGTATTTGTAGGAATGCGTTTGTGTGACCGGCTCTAATCCTCGCAAACATTCCTCACAGGGACTGTTCAGCTTCCCGCACAGAATCTGCGGGGTCGGAGGAAGTCATTCCAGGACTGAGAAAGTGAAGCCTCGTGGTGTGGAGGCACTGACGCATGGCTCTGTCTAGGAGTCACTGTTGGTACCCCCGGCAGGTCTCAACTGGCGTTGGGCTGGGGACTGTGTCAGCGGGGCCTCCGAGAGCCTCCTGCTCCCCCTGGGACGTGAATGGGAGATGGTCCAAAATGCAGCTTCTCTTTAATTTGTGTTTGTGTCAATCTTACTATGTACAATTTTTACAAGTCCAGTGGTCACATGCAATATGTAATGACAAGAATTCACCTTCGTATTTCTAGACGATGTACTGCTGCTGCTGCTTGATCCTTAAGTTTTCAATTTAGACGTTAGTTAAGGGCTTTTTCTATGGAAGATGAAGAGGCTGAGATCTCTCCTGTTCACTGCCACACATCCACATCCACTCTCACACACACACCCACTCACACTCACACACATCCACTCACACACACACCCGCTCACACATTCACATCCACTCTCACACACATATCCACTCACACTCACACACATCCACACACACCCCCCCACACACATATCCACTCACACACATCCACTCACTGTCACACACGTCACTCACACTCATTTACTCACACACATCCACTCACACTCATTTACACACGCACACATGCACTCTCACACTCACATCCACTCACACACGCACTCTCACATTCACTCAAACACACCCACTCACACACATCCACTCACATCCAGACATCCACTGTCACACACACGCACTCTCACACACATTCACACAAACACACATACACACACATCCACTCACACACACCCACTCACATTTACTCACACACATCCAATCACACATCCACTCACACACCCACTCACACACACATGCACTCACACACTCACACACACATATCCACACACACATGCACTCTCACACACATCCACTCACACACACATCCACTCACACACATCCACACACACACAATGTTTGGCTAACTCAAGACTTGGTGTTTATGTTAATGATTTTAGCCCATCCATGTAGAGGATTATAGATGTTGCCGGCCCTTTCTTCTCTGTAGCATTGATCCCGGCTTGGTGCTTGGTCTTCAAATTGTTTACAGTGTTGTCACTCAGGAATGCCCAGCGTGAGGAGAAAGAATCCCCTCTTACATTCATGCTCACACACACATCCACCCTCACACTCTCACACGGCACACGCCTGCAGGTGCCCTCCAGGCCTCCCCGCGTGCCGCTGGGCTTCCTCACGGCATGGTGGTCTCAGGGCGGTTGCAGTTTCTCCCATGGCAGCCCAGGGCTTCCACGAGGGCAGCACTGGAAGTGGCAGTGGCCTCTCCGCGGGGCCGGGACAGGGGCAGGTCCCTCCAGTGACTTCTCGGCGGGGCTGCGACAGGGGCAGGTCCCTCCTGCCCTGCTGTGGTCAGGCAGGGCCCATGGGGCGCCTTTGTCCTGACAGGAGGAGTGGCGGGGCTGGCGTGGCCCCGTGCACCCTCGGCTCTGCAGGCTCCGCTGCCTTCCCCGTCCCTGTGCTCTCCACCCACCGGCTGGTGGAGAACTGGGGCTGACAGTGTCTGTCTCTCTGTTTGTTGGATTTAGGGGGCTGCTCTCTTCAGGGCCCAGGGTTGGCCCTGGGTTGCGGGGCTGACGGGATCGTCTGTCCCCGCCAGGTCTTTTTGCCTGAGGTGGCCATCCGGGGCCTGCGTGGGCTCAGGTGGGGGGCGATGGAAGCAGGGCTGACACCTGGGGCTCCGCACAGATCTGGGAAAGGGTTTTCCCCTCAGGGTCTAGCCCTCCCTTCCCACCCTGGGATCCCCATGCGTGGGGCTGTGTCCTGGTGGAGGGGGCTTGGGGCTCCTCCCCAGGCTCGGGTCTCCACGGGGCCGTCAGTGCGAGGCGAGGGTCCCCGGAGTCATGTATGGGGGTCCTTCCACACCATGAGCCCGGCACAGGCATGGTCGTCAGCCCCCACCAAGAGGCCACAAGGCTCCAGGCCCGCTGGCTTCTCCGTGGCCCTGCGTGTAGGGCCTGTGGACTGCGGGACTTCAGGGCTGTGGTCTGAGCCCCCAAGCATGGAAGACCCTGCACTCTCTCCCAGCACAGCCGGGCTGTGGGCCCTGAGGGAAGGAGGGCCGGCAGGAGCTGGGGGGCGGTGGAGGTCCCGGGTGAGCCTCAGGCCCTCCGGGGCACCCTGACCTGCTGCTCAGACCTTGAGGGGCTGGTCCCCCATACTCGACCCTGAGTTAAATCTCTGCCCCTTTTTGCTTTCCCCCAAGGTCACCGACGATGAGGGCGCACCTGCTGTCCTGGAGCTTCCGATCTCTGTTCGGGGACCCTGTGAGCCTTCTGGCCGGCTGCGTGCAGAGCCCACTGGGCACGGTGGTCGGCCTGGTGTGAGGCCCCCCGGGGACCGGCAGTGTGTCCAGGGAGGGGATGGCCCTGAGCCCAGCGGCTCCTCCCGCTGAGTGTATTTCTTCCCACCACTCAGCGCATGGCTGCCCTGGCTCACGAGGCAGTCGGGACTCGTGACTTGCTGGCTGCTGGCTGCTGCTGCCTCGCGCGCTGGGGTTCCATGGAGGAACTGGGCCTGCCGCCCCGGCCTCACCTGCTGCCCGCATGCTGGGGTCCCATGGAGGAACCAGGCCTGGCGCCCCGGCCTCGCCCAGCGGCTGGTGTGGGCAGCTGTTCCCTGCCTCGCAGTGTCCTGGAGGCAGCTGTCTCGCAGACTCAGCTTGGTCTCCCGCAGGCTTCAGAAAAACCCAATTGCACGTGTGGGATTCTTCCCCAGCCCTTGGGTGCGGGGTCTCTGTGCACTTGAGAGCTGGGGGACCCACCCACCGTCTCCCACTCCAAGTTCATCCCAGAGCGTGGGGCCCGCTGGGCACCTGGCACCTGGCCTGCAGATGCTGCTACGAGTGACCAGTGCTGTGTGGAGGAGGCCAAGGGCGGCCCCTGGGAAACCGGGCTTCAACAGTACAAGGAAAAGAAACTTGCTCTGTTTTGTAAGAGCGTGTTCCTTTTCCTCTTTTTTGTCACTTTAAAGACCAAAAAGAATAAAGAAAGAAAAGAAAAAAATTAATCTGCTCTTTCTTTGTTTAAATGTTAAAAACAAAAAGAGAGAGAAACATATGTCATAGTTGAAGTTGTGACTTGTGCGGCCACAGTTCACACTCATGCGTGTGTCCCTGTCGGGGCTGACGGGGCCTGAGTCCCCTGGGCACTGCTGGGCGGGGCCCATGTCGTACGGGTTGGGGTGACGCCGCCACCGGCTGCATCTCGCTGCCTCCAGGTGGGGGGACGCTGGTCACCGCCCTGAGCCCCAGGAGGGCTGTGGGCTGAGTCCCCATCTCCAGGCCTCCCTGCTGGCTTTCCAGTGGACGCTGGGATTTCCTGGAGAGGCAGTGCTCTGCACGCGGGGAGCTTTGTTCTTTGTTTCCTGGAGTGACTCCTCTCATCCCTTGTTTCTTGATTTGCTCATTCAGAACCAAGGGAGATCTCAGAGATGACGATGGTGGCTTTGCTTGTTCCTGGTTTTGCTAGAACATTCTGTGCTCTAAAGGCATCGCTGCCCTCAGCAAGGATCGTCTGGCGGGGGAGGGGTCGGGGGAGGGCAGCAGCATACACCTGGAGGGTCCTCTCCAGGGCACATGAGGGAACAACCCTCATGGTTTCCTATGGTTCTGGACCTGACTTGCGAGGAGGGGCATGGTTTTCAAACTGGTTTGTAGCAGCAGAGCCCTTTTCTCCAACAAAATCACCCAGAATCACTTCCTCCCGGAGGGGCTGGGCTCATCCTCCTGAAGCCCTCCAGGCCCAAGAGTCCTGGGAAGCCTTTGAAAATCCAGGGAGGGGCTCGCATGAGCCCAGGAGAGCAGAGCCAGGACTTGAGAGGAATGAGAGCAGCTCCCCTTCCCCTCCTCCCTCCCCGGCCCTGCCCACGTGGGTGCAGCAGAGTCAGGGCCCTGGCCCTTGGGGCTGGGCATCTCATCCCTCTGAGCTCCGGTGCCCAGGGGCTGCCCCTGCCTGATCTGCTGCTCGGGGTGACTCCCCCTGCCGCACACCCCACTTTGCACCCAGGACCTCCTACTGACTAGGGTTGGCTCCCCTTTACGAAGGAAGGCCTTCGTAAAGCTTGGCACTGCTTCAAGAAATGTGTGTGTCCAATGGAAGGAGCAGGCCTCACCCCTGGGACAAAATATGCGTGCAGCCCTGGGCACATTCACTCCCAGCTGCCCAGCCTGCAACTAGAGCTCAGCCACTGCAGGTGACAGCAACGGGACCCGCCTTTGAGCCTGAGGCCAGGACTGACGCCACAGCCTGCAGCTCCTCCCCAAGCCCAGCCCCAGCCCTTGCCCTTCAATCCTGAGACCCTGAGATGCATGGGTGGGGCTTTCATCCGGTGAGGAGCGGAGGCCCAGGGAGGTGGGTTCCCCAGCTGCCAGTACCCACTGGTCAGGCTGGGCTGGACCAGGTCCTGAATCCCCGCCCTTCCACCCATGGGCTCCCCAGGAAGGCTAAACTGAGGGAAGAATTCCTGCTGGGAAAGCCCTGTTCTGGGACCAGGGTTTCGTCCCTCTATTAGAGGGGGTCAGGGGGACACCTGGGAGCGGAACACCTGAGGGAGGAGCACCTGGCGGGGAGCCTTGGGGGAGGAGGCACCTGGGGGAGGAAGTCTGGAGGAGGGGTCTCCTGGTGGGGGGCCTGGAGGAGGGGTCTCCTGGGGGAGGGGCCTGGAGGAGGGGTCTCCTGGGGGAGGGGCCTGGAGGAGGGGTCTCCTGGGGGAGGGGCCTGGAGGAGGGGTCTCCTGGGGGGGGGCCTGGAGGAGGGGTCTCCTGGGGGAGGGGCCTGGAGGAGGGGTCTCCTGGGGGAGGGGCCCTTGGGGAGCCAACCCTAGTCAGTACGAGGTCCTGGGTGCAAAGTGGGTTGTGCGGCAGGGGGCTTGGGGCCTCAGCGGGGCTGCCCGGAGCTGGTCCTGGGCCTCTCTTGCTCTGGGTCTCCCCTGCTCTGGGTCCAGCCTCCCAAGCACCCCACCTGGCAAGACTTCCTCGCTCAGAACAGAGCCAACCCTGGCTGTCTTCCCAGGGTTTGTCGTGGAGAGGGCTCTGGCCCTTTAGCCTTCCAAGGAGCTTTCGGGGTTGGGGTACGTTTGTGACCCCAGTAGCCGCTGTGCTGGGGGCCCAGGGCAACTCCTCCGGGAGCAGGGAAGGCACTGCTGGCACCACCAGCCCCGCAGGGTCACCAGCATCCCGTCTCCACCAGGGCTGCTGCTGTCCCTCCTCTGCTGAGGCCAGCTGTTACCGTGTTCGACATGGACCAGGCCGTGTGGGAGGACACGGGGTGGCAGGTGCAGGGAGCACGGTCTGTTTTCTGTCACTCTCTGGTCCCAGCCTGAGCCCCAATCCCTACCTCTGAGGGTCACACTTCCAACCCACCCCAGACAGAGCTGGAAGCAGGGGCTGGCATGGGCGCTGGGGTAGACGCAGGGGTTGTCGTGGCCTGGCGTGGAAGAGCTGGGCTGGACGCAGTGGGTGGCGTGGCCTGGGGTGCTGCTCTCCAGCCTTCTTTCTCTTCTTCCTCTTCCTCTTGTTCTTCATCTTCCTCCTCTTGCTGCAGATCCTCCCCCAGGTGGCTCCATTTCTGCTGGTCCCATCTCCCGGAGGCCCTGCCCACAACCCCCTGCCCGCCATCTAGGGGGACCCTGGCGTGGTCCAGGAGAGGGAGTCAAGGCCTGTGTGGGGCTCCTGGGGCTGGAGTCCTGGTCTGCCTTCTGGGGACAGAGACTAGGTCGCCCTGGGCTCCAGCTCTGTGGCCTGGCTGTGTGGGCTGGGCCAGGGCCTCTGCGTCACCTCCTTGCCTGGGCTTCTCACAGTGCAAGCCCCGCAGCCTAGGCCCTGCTGGGTGGTGGTGGGATGGCTGGGGAGGGGCAAGAGCAGGTGAGGAGTCCTCACTGGGGGTGCATACTTTGCATTACAGCTGGGGAGGCTGAGACCCGGGGGGCCACAGCTGGTTCCTGGACTCCAAAGCCCAGGACCCTTCCAAATCCTGCCTGGACGGCACCGTGGCCAGGACCCCAGCCAGCACTTCCCTTTTCTGCGAGGGTTTTCTGTTTCTTTGATTATAAAATAACCCCTGTTGGTGGGGGGAAAAAATTAGCAAAATAAAGAAAAGCAAAAAAAAAAAAGAAAATTAGAATCTCCCGCAGTCTCACACCCTGTGGGCCTTTTGCGTATTTCTTCCCGGGTGAGTTTTCTGGGCATTAACAGATGTTTGCTCTGCAGACCTGGCCTTGTGTCACCCTGGAACTCTGTGCCCAGCTCACCCTTCCGTGGCTTCCTGTGGCCGGGGGCTCCCTCCCCTTCCTGCCCCAGGTCTGAGGTGCCAACGGCTGCCTGTGGCCAGGGGCATCTCCCCGTGGACACTGAGGGAGGAGCCGCGGCAGGGCTGGGCTCTCCCGCTGGGCTCCCTGCACCCTGCGGCCCCGGCCCCAGCCCCACCCCCAGCCATGGGAAGGGTGCACTCCGGAGAGGCCGACGCAGATGGGGCCCTGCCCCTGGCCTGAGCGTGGCCGTCATCTGCTCAGGAGGGTTAAGCTCCTTTGTGCCCCAAGGAGCTTCAAGCCGATCAATACCCGGCTGGAAGTAGGGGGCTGCAGCTGGGGGGGCCCCACCGCCCTGACCCCAGATGGACTTCCTGCTCCCTGCCCAGCTTCTCTGCGGGGGGAGGTCAGGTCAGTGGGCCTCCTGCTTGGCCTTTGGGGCCACCGCCCCTGGGCTCCAGCTGAGGCTGTCCCAGGGCCGGTCTCCCTTCCCGCCCCCACCCTACAGAGGCGGCCTCACCAGCCAGCCTCTGCCCCAGCAGAGTTATTTTTAGCCCCAGCCCCGCCTGCTGCTACCACGGGCCTTTTCTCCGCAGAGAGAGGCGGGTGAGGCCTGAGGGCCTCACCCAGGGCAGCCAGTTCCCCAACCACGAAGGGAGGCAGGAGAGCTTCCCTGTGCGGGCAGGCGTCGCTGACCCTCCAAGGGGCAGAGCAGTGGGGGCTTCCTTCCTTCCTGGGTGTGGCTGGGGGGAGGGGGCTGAAGGCCTGGAGCCGGAGGGGCTTGCCCTAGAGCCCCATAGCCAGGCAGGGGTCAGTGTCCACAGCTGGAGGGGCTGGAGAGGTGAGAGAGATGGTCCCAAGGGAGCTGGGAGGCCCAGGAGTGGGCCCAGTGCTCAACCCGCTGCCAGGCAGGGACAAGACCTGAGAGATGAGAGGGCGGCGGGGGTGACCCTCGGAGGGCAGAGGGCGCCAGGACGGAGAGATGAACGGGGCAGTGGGGTGACCCATGGAGACCCACAGAGAGCAGAGGGGCACCAGGATGGGGAGACGGAGGCCAGTGGGGGCTGAGGGGTCCCGGGGGAGGACTGTAAGGAGCCACATAGTGGCTGCGGTCGGCGTGGCTGGGAGACAGGGGTCCAGGAAGCCCACTGGAAGCTGCCGCCCCGGCTGTAGCTGCAGGGCTCTCTGTGGGAGCCGGGAGCTGGGTGCAGAGCTGCGTCGAGGCTGCCTGAGGCCTGGCAGCCCAGCAGGAGGGGACTTACCCCCACCCCCCCACGGAGGAGAAGGCTCTGGGGCCTGCTGGGTGCAGACGCAGCTGGGATCTGCTTTGGGGAAGAAAACCTAGGCAGGTCACCGAGGCTCTGCCCAAGCCAACGCCTGTCACCTGTCACCGAGGTGTGGGTGTCTGTCCTCCTCCCAGCCGTCCATCCCCCTCCCTCCTGGCCCCGCTCCAGCCCGCAGCCCCCATGGGAGCCCGAGAGAGGACAGTCTCAGCAGGTGGCACAGACAGATGCGGACTCCTCACTGCAGGTCACAAGGCATGTTTTCAGAGACCAGCTGCGGTGAAGATCATCCAGCCCTTGGGCCCCTGATCCGTTTGGATACAGTTTCAAGCATGAATTTCTCCTTTGGTGGTTTGCTACAAAGAGAAGAGTTCTCATGATTTCTTTGGGGTGTTCATCCTATGATTTTGGGGTGAGGATTCGTGACAGAGACAAGCAACAGGAGTCCAGGAAGCCCTCGGGGGAGACGGGAAACAAGTCTTTTTGAAAAAACAGCTTTCTTTGAGACGTAGCTCACATATCATATGATCCCTCCCCTTCCAGTGGACACGTCCATGGCTTTCAGCGTGTTTATAGATGGGCAACATCCCCACGGGCCCTTTTAGAACATTCGCTTCACCTCAGAAAGAAACCCCACAGCTTTTAGCCATCACCCTCCTCCCCAGGCCTAAGCAGTCCCTCATCTGCTTCCGTCTCTGGGGACTTCCCTGTTCTGCGTTCTGTGTGACATGTGGTTGTGTGTGATTTATGATTGTGTGTAACATGCGTTCCATTTCATCCATGTGACATGCGGTTGTGTGGGAGATATGATTGTGTGTAACATGCGTTCTGTATGATGTGCGGTTGTGTGTGAGATACAGTTGTGTGTAACACACATTCTGTATGACGTGCAGTTATGTGTAAGATACGGTGTGTAACACATGTTCCATGTGACATGTGGTTTGTGTGATTTATGATTGTAACATGCATTCCATGTGGTCCGTGTGACGTGGTTGTGTGTGATACACCATTGCATGTAACGTGTTCCGTGTGATGTGTGGTTGTGTGTGACACACCGTTGTGTGTAGCATGTGTTCTGGCAGGCGGTCGTGTGTGGCTTCCTTCGCCGAGCACAGTGCTTTCACGATGCCCCCGTGTTGGCGCGTGCCTGTGCCCCATTCCTTTCTATGCTGAATGATGCTCCCCATGTGGGTGAACATATGGTGTTTGTCCATCTGTCAGTCTGTGGACATGTGAGCTGTCTCTGCCTTTTGGCTGCTGTGCACAAAGCTGCTGTGAGCTTTCCTGCAGTCTCTGTGTGGCTGTGTGTGTGTGTGGCTGTGTGTGTGGCTGTGTGTGTGTGGCTGTGTGTGTGTGTGTGGCTGTGTGTGTGGCTGTGTGTGTGTGTGTGGCTGTGTGTTTTTGCTTCTTTCAGGCTCACCCCTGGGGGTGGAGCCGCTGGGTCCTGTGGGTCATGATCATGTGCGTCATCTTCAGGAGGGTGCCAGGTTGTGCTCTGCAGTCCTAGGCAAGTGGAGGTGGTCCCGCTGCCAGCTTCAGCCTGAAGAGCAGGTGCTGAGTGAGGTGCTGAGCTTCCTGGTGTCCCTGCTGCACCCTGGTAGGCCAGCACCCCACCCACCAGAGCAGCTGTGGAGAGGACAGTGGGCATGGTGGGGACTCCAAATGGGACGCACACGGCCCCCAGGGGAGGCTCGGCTTGGGCACCCAGGCGGCCGGGGTATCTCTAACCAGTGGCTGCCCATGGGGTGAGTAGGGCCCTGCTGCCCCATCAGAGCTTGTCCCACTGTGGCTGGCGAGGAGATCAGCAAGGGCTTGAGGCCCATTCTCGCAGCCTGTCCCCTGCCTGGGGTGGCCTGGCATTCAGTGGTGGGGTCCCGGAAGCCCCGGTGCCGAGGCAGGTGTGCTCTGGCAGGCTTGAGCTGGGCCACCCTGGAGGCACCACTTGTCTTTGCGTTTCCCTCTCACCTGCTCCCTGGACAGGCCCTCTGCATTTGAGGGCCTGTTTGTGTCCCCAGGGCATCTCTGGATGGGCATGAGCACACAGGGACCCAGCACGTGGGTTCTGCACCATCCAGCACTGTCCATACAGGCCCTGGCATGTCCTCCTGGCCTGTAATTTTGTTCTGCATGGCTTGGTTTTTGCACGAAGGGGAGCACAGTATTCCTTTCTCATCCTCCAAAATGGATTGCAAATGTTCTGAGCTGTCACATTGGCGAGAACGAAGCCCCTGCTAATTGGCGCATTTTCCTGCAACCACTCCAGGCTGAGTTCTAGAGGAAGCCTCTGCCTTTCTGTCTCACGTTGCGCACTTTCTCCCTGAAATATTTAATGTGCTAAATTCCAACTTCACACACATCAGCTCTAAAGCCGACTAATCATTTAGCTTGATTGTCGAACTGAATTTGGCTCTGAGATTTTAAAATAAGAAAAAAAACTGTCAAGCTCTACGTAAGGCAGACACTATGGCTGACTCTTCACAAGAAAATATCTTTCTTTCTTGAGGGATTTGTGGCAGAGTCCATCTTTATGGAGAGTAGAAATCGTTTTACCCACCAGGGCAGCATATAAAATGTTAGGCAGATGTTAAATATTGATGTAGAAACTCAAAATACTTTGTCTCTTTCCAGAAATGAGCGTTTTGGTTTAATTACTCTGAATCTAATGACTGTGGAAAAAACACAACACGTGTGCGTTCCGAACGGAAAACATTTAGATTAAGGAAGAATTTCAGCTCCTCAAAACTGGGAAAGGAGCATACTGGGCCTGTCCTGCAGTGGGGCTGCTTGCTGATACTGACACGCATGTGCGACTGGGTGCCCATGCGTGTGCGTGCGTGTGCCGTGTGGATGCCGTGTGCCCGTGCCTGCGCGTGCGTGTGCCGTGTGGGTGCCGTGTGCCCCTGCGTGCGCGTGCGTGTGCCGTGCGTGTGCCGTGTGGGTGCCGTGTGCGCGTGCGTGTGCCATGTGGATGCCATGTGCCTTGCATGTGCCGTGTGGATGCCGCATGCCCGTGCGTGTGCCATGTGGATGCCGTGTGCCCGTGTGTCCACGTGCGTGTGCCGTGTGGATGCCGTGTGCCCGTGTGTGTGCCGTGTGGATGCTGTGTGCCCGTGCGTGTGCCGTGTGGATGCTGTGTGCCCATGTGTGCCTTGCGTGTGCCATGTGGATGCTGTGTACCCGTGTGTGTGTGCATGTGCCATATGGATGCTGTGTGCCCATGAGTGCTCATGTGTGTGCCGTGTGGATGCTGTGTACCCACGCGTGCGCGTGCTTGTGCCGTGTGGATGCTGTGTACCCACGCGTGCGCGTGTGTGTGCCGTGTGGATGCTGTGTACCCACGTGTGCGCGTGCGTGTGCCGTGTGGATGCTGAATTGCACTTTCAACGACGTGACCGTTCCTTCCTTGCAGGCCACCTCCGGAGGTGTTCACTGCCGGTGGCTGTACCTGGCCATAGATCTGGGGGCTGTGCTGCCCCAGGCATCCCACCCTGTTCCAGGACACAGAGGCCAATGCTGTTCCCCTGTTCCGGCAGGCGTGGGCTGCACGCCTGCTGGCAAGGGGCTCAGCTGGCCTGAGCCTGGGCCAGCTGTCCCTAGAGCATCTGCTCCTGTGGGGAGGGGGCGTTTTGACAGCATGGGGATAATTTTTTTCATAATTAAGAGTTTTTTTTTTAAGTGAATAGACTTTATTTTGTAGAGCAGTTTTTGGTTTACAGAGCAGGGAGCAGGTAGCACAGGGCATTCCCTGAGCCCCCACCCACAGTGCCCTTATGCCCGTCATTTGCATCGGCACTGGTGCCAGTCCAGGGCCTGTTAGGAACCAGGCCACACAGCAGGAGGTGAGAGGTGGGCAGGCAAAGCATTACCACCTGAGCATCACCTCCCGTCACATCAGCGGCAGCATTAGCTTCTCATACGAGCATGAATCCTATTGTGAACTGCCCATGCCAGGGAGCTAGGCTCCGAGCTCCTCACGAGAATCTAATGCCTGATGACCTGAGGTGGGCCAGTTTCATCCCCAATCATCGCCCCCCCCAGCCTCTGGTCTATAAGAAAAATGTCTTTCATAAAACTGGTCCCTGGTCCCTGGTGCCAAAAAGGTTGGGGACCACTGCTGCTGTTCCATCAGTTTTGACAAATGCACGATGCCGTGTGTCCACCATCACAGTATCGTATGGAATCATTTCACTGCCCTAGAAATCCCTGCGCTCTACCATTCATGATTTACTTGGACAAAAACACATACGGCCACCAAGGAAAACAGCCATAGTGAAGCAGATGTCAAAATATCAACAAAGCAGATGTGTGAGGGTGGCAGTGGCTGCATTACACGTCGCACTGGATAACAAAACCCAGCGTCCAGCAGCCCCTGAGTTTTAGAGGTGGAGGTGAGTGTGGACAAGTTTGAAAAACCTGCAACAACTGCAAAGTGATACAAACACACCTGTGTTTTCTATTTGAGATAAAGCCCTGGGATGGCTGGCGTTCCTCGTGGAAGGAAATGCCAGATTTCAGTCAGAGCTTAGTAAAATAGAGATGTTGCTTTTTCTCGTCCAAGTTCACAGACCCCATGAATGAAGCATCCCTGCTCTAGGAAAGCACGGAAAGCTTGTGCATCAGAGGGACATATGCCCACAGGGATTGAAAATGTGTTTTCAAAACAAGGTATGTTGTTTGCAAAATCTCCACCATTACAAATAGCCACGTAGGCTTCTGATGGCTCTATGTGCACAGCCAATTCCGAGTGAATTCAATTATTTCACATTGACAGGAAACAGGTTAATTAGGAGAAGTTGATTAGGCTTTGCAAAAGGAGATGTAATTAATGCCCAACCGCATGCCAGGCACGACGGCTGCATTTCAATGTCTTCACATGACTGAGAGAGTTACTGCCTGAGAGCTGGGAGACAGCAGGGGAGCAACCAGCATGCCGGCGCCTGGGGTGTCCAGCAAGTGGCAGGGGGCGCTGCTGGCCCAAAAGGTTAGCTCAGGTGTGCCACGATCCCCATCATCATCATCATCACTATCACCATCATCACACCATCACTATCACTGTCATCACAATCACCATCATCATCACCACTATCACTGTCATCACTATCATCATCACCATCACTATCACTGTGACCATCACCATCATCACCATCATCATCACACCATCACTGTCACTGTCATCACAATCACCACCATCATCATCATCACTATCACTGTCATCATTATCATCACCATCACTATCACTGTCACCATCACCATCATCATCATCACACCATCACTAAAATGTCATCGTCATCACATTCATCATCATATCACAATCACTATGATCACCATCACTGTCACCATCATCATCATCACATTCATCATCACATCACAATCACCATCATCATCACCATCACTATCACTGTCGTCATCATCATCACATTCATCATCAGATCACAATCACCATCACTGTCACCATCACAATCATCACCATCACCATCACATTCATCATCACATCACAATCACCATCATCACCACCATCACTCTCACTGTCATCACAATCACCATCATCATCATCACCATCACTATCACTGTCACCATCACAATCATCATCACCATCACTATCACTGTCATCACTATCATCACCATCACTATCACCGTGACCATCACCATCATCATCATCATCACACCATCACTATAAATGTCATCGTCATCACATTCATCATCAGATCACAATCACTATGTGACTGTCACCATCACAGTGACTGTCACCATCACCATCACAATCACCATCATCATCACCATCACTATCACTGTCATCACTATCATCATCACCATCACAGTCACTGTCACCATCATCACACCATCACTATCACTGTCATCACCACCATTATCCCCATCATCTTCATCTCATCACCATCACTCCACCTTCATCACCTCATCACCATTACACCACCATCACTGTCATCACTGTCACCATCACCATCACCACCATCATCTTCATCTCATCTTCACCACCACCGTCTTCATTATCACCTCACACCACTGTCATCACCTTTGTCATTATTGCTGTTGTCATCACACTCCTCACAGCTTCCTCATGCATGCCTGTGTGCAAGGCTCTCTGGAAGGTGCTGGGCTGCTGAGGCATGTTTCTGGAGGAACGGCTGCGGGCACCACACCACAAACAAGCCATGTGGACCAGATGTGGCCGGGACCTGGCCTGGCTCCTGTCTTGCAAGCCCCCTGCCTTGAGAAATGGGGACTGTGTGGATGAACACACGGGCTCGGTGGAGGGGAGAATGCCGCCTTTGGAGAGGTAGGAGGGCTCCAAGCGGACTTCGAGGACAGGGAGCCTCAGCAGTGTGGCCCTGGCACTCTACCAGGCCTCAGGGTGTACCCTGGTGGGCTTCAGTCCAGGCCAGAGCAGCTGCGCAGTGTCCCTGCTCACTCCTCATCCCCGGGCATTCTCAGCTGTGCTCTCCCGCCCTTGCCCACTCATCCCATTTTCTGCCCCAATTGTTTTGACTCCTTCCTCCAAGGACCACAGATGTCCCCTTCCCTCTGCATGGGTCCCAGAATTTGGGGCCAGTCAGGCCTTAGCTCAGAGCAGGCACCCTGACCACCCATCAATCCCAGCATGAGATGCAGGAGGGAAGCAGAGCCAGAAGGCTGGGTGGCCTGTCCAGCGCTCCAGGGAAAGCCCAGCTCCATCAGGCCAGGCTTCAAATGTCAACCTGCATCCAGCAGCTCAGCCTCTAAGTGTCCCCAACCCTTCCACAGTGGCCACTACCCACTCCACAATGGAGCCTGGCTCCAGGCCGAGGGGCCAGTGGCAGCAGGGTGTGCTGGAGACCCCCCGTGAGAAGGACAGGGGTCAGCGGCCCTCCCCACCGTGACCTTTTATAGTCCCCATTCCAAGCCCATCCTCCCTCCCTGATGTCTGGGCCTCCCAGCACAGCCCCGTGCCCCACCAAGAGCCACAGAGGCAGCCCCCGTGCTCTGTCCCTGCAGCTTGGTAACCGTGGGGCAGCATGGGCCCTCCCTCTGCACACCCAGCGCATGCCTGGGTGCTCCCACCTGCCGGACCTGGCTGGCCTCCATTCAAGTGGGGAGGCCCTGGGACCACACCCCAGAGTGCCTGGGAGGGCAGAGGTAGGCCTGCTGCCAACACAGGGCCTGGGAACGTGGTGCCTCATCTGGCCCAGCCGGGGCCCAGAACAGCACCCTTCCTGGGAGATCAGGCTCCAGTGTTGACCCCTTGCCCTGGCTCATCGGCTCCTCCCGGCTGTGCCGGGATTCCTGGCTCTTGGTCCCCATCCACCCCTCCTCCCTGGCAAGCCAGGCTGCAGGCCCCACCTTCTCCCCAGCTCCTTCCTTCCTCCTGTGGCCCATGCTGTCTCCAGGAGAGCAGGGGGCTCAGGAAGGGATTCTGCCCGTGGGCACTGCTGACCTGGGCAGGCAGGGGCAGGGTGGGCTGCACTTCCTCCCATCTCAGGACCTGGCAGGGGTGGCACAGCCCAGCTGCAGGGACTCTGGCGGGAGTGAGCTGCCCTGCCCCCACTGTGCCTCTCAGGGCCTGTCCCCCTCCCACCTGAGCCCTCCACTGGGCGTCTCTTCTGAATCCAGTCCATGCCCACTGGCTGCCTGTGCCCCAGGTTGGGCTTTGCGCTGGAGCTGCACCCCAGGCTCTGCAAAGCCACCATGGTGACAGTGTTTCCAGGGAAACCACAGCAGGCTGCCAGGCAAGTGCAGGCGGAGGACACCCAGGTGGGAGGTGTGTGTCTGTGTGTGTGAGGGAGAGCAGGAAGGTGTGGCGCGTGTTCGTGGGTTGTGTGTCCATGAGGTGGTGTGTATGTGGGGGTACCCTTGAGAGCTTGTGTGTTTGTAGGTCATTGTGGGGCACATGCCTGAGGGTCCTGGGTGTGTGTGTCTGAGGCAGCTAAGTGTGTATGTATATGTGCATGTGTGAGCACATGCGTGTCAGTGTGTGTGAGTGTGGGGGTCCATGTGCATCGGTGTGATGTGTGCACATGTGCCAGTGTGTGTGTTGGGATGCATGTTTGCATGTGTGTGTCAGTCTGTGTTGGGGTGTCTGTGTCTATGTGTGCATGTGTTGGGGTATCTATGTATCTGTGTATGTGTGTGCGTGTGTGTATATGCTGAGGTGTTGTGTCTGTGTGCATGTGTGTGCACACGTGTGTCAGTGTGTTGGGGTGTGTCTATATGTGCATGTGTTGGGGTGTCTGTGTATCTGCATATGTGTGCACACATGTGTCTGCATGTGCCTGTGTGGTGTCGTTGTGTCTCTCCGTGCATGTGTGTGCACATGTGTGTCAGCGTGTGTGCATGTTGGGGTGTCACGTATGTGTCCTGAGTGTGTTTCTGTGGGCCTGAGGGTCCCTGGTGGGCAACCTTGTCTACCCAGCACCAAGGATCTGTGTCCCCAGCAACACTGCCGCTCCCCTCAGCCCATCCCCCAGGGTCCCTGAGCCTTCAGGTAAACTCACCTTAGCCAATGACAGCAGGCTTGTAGGGGCCACGCGGGCTGCGCTTGGACCTGTCCCAGAGCGTGAGGGTGCTGTGATCCTCTGAGGGCCCGGCAGGCCTGGTGGGGCAGGGTCCCGAGAAGGAAGATGGTGCCTTCAGATCATGGGGTGTTCCTTGAAGCTTCCTGTCCACCTCACCCCCGCACCCCACCCCTGCTCACCCTCCTCCTGGGGCTCAATAGCATCCCCTCCCCAGGGGCTCCTCCTCCCCACCATTCTTGTCCCCTGAGGTCGCTGGGCCCCCAGCAGCTCAGGCTGGCCATCTAGAAGGTGCAGGCCCCAGGACTGGACCCAGCTGGGCAAGGCCTGGGGTTCACTCTGAGGCCTGGGGCACCAGCCCCTCAGAGGCACCAAGGACAGAATCATTCTCAGGGCCAGGCCGTGGGGCACAGCTGCCCCCTGTAGCCCCCAACGCCCCATCTGTCCACACAGGCTCAGCAGCTCCCACCTGCCTAGCTCTGTGGCCCCAAGGGCCCCTCCCCGTAGGGTCTGAGTGGCCCAAGGCAGGGCAAAGTCTCACCTTGCCTGGAAATCTGGGAGGCTCCAAGGACCCCGAGCCTGCACCTCATTCATTCATTCATTCATTCTGCCATCAGCTCCTGTGGAGCTCTTGTCTGAGTTCCAGGCCCCGGGCCATGTGCCAGGCCCCAGGGAATCAAGACAGTCCAGGACAGGCCCTGGAGCATCTCCCCAGCTCTCTCAGTCTCCTGGTTCATCACAGAGGCCAGTGCCTTTGTTGGAGTGAGCAGCTGTGAGGGGCAGTTTGGGCATGAAAGAAGGAACCAGCCACTTTGGAGCATCAGGGAGGACTTCCTGGAAGAAGCCATCTCTAAGCTGATCCTCAAAGAGCTGAGAGCAAGCTTGGCGGGCTGTCACTGGAGAAGGAGAAATATTCTGGAGAGGGAGTGCAGAGTGTGCACGTCCCGATGCAGAGAGGGACGCAGCGGGGAGCTCCTCTCTGAGACAGGGTCCCACGCCAGGCAGTGTGAGAAGCAGGGGAGGCTGCAGGCCATGGTGGTTGGCCAGAGTGAGTGCCCAGCAGGGATAGCCTGGGGGGCCTGGCAGGGGCTGTCCCAGGCAGGTCTGCAGCATGGACCACGGCAGAACCCCAGGAGGCTCCTCAGTGATGCAGGGTGGGGACAGGCTGTGCAGGCCACGGGTGGGATGGAGCAGGTGCAGTGGCCCACCAACCACCCAGACAGCAGGGGGCCCCTCCCGCCGTGCCACACACAGGTTAGGCCTGGGTGAGGGCGGTGTGGAGGACAGACCGAGTCAAGCCCAGGTAGTTACGGAGCGTGTTTAGTGCGCCCTCGCTTCGTGTTCACCCTGTAACGGCCCAGGCCCCAGGAGAAGCAGCCCCGGGGGCTCCCGCCCTGCAGGCCCAGGGGAGGGCACCCAGCAGGGAGGCTGGATCAGGAGGGGCTCAGCTCCCACAGGTCTGGGCACCGCCAGCAGAGCCCCCAAAGGACCTGGATGCCCTAGCCCCAAGGGCAGGGGAGCAGCCACCCGGCAACAGGGCTGGGACACTGTGAGGGGCCTGCAGTGCTGGAGGTGCAGATACAGCACCCCCAGGGATGCTCCGGGGCAGCCCTTTTAGGCAGCAGATGTGGCCACCACCCTGTGCCCAGCAGAGGCTGCCAAGCCCACCCGCCCTTAGCAGGAAGGGGGTCAGGACCTGGCCTGAGTGAGAGGGACGAGGAGAGAAGAGAGCAGTCAATGACTGGAACGGACCCAGTGGCCTTCGTCCCACCTGGCCAGCACTGGCCCCTCGCCTCCCCTCCCCACACCCCATGACCCCAGGGACAGGCCTGATGTGGACAGAGTCCCCGAGAGATGCACATTTACAAGTTTGATCCAGTGGATAGATTTTCCTCTTTGCTAATCGGAACACGTCTGCTGTGGCTGCCGTAATAGGCAAATGAAACAATTAAAACGAGCAGAATGCACCCAGTTAACATTTCAAACAAGAACGCTTTTCCCTTTAAGCTAATACTGGACTGAAGACAAAAAGGATGTCAGCTTGAAGCTGATGAGAATGAGTAGCTTTGCAGCTCCCCTGAGGCAGGCCTGGAGCTGAGTGCAGGCGGCAGCCCCTGCCCTCATCCCCCTCGGCCCTGTGCTGGCCACGTGGGCGACCACGGGCACCCTCCTTACACCTGGGATGCATTTGTCTGCAGGTGCCCGCCGGCCCCTCCCTTCAAGCCTCACGGAATTGAAACAAGGGGCTGCAGGAATCGATTCTCCGGCCGAAAGACTTCTCCAGTAAGGGAGCTTCCCAGGCTCCGTTTCACAGGAGCACCGGCTGGGGGAGGACCGGGAGGGCCTTCATTATGCAGTCATTACAGAGTCTCATCAAGCGCTGATTCCACCTGCTTGAGAAGCCGACTTTTTTTTTTTTTTTTTTTTTTTTTTTTTGAGACAGCGTCTTGCTCTGTTGCCCACGCTGGGGTGCAGTGGTGCGATCTTGGCTCACTGCAACCTCCGCCTCCGAGGTTGAAGCCATTCTCCTGCCTCAGCCTCCTGAGTTGCTGAGATTACAGGCACGTGCCACCACACCCAGCTAATTTTTTTTGTATTTTTAGTAGAGATAGGGTTTCACCATGTTAGCCAAGATGGTCTCGAACTCCTGGCCTCGTGATCTGCCCGTCTCGGCCTCCCAAAGTGCTGGGATTACAGGCGTGAATCACCACGCCCAGCCCAGAAGCCAGCCTTTCTTTGGTTCTGGAAGCAACAGCAGAGCCATGACTTTGGTGGTGGAGACTGGTCTTTGTTCAAATAAATGTCACCACCCTGGACACTAGGCCGGGCATAACAGACCACAAAGCCAGGTGGTGGCTGACCTGCAAGACCGTAGCCTCAGAGCTGCAGCTTCTCCCAGGGAGGGGCGCCTGGCAGTGCCTGCAAGGACGGAGACCCCGGCAGTGTCTAGGTCCGTGTCCCATGCTGAGGGTGCACTGGGTGACGTGGGAGGCGGGCCCTGGTCACATGCATGGGCCCTTGACCACATGCAGCTCGGTTGGCCCCAGCTGACTGTCCCCATCCTGGAGACCCGCGGCAGCCTGAGAAGGGCCTCGGTGGTCATCCTCGTCTGTTCCTTCTGCTAAAACAAAATACCTCAGAGGGGGCAATTTGTAACCAGAATTTCATCGCTCAGTTCTGGAGGCTGGGACGTCCAGGACCGAGGCCCCAGCAGATTCAGCGTCTGGTGAGGGCTGCTTTCTGCTCTCTGCTCCCAGGACGGCGGCTTCTTGCTGTGTCCTCACCCAGTGGCAGGGACGGGAGGGTGGGGAAGGGCAACCAGGACCCTCAAAACTCTTATGAGGCTACTGGTCCCATTCATATCCTCCTCATCTCCCAAAGCCCACCAGTGATGCCATCGCCTTGGGGCTTAAGTTCTAACAAATGAATCTGGGGGTGACATCAACATTCAGACCATAGCAGCAGCTGTGATGGTTACTTTTGTGTCAGCTCGACCAGGCCACGGTCCCCAGCTATTTGGTCAAACACCAGTGTAGACGTCGCTGTGAGGGTGTTTCTTGGATGAGGTTAATATTTCAATCAGGAGACTTTGGGTAGAGCAGAGTACTGACCATATTATAGCCTCATCCAGGCAGTCCAAGGCCTTAAGAGAAAAAGACAGTTGTCCCCGAGGAAGAGGAAGTCCCGCCTCCGGACGGCGGCCCCTGGAGGAAGAGGAAGTCCCGCCTCCGGACAGCTTCCAAACATGAGCCGCAGCAGGAGTGTCCCTGGGTCTCCAGCGGCCCTCAGGTGTCAGATGAGCAGCTGCCACAAACACATAAGCCAATTCTTTAAAATAAATCTCTCTTGCACGCTCTCCCTATGTATATATTTACATTTTATATATATATACACACACTACATGTATACTACATATACACACTATGTATACACATACATACACTGTGTATAGAATATATAGGTATGCAATATGCACAGACCATATACACTATGCACACTGTATATAATCTCTATATATGTATACTATATATACACTATACATACACTGTATATATCTATATGCACACTATATTACACAAATATATGCATACTCTATATTAATGTACACTATATGCACACTATGTATACATATGCTATCTCTATAATATATACACATTATATGTGTACATACACTATATATACTCTGTATGCATGCTACATATACACTATACACACACAGTATAGTCCATATGCATACACTATATACACACACTATAACTTTACACACACACACTATATATACTCTATATGCACACACTGTATATATGCTGTATATGTGTGTACTATATGCACACTCACACTATGAATATTCTATATATGTACACAATATCAATATATACCCTATATGTACATGGTATATGCCCTATATGTCCACGGTATATGTCCTATATGCACATGGCATATGGCCTATATGTACACGGGATATACCCTATATGTACACAGCATATGCCCTATATGTATGTGCTATATGTCCTACACGTACACTGTATATACTCTACATGTACATAGTATATACCCTATATGATGTACATGGTATATACCCTATATGTACATTGTAGATACCCAATATGTACATGGTATATGACCTCTATGTACACGGGATATACCCTATATGTACACAGCATATGCCCTATATGTATGTGGTATATGTCCTACACGTACACTGTATATACTCTACATGTACATAGTATATACCCTATATGATGTACATGGTATATACGCTATATGTACATTGTAGATACCCAATATGTACATGGTATATGACCTCTATGTACACTGTATATACCCTATATGTACACTGTTTGTACACACATCCCAATGGTTCTGTTTCCCTGGAGAATCCTGCCTACCCCAGACACCGCTACGCCCCTCTGCCCACTGCCACAGCCTCCCTGCGTGCCCTCAGGCCCCTTCTCCACTGGATGTGGCCCATTGGCTGGGTGCCCCCAGGTGCCTTCTCCACTGGATGTGGCCCATTGGCTGGGTGCCCTCAGGCCCCTTCTCCACTGGATGGGGCCCATTGACTGGGTGCCCCAAGGTCCCTTCTCCACTGGATGTGGCCCATTGGCTGGGTGCCCTCAGGCCCCTTCTCCACTGGATGTGGCCCATTGACTGGGTGCCTCCAGGCACCTTCTCCACTGGATGTGGCCCATTGGCTGGGTGCCCTCAGGCCCCTTCTCCACTGGATGTGGCCCATTGACTGGGTGCCCCCAGGCCCCTTCTCCACTGGATGTGGCCCATTGGCTGAGTGCCCCCAGGCGCCTTCTCCACTGGATGTGGCCCATTGACTGGGTGCCCCCAGGCTCCTTCTCCACTGGATGTGGCCCATTGGCTGAGTGCCCCCAGGCCCCTTCTCCACTTGATGTGGCCCATTGGCTGAGTGCCCCCAGGCCCCTTCTCCACTGGATGTGGCCCATTGGCTGCGTGCCCCCAGGCCCCTTCACTGGATGTGGCCCATTGGCTGCGTGCCCCCAGGCCCCTTCTCCACTGGATGTGGCCCATTGACTGGGTGCCCACAGGTCCCTTCTCCACTGGATGTGGCCCATTGACTGGGTGCCCCCAGGTCCCTTCTCCACTGGATGTGGCCCATTGGCTGAAGTTTGGCATCCAGAGATTACAAGGCTCCTAGCTGGTGGGAGCCAAGGTGGTGGGGAGCAGGGAGGCAGGCTGCCAGATAAAACTCGGGATCCCCAGCTAAGATGAATTCAGATCAGCAATGTATCATTGCTTAGTATACGTCTGTCCCAAATTTGCATGGAGCACACGTATGCTGAAAATGGATTTGTTGTTCTAACTTTGATCTTTTGAATTTGCTAACCTGGGCCGCCCTAGGGAGGGGCACCCAGCCCGGTGGGGAGGGGCAGCTCTGTGCCCTGGGTGGCTCCAGCCCAGCCTTGTCTACACCCCTGACCCAGGCCCGCCTGCCCTGGCTCCCCTGACTGTGAGGGGCTCCCAGCACCAAGGCCCCTCTGTAGGGTTCCCACCATGTGTCTTCTCATTTCGGAGGGCCTGGACCTGTGGGCGTGGCTGGGATCTTTCCCAGTGCCAGTCATATGGCCTCTGCCACTAGGACAGACTAAGGGAGACCCACGGCACACAGCTGCCTTAGGAAAACCCGCCAGGCCCCAGGGGAAGTCCCAGCGAATCCAGCTGCCCAACGACGGGAGAAAGGTTGTTTCCAGGCATCCTGGATGACTGGCTCCATCCAGTGACTCAGCCCAGAGCTCCTCAGGTGCCCCCTCCAAGGCGCTCTTGGCCTGCGGACATTTGGCGGGACACTCATCTCTGGCCAGGAGGCCCACAGCACTCTCCATGGAGTCGAGGGCAAGAAGCACCCTCCACGTTCAGCCTGAGCACGAGGACAGCTCCAGGGGTGACTCTGGGCTCTGTTTCCCCAGAACACCCCAGAGAAGTACAAAGCCCACCAGCGACCCCATACACCTCGAATCCAGGGCCTTCCAGGTGCAGGAAAGATGGCAGAATGTCACCCCAACATCCCCAAAGGAGTAGTCAGGGCCAGGGCAGCCCTTTTGGCCTCTGTGTGAACAACAGGGAGACGTCTGGCTGGGCCCAAGGCCCCTGCCCCCTCAATCACCTCTTGGTGTGTCTGCCACATCCCAGCCACAGCCTGCCACAACCTCGGGGATGGTAGCCGGGGGAGGTGTGGCCAGGTGGGCCTGTGCATAGGGACAGACTGGTGACACCATGCTGTTCGCTGGCCTGACTGCTCCACCAGCTCCCCACTTCCCTCTGTGGGCACCCAGTGGGCCTGTGTGAGGACGAGGCCTGTCTCTCTCTTCCGAGGGCAAGGGAATGAGTTGGGCCTGCGGGGCTAGCCGTGTGCCCCCAGACCTCACAGGACTCCCCCAGCAACTCCTTGTGCGAGCCATGGCTCTGACGGGAGCTGGGCCTCCATGTTCAGGGCCAGGGCCCTGCCTACATCTGATCCACCCACACCTCTTCCCTGAAGCCCGGGCGGCCAGTCTATAAGCGCAAAACATGCCCGTCCCTAGCCCATCCCTAGAACCGCCCGCTGACCAGCTTTCTGCATCTGTCTTCTCTTCTGTTCTCATTACAAAAATCGCAGGTGCTCACCGCATATTATTAAGAAAATGTAAAAAAATCTGAAAAGAACATTAGAATTACCCATAATCACCCCCACCGGAGATAAATCCGTTACCTCTTTGGTATATTTCCTTTTGGGACACACACATATAGACCCATATATTTATATGTAGACCAAGTGAGAGTGGTGGGAACCACCTGGCCTGCTACACTCTGTGGCACTTGCACAGGCAGGGGCCTGAGTGCTGCAGCTTCCTCCCTGCCCGGCACAGGCAGCCACAGGGCCTCCCTCCTGCAGCAGGGCCGGCAGGACCTCCTGCCCATTCACCCACCCCAGTCACTGCCTCTGTCCCCACCCCTGCCAGGTGCACCCATGAGATGCACTCCCGAGGGCAGCGATGCCCGGCAGGCCCATCCCCGAGGGCCCACAGCACAGCTGCAGTTAGAGAAGGGACTTCTTCCAGCGCAGCCAAGTTCATGCCTGCAACAGACTTCAGGGCCTGGAGAGGGTTGTGTTTGCGCTCCTTCTGGAAGCATCCTGCTTGGACCCTGCCAGCCCTGTGGTGGCCAGAGGTCCCGGGGCCAGGCTTTTGTCTCGGCCCTCAGAGACGGGCATTTGGGGAGAGCTGGCAACAGCAAGGACGCAGCCAGGCCCCGGCATGTTTGTGTCCTAGAGAAGTGGAGCTGGCTCTCCCTGGAGGCCACTCACAAAGCCAGGCATCCCTGGGGCAGTGGGTGAGTCTGGGGCAGAGGAGGGCAGATGCCCCATCCACCTGCCCATGCAGAGACAGATGGGACCACCCAGGAGGGCCAGGCCAGGCTCCTTCCTCGGTCCAGGCCCAGCCCAGCACCCCTGGTCTGGTCTGCTCTGGCCCATGACACAGAGAACCAGGCTGCTCACTGTCAGCAGCTGGCCAGGAGCAGGCCCACTCCAAGAGTGTCACGACCCTCTTCCACCGACACCACTGCACCCAGCCGTACAATACAGATCTTCCCATCTTCTGGAGCTGGTGTGGCCCTGACGGTGCCTTTCCAGAGCCAGTGCCCAGTGCAGGCCTCTCGGCACAGTGTGGGCGAGCCCCAGGGGGTCCTATTGGCCCTGGGCTCTGCTATTGCTGAGCAGTTGACTCTGTCCCTAAGAATAGGAGGAGATGGGTGCCTGGGGACCAAGCACAGCTGGTCACCCCAGAGTGCAAGGCCAGTGGGTCCCATTTCCTGCCCAGTGAGTCTGGCTGTCCCGGTGGCCTCTTCCTGCCTCAGAAGCCCTGGACTGAAAGCAGCACGTGATCAGCTGGACGTGGGGGAGGGACCTTCCCTGGAGCAGAAGCCTCTCGAAGGCCCTGTGTTCAGCTGAGAGTGGGTTCCAGAAAGTCATGGAATCTTCCAGAAAAGATGCCACCTACATCCCCGGGATGGCTTTGGTGAACGTGAACGTGGTGGGCTCCTGCGTCAACAGCATGGGCCTTGGCCAATCTGAGCTCCAAGGCATGCCCAGAAGACCTCCCCCAGGTGCCCACAGCTATCCTTGAAGTTGCAGAGACAGACCCCAGAATGAGCCGTGACGCCGTGCTCAAAGTGACCAAAATCCACCCAGAGCACATGCGACGTGCATGTGTGCCTGCGTGCGTGCATGTGTGTGCCTGTGTGAGGATGTGTGTGTGCCTGTGTGCCTGCATGTGGGGTGTGGGGGTGTGTGTGCCTGCATGTGGATACGTGTGTGCCTGTCTGCCTGTGTGTGGATGCATGTCTGTGTGTGCCTGCGTGTGGATGCATGTGTGCCTGTGTGCATGCATGTGGATGCATGTGTATGCCTGTGTGGATGCATGTAGATGTGTGTGTGCCTGCATGTGGATACTTGTGTGGGTGTGTATGCCCATGTGAGTGTATGCCTGCATGTGTGTGTGTCTGTGGATGTGTGTAGATGTGCATGTTCCTGTGTGCCTGTGGGTGGATGTGTGTGTGCATGTGTGTGCCTGCATGTGGATGTGTGTGTTCATGTGTGCGTGTGTGCCTGCGTGTGGACGCATGTGTGCGTGTGTGCGCCTGTGTGTGGATGCATGTGTGCATGTGCGGATGTCTGTCTGTGGATTTGTGTGCATCTGTGTGTGGACTCGTGTGTGTGTGCATGTGTGCCTGCATGAGGGGGCCTTTCCCCCACCCCACCACAGGCTGGCACTCCCAAAACAGCTGGAGTGCTGCCCTCATCTCCCACTACCCTCACCCCCAGCACACAGGATCTGGGCCCACTGTCTCCCCCCCAGCACACGGGATCTGGACCCACTGTCTCCCCTGCCCAGCACACGGGATCTGGGCCCACTGTCTCCCCCCAGCACACGGGATCTGGACCCACTGTCTTCCCAGCACACGGGATCTGGGCCCACTGTCTCCCCTGCCCAGCACATGGGATCTGGACCCACTGTCTTCCCAGCACACGGGATCTGGGCCCACTGTCTCCCCTGCCCAGCACATGGGATCTGGACCCACTGTCTTCCCAGCACACGGGATCTGGGCCCACTGTCTCCCCCCCAGCACACAGGATCTGGGCCCACTGTCTCCCCCCCAGCACACGGGATCTGGGCCCACTGTCTCCCCCCCAGCACACGGGATCTGGGCCCACTGTCTCCCCCCAGCACATGGGATCTGGACCCACTGTCTTCCCAGCACACGGGATCTGGGCCCACTGTCTCCCCCCAGCACACGGGATCTGGACCCACTGTCTCCCCTGCCCAGCACACGGGATCTGGGCCCACTGTCTACCCCCCCAGCACACAGGATCTGGGCCCACTGTCTCCCCAGCACACAGGATCTGGGCCCACTCTCTCCCCAGCACACAGGATCTGGGCCCACTGTCTCCTCAGCAGCGTCCCTGAGCCCCACTGTCCATGGCCCCAGCCACCACTGTGGTGCAGACTCTGGCTCTCAGGACCCCCCCACGCCCTGCCATCTCCACTCCATGGGTTCCCTCACACTAGGCTGAGTGATGCCCAGCACCAGGCATCTCTTGCAGGGCCCGGGACCCCATTCCTCGAAGACGGCTCAGGGCCGAGGGTGGTTGCGTGGCAGGCACTAGGCCTCTCAAATTGGCCTGCAGAATGCTGCCTGCGGTGGGACAGGGCCTACTCCGCCAGCCGACAGCATGTGTACCCTCGAGGCCAGCAGAAGAGAAAGGGAGGTTTCATGTTCTAATTTTCATTTTCGTCAGAATATACTCATAGAGTGAGAACTCAAGCAGCACAGGAAAGGCTGGGGCAGGACTTCCTGAGCCCCCACGGCCACTCTTCAACCCAGGAGCCTCTCCCTGAGCCCGGTTTCTGGTCCTAGAGCCTTAAGCCTGGCAAGACACTCGCCCCGCCGCTCCTGCCCCATGCCTTTGGGGGTGTCGGGATGCCCCACTTTAAGCCGGGCTGAGCTCATCTCCACCCGACCTCCCCGCACTCACGTCAGTGGCCTTTTCAGTCCTGCCGTCCTGGTGGGGTGCAGTGGCCCAGGGTCCTGGCTACCTAATGAGCTCCCCAGGCAAACGTTGGAGCAGAAGGGATCACAAGTGGCACAGCCAAAGGAACGGATTCCAGAAACGTGAGCTGGTGGTTGAAAACACTCACGTGAGCAATTGAAAAGGCCGTGAAACCATTACCAAACATTGAGAGCAGAAATGGAATTTAAAGCGAAGGTGGGTAAAACCCCGAATTCTCCTGATCCCAGATTTCTTTTTCTTTTTTAAGCTTATTTGCTTATTACAAAATGAATCCACTCTTTTTACAGAACAATTACAAAATATTGACAGCCAAGCATGGTATCCTAAACCAGCCCATCCCTCACACATTCAGGGGCAGCTCCTGTTAACCCGGGGTTCCCTCCTCAGGGCTGTTAGCAGGTGCGTATGCATGTGAGTGTGGGTGTGCGTGTGTGCATATGAGTGTGCATGTGCGTATGTGCACGTGTGACTTGCGTGAGTGTGCATGTGCGTGTGCGTGTGTGCACGCATGTGTGTGTGAATGTAGGAGCGCATGTGTGCATGTATGTATGAGTGCATTGCATGTGTGCACGTGTGTGTGCATGTGTGTACGTATATGTGTATGAGTGTGTGTGTGCACGTGTGTGTGCATGTGCGTGTGTGCGCATGCATGTGAGTTTAGGAGTGCATGTGTGCATGTATGTGTATAAGTGGGCATGTGAGTGTATGAGTGTGCATGTGTGTACATGTGTGTGTTTACGCATGTGTATGCATGTGTGCGTGTGTATTCTTAACCCAAGGGAGGCACTGCTTACCACTGGATCATAACCAGATGTTTAACCAGTCTTCAGAGGGAGGACATTTAGGTTCTTTCCAAATGCAGCACAGAGCAGGGGCGCTGGGGAAGGGGAAAGGAAAAAGAGCTCAGCGCAGGGAACTCGTGATCTTGTAGAGACAAACGGAAACATTCACACACCAAGGGACAGCAGCAGAATGGAGGGGCTGAAATGGGGGGGCCGGAATGGGGGGGGCAGATGGGGGATTGGAATGGGGGGGCCAGAATGGAGGGGCCAGAATGGGGGGCCTGGAATGCGGGGGCCGGAATGGGGGGACCGGAATGGGGGGGCTGGAATGGGGTGCCGGAATGGGGGGGCCGGAATGGGCGGGGGGCCAGGACGGGGCGGCCGGCATGAGGTACTAGACTCTTCCTTAAGTGGGGTGGGACACATCCACAATAAAATGTTTAAAAAGAAGGAAAAGGACCAGGGCACTTCAGAAAAAATGAAGGAAGCCACATGGGAGACGTCACAAGGCATTGCCCACCCCTTGCCCACCCCGTGGGCTCCCAGCCAGCAGGCAGGGCAGGGTGCACACTTCCTCCTGCCTCCCCGAGGTCCCCGGGGCTGACCACAGGTTCACATGGGCAGCGAGGTGGTCGCAGGAGGACGGGGCCTGGAGATCCAGCCCCAGATGACACTGCAGGCCCCGGCAGGGGACGGTGCCACCCTCACCTCTGCCTTCTTGCCTCTGCTCTGCCTGGCCCATGGCTCTGTAGGCCTCCGTCCTCTAAGGACTCAAATTTTTTAATATAAAAATAAGTTGCAGGCCGGGTGTGGTGGCTCACACCTGTAATCCCAGCACTTTGGGAGGCCGAGGTGGGCAGATTACCTGAGGTCAGGAGTTCAAGACCAGACTGGCCAATATGGTGAAACCCTATCTCTACTAAAAACACAAAAATTAGCTGGACATGGTGGGGGACGCCTTTAGTCCCAGCTACTTGGGAGGCTGAGGTAGGAGAATTCCTTGAGCCCAGGAGACGGAGGTTGCAGTGAGCTGAGATCGTGCCACTGCACTCCAGCCTGGGCAACAGAGTGAGACTCTGTCTCAAATAAAATAAAATAAGGCCAGGTGCGGTGGCTCACGCCTGTAATCCCAGCACCTTGGGAGGCCAAGGCAGGTGGATCACGAGGTCAAGAGACTGAGACCATCCTGGCTAACACGGTGAAACCCCATCTCTACTAAAAATACAAAAAATTAGCCAGGCGTGGTGGCGGGCGCCTGTAGTCCCAGCTACTCGGGAGGCTGAGGCAGGAGAATGGCGTGAACCCGGGAGGCGGAGCTTGCAGTGAGCCGAGATCACGCCACTGCACTCCAGCCTGGGCGACAGAGCGAGACTCCGTCTCCAAAATAAATAAATAAATAAAATAAAATAAAATAAAAAGTTGCAGTGTCAGCAATGAGTTAGCTCTTTAATGGGGGCTTTTTTAAATGAATATTTCTCAGCTGTTGGTGAGCTCAGCTGAGGGAGGGCGGGCGCCACGGGTCCCTGACTCAGACCTGACTGTGGGGCTGGGACACGACTGCCCCTAGTGGGAGCAAGGCCCAACGGTTGGGGGGTGCCCAGCGCCCAGCCAGCAGCTGGGGTGTCTGTGGGGGCTCCCCCATCGCCCTCCCCTCCCCCTTCCCTTCCTTCCCTCTCCTCTCAACCCCCACTCCCCTCACACCTTCCCCTCCCCCTCACTCCTCTCCCCTCTCCTCAGGGCTCCCTGGCTTCCTGCCTCACCCTTCCCCTCCCCCCACTCCCCTTCCTCAGGGCTCCCTCCCCTCACTCCCTCCCCACTCACTCCCTCTCCCCTTCCTCAGGGCTCCCCGCCTCACTCCCTCCCTGCTCACTCCCCTCCCCTTCCTCAGGGCTCCCCACCCCCCCACTCCTCCTCCCCTCTCCTCAGGGCTCCCCCCCTCACTCCCACTCACTCTCCTCCCCTCTCCTCAGGGCTCCCTCCCTCCTCACTCCCTCCCCGCTCACTCCCCTCCCCTTCCTCAGGGCTCCCTCCCCCCTCACTCCCTCCCCCGCTCGCTCACTCCCTCTCGCCTCTCCTCAGGGCTCCCCGGCTTCCTGCCTCTCTGAATTCCTCCTCCAGACCCTCAAGGCTCCCTGCTCATTCCCTCTGGGGTCCTGAGGTCTCCAAGGGCCACTCTGGCTTCCCCCCTGCAGACCCACCCTCCTAGGGGAACAGGGTGACCCCACACAGACACTGATGGGACAAGAGAACCAGCCCTGCAGAAAGCCTCCAGGTGAGGCTGACAGTGCTGGTCCTGTGACGGGGAAGCAGGTGAGAGCCATCTCTGGCCTCAAGGCTGATCAGCAGCCCCCAAGGTGTCCTCTGCAGAGAGGGCCAGCCTCAGGCCTGCCACCCCGTAGACCACAGGGACCTGTCCTGAGATTCCTCCATTTCTGAGCACCAGCCTAGGAAATGATGGAGGGTCTGGCCCCCAGGCCCAGACCCCCAGGCCCCCTGCCCCCGTCTAGGTCCCCAGGTACTTGCAGAAAAGAAGGGGTGAGCACAGCCTTCTGTAAGGGGGCGCCCGAGTCCTGGCCAAGGTGGCCGCCCACCCTGGGGCTCCAAGGTCCAGGCAGCCACCTCTTCGGTCTCTGCCCTTAATGTGGGGCAGAGTGGCAGGTCAGAGCCCCGGCCCTGGCCCCGGCCCCAGCCCCAGCTCCTCCTCAGCCACAGGGGCATCTCCAATTCCTGAAATAATTCAGTTCCCTCTCCTGGGCACCTCTAGAGCCCAGCTGGGCCCAGGGTGTGTTCTGCAGTTGTGGGGGTGGGGGGGAGGATTTTGCAACCCTACCCTCTCTGCAGGGTACCTCCGGTGGCTCTGGCCTCTGGGCCCCATGCTGTGCCAGACACACAGAGAGGCTCAGCCAGTTATTTCCAAGAGGCCAGGCAGGCAGGAGAGGCCCAGGATCTGCCAGGACTGGGAAGGGAGGCAGGAGGCTTCTCTGGGTATAAAGCAGCTGAAATGTGGAGTTTCCTCCCAGGAGCTGAGAGGTAGCTGCAGGGCGAGCCCTGGGGGAAGTGTGCAGCCGCTGGAGCTCCGTCCTGGGCAGGGGTGGTCACGGCTTGAGGATGGCAAGGGCTGATGCCTTGTTTGCTTTTAAAATTGTTGCTATTTGCTGTAGTTCCCCTGTTATTCCTAAACTCTCAGGAAGCACCTACTGGCCTCAAGGTAGTCTCGCTTATGGGGCTGGGGATGAAGAAGAGTGGGGTGTGCAGGTGGGCAGAGCTCCAGCGGCAGGAGGCTGAGGGCGGGCTGGGGAGTAGCAGCAGGGGATGGGCACGAGGCCCCTTCGGTCCTCCTGCAGCTGTTTTAATGTGGCGTTTTGGAAAGAGCCGCACCCCGTGGGTGCCTATGGGAAGGAGGCGTCTTAGTCACATGCCCCTAACGATTGCGGCGTTTCTCTACAGCGTGTCCATGGGCCCAGTGCCTGGCGTGTCCTCCCTGGGAGCTTGCTGGACGCATGACCAGGATTCTGGGAGGGCAGAGGACAGGTGGGTCCTGGTGGTAGGTCAGCTGCTGAGTTTCCCTATGACGTTTGTTCCGCTGGTGCCCAGAGCCCCTTCAAGGTGTCCATCATCAGGGGAGAAGTGGCGCCACAAACTGCCTTTTAACCCTGGGGTCCTGCCAAGAGGTCTGGGGTGTCCTGGGGCCTGTGGCCTGGGCTGCAAGTGCAGCCAGTTCCCTCAGGGCATGGCCACCAGCCCTGGGCTCCCGTGCCCGGGTTTCCCTGCCTGCCTGGCTGGTCAGAGGAGGGAGTCCCTCTATCCACTCTGCCCCACATTAAGGGGAGAGACTGAAGAGGTGGCTGCCTGGACTGTGGAGCCCCAGGGTGGGCGGCCACCTTGGCCAGGACTCGGGCGCCCCCTTACAGAAGGCTGTGCTCACCCCTTCTTTTCTGCAAGTACCTGGGGACCTAGACGGGGGCAGGGGATGCCCAAAAGGGCCTAGACACCTTCCATGGCAGCCGCCATCACAGGGTCTGTGGGAGGGCGTGTCCTCCCTTCCGCAGGCCTGGTGGGCAGCGAGGCCGTGCAGCTGCGACCCACCCTCACATCCGGGCCGGGAGCGGACTGAGGCCCAAGGCTGAGCCTCCACTCTGGACCTGGGACGTCTGGGCAGAGGAGCCCCGTGGTGGGGCCAGGGCGAGGGCATAGGGGCCTCAGGGTGGGCCCTGGGTACCCTTGACCTGCAGAGGCGTGTGGGGAGGTTCCAGCAGCTTCTTGGAGAGGCCCGGGGTAGAAGCACTAGCAGGTGAGCTATTGTGGGCCTTGGCGAGGCCCAGCCTTGAGCCGGATGGCCCGTGCCCCAGCTTGGAGGGGCTTGTGGGCAGTGGAGTACCGAAGGGACCTAGGCAGTGGGAGGAAGGAGAGATGAGGGCTAGACCCAGGCAGAAGGTGCAAGATGGCCCGCCGGCCTGGCCCAGACAGGAGGGTGGGGTGGGCAGGAGGAGGTGGGGGTCCTGAGGTCAGTGCTTCAGCTGCTCGGGCTGGCAGGATGCCCACCCTGCTGGGAAGGAGCCTGGCCTTTCTCCAGAGCCACAGCAGGGGCCTGGGCACCCCGCACTTGGTCCAGGCTGAGGAGGCCTCAGGTGCTGGGAGGCCTGGGAGGGCCCGGAAGAGCCTGCCTTTCTGCCCCCTGCTGCCTCACTGTGGGAGGGCACAGAGGAAGTGAAGGGCGGGAGCTGGGAGAAGCGGGAGGAGGAGGGGCAAGAGGAGGGACAGGAGAGGCTGGGTGCCCAGGTGCTCTCTGAGCAGGACCTTCCATGCGGCTCTGGGGGGCCCCTGGCACTGGCAGGTCAGGGGTCAATGAGAGGAGGGAAAGGTGGCCGGGAGCAGCTGCTGGGGCGGGGGAGGGCAGGAAGTGCATGAATCAACGCATGGGTGGGGGTCCCCTGAGAGGCCCATGGGAGCCCCTGAGCCCGGCCCCTGGTAGAGGGGCACCAGGCCCAGCTGTGGGATTGTGCCTGGGATTCCTGCGGCTGGGATTTCCTGAAAACCCCTCCTGCCTCAGCTTTGAATCCGAGGGTCATCAGGAAGCGGTTCTGGGGCCCGATGGCCAGAGACCCAGGGACTGGGCAGAGGGCCTCTCCCTCCAGCAGCAGGGGTCACCCGTAGGCCCAGAAGCCCAGCCCTGGGGCCCAAGGAGGGCTGCCCCAGGCAGTGGTGTAGACAGGCTCTCAGAGCCTCCACGTGGCCCAGACTTGGGCTGGAGGGACTGAAGGTGGGGGCGCAGTGGGGCCCTGGGGAAGCCAGGCTGATCACACCCAGGTGCTTCAGGCAGGGCCTGGCAGGGCGAGGTCCACTGGGCTTTTTCCTAACGGGGTGGGGGATGGAGGGGCTCCCAGTCGGGCCCCTTCTTGTGTGCAGCCTCCTCCCTCTTCTCTCCCCTTCCCTCCTTTCTTGTCTGAATTAATCTCTCCCTCTCGCCCACTTCCCCACCTCTCAAAAGACCACAGGCACCCAGGATAACTCAGTACACATGGGTTCTCAGCTTCCTGTTCACAGAGAAACCTCAGACAAGAAGCACGTCGCCCATTTCTCATCAAGGCCAACCCCAGACCACGAGAGCGCTTTCTCTGCGTCAGCCCCAGCACCCCAGCGCCCCTGCCTCCGGGCGCCCGCGGCCTCCGCACTCCAGTGGCCCAGACCTGGCTGAGGCAGCTCCCGTGGTAGATCAAGCCTCACAGGCGGCTGGAAGAGCCAGTTCTGGGCTGGGCCTGTGGGAACAGGCGTCTGTTAGTCAGGGTTTCAGGAATGCGGCCTTCGAAGCCTGAAGCGGGGAATGGCGGCTCTGGGCCCTCAAGGGGCAGGCGGTGAGCCTGGGAGGCCAGGCCGGGCTGACCCAAGGGGAGAGGACCCTCTCCGCCCACTGCCGCTGGCCCTGGGCAGGTCTAGAGCCTGGGGGTCTCCAGAGGCACAATCCCTTATCTCCGGGAGAAGGCAGAGGGCAGAGGCAGGAAACAAATCTCCTGTCAAAATTCCTAATTAAAATACTAAGTAAGTGATGGCTCCAGGCTGAAACACCGGACACTGAGAGAATAAGGGAAAATCAGCCCCGACAGCCAGGGCTAACAAGACGGTTAATTACAGCCCGAGAAGAACGTTAACAGTATTAATTCTAACCACAAAGGAGGAAAAGAGAAGACCGCCTAAGAAGGAGAAGGAGGGTCCCTTTCCCAGATGAGGCTGCCCTAACCACTGGGACCTCGGCCCCTCCCAGGCCTGAGGGAGCCCAGCTCTGCCTGGCCCCACCCATCTCACACCAGCCCTGCCTGACCCGCCCACCTCACCCCAACCCTGGCTGGCCCCGCCCACCCTTGCCTCAGCCCTGCCCGGCCCCTCCCACCCTTGCCCAGCCCCTGCTTGGCCCCTCCCACTCGTCCCAACCCTTCGTGTCACCGCCAACCCTTGCCCCAGTCCGGCCCGGCCCCTCCCACCCTTGCCCCAGCCCTGCCTGGCCCCTCCCACCCTTGCCCCAGTCCGGCCCGGCCCCTCCCACCCTTGCCCCAGTCCTGCCCGGCCCCTCCCACCCTTGCCCCAGTCCTGCCCGGCCCCTCCCACCCTTGCCCCAGCCCTGCCCGGCCCCTCCCACCCTTGCCCCAGTCCTGCCCGGCCCCTCCCACCCTTGCCCCAGTCCTGCCCGGCCCCTCCCACCCTTGCCCCAGTCCTGCCCGGCCCCTCCCACCCTTGCCCCAGTCCTGCCCGGCCCCTCCCACCCTTGCCCCAGTCCGGCCTGGCCCCTCCCACCCTTGCCCCAGTCCGGCCTGGCCCCTCCCACCCTTGCCCCAGTCCGGCCTGGCCCCTCCCACCCTTGCCCAGCCCCTGCTTGGCCCCTCCCACTCGTCCCAACCCTTCGTGTCACCGCCAACCCTTGCCCCAGTCCTGCCCGGCCCCTCCCACCCTTGCCCCAGTCCTGCCCGGCCCCTCCCACCCTTGCCCCAGTCCGGCCTGGCCCCTCCCACCCTTGCCCCAGTCCGGCCTGGCCCCTCCCACCCTTGCCCCAGCCCCTGCCTGGTCCTGCCCACCTCACCCCAGCACTTCCTATGGGACTCACGCCTTTGTCTCGGGCTTTTGGTTTTCAAAATAAATTATAAGTTTTAATAAAATAAAGTACTAGAAAAGCTATTCATTACGGAAGATGTAAAAATCCGAAAAGAAACTTCCATTTGGGAGGAGAAATGGAGAACGGAGCCCAGGAGGTGGAGGAAGGAGGTGGAAGGCCCTGGGCCCTGGAAGGTTCTGTCTGTTCTCCAGGAACCCAGCTTCCATTTACTCCCCTAAAGCAGAGGGATGCTCTGGGAAGGCAGGTGTGGGGCCCAAAGGGACCCTGATGAGGACACGTGGGGTCAGCGGGGGTGGGGGCTGCAGCCGGAGCCGGTACCAGGTGTGCCCCCCCATGCCACTCTGGAGCCGGTACCAGGTGTGCCCCCCCGTGCCACTCTGGCCTTCAGCACGTGGACGAGAAAACCAGCCCCTCATGATGTGGATCCCCTCTTTAAACTGGGCTGCACTTCGGTCTATAAAATATTCAGTGTCTTTCTAAATAATTGCATTATTTATGATGCCGCTCGTGAAATATTCATGTCTGACTTTGACACGGAGCCAGTATGCCCATGCAGGTCTGTGGCGACGGGCTGGCCTTTCCCAGGTAATGGGAGGAAGTAGGGCTGCTGGGGTGGGGG
The DNA here is from genome assembly GCF_000001405.40 of Homo sapiens. Lineage (NCBI taxonomy): Eukaryota > Metazoa > Chordata > Mammalia > Primates > Hominidae > Homo > Homo sapiens. The sequence goes on from NC_000010.11 coordinate 132,449,970, forward strand.
GTGCTCGGGGAGTCGGTGGAGCCCCCTGGCAGGTGGATCTCACCCGGGAGCCAGGGATCTCCCCACTGGCAGCCTTGGGGCCTGCCTCCTCTGCTGGGGAGCTCATGAGTGGGTGGGTGGGCACCGGCTCCCCAATGCCCGATCCTCATGATGGCCACTTCGAAGCCCTGGCAGACTGGAGGCATCCCAGCCCCCACCCCAGCCCCCACCCCAACCCCCACCCAACCTCAACCCCCACCCCAGCCCCTACTTCAACCCCCACCCCAGCCCCCAACCCTCACCCCAGCCCCCACCCCAGCCCCGCAACCCTCACCCCAGCCCCCACCCCAGTCCTCACCCCAACCTCACCCCAGCCCTCACCCCAACCCCCACCCCAACCCCCACCCCAATCCCCACCCCAACCCCAGCCCCCACCACAACATCCACCCCAACCCCCACCCCAACATCCACTCCAGGCCCCACCCTAGCCTCCACCCCAACCCCTACTCCAACCCCCACCCCAGCCCCGACCCCATCCCCCACCCCGGTCCCCTCCCCAGCCTGACTGAGGAGGCTCCTGGGCCATGGCTGCTGCCCTGAGAAGGCCCTCCCGTGCTCAGAGGCACCCCACTCCCACTCTTCCCCGCCGAGGTCCTGCCATCCCAGCCCCCACCATGGACCCTGGAGAAGGTGACAGAAGGAAGGAGACAGAGGGCAGGCTCTGAGTGTTTGGGGATCTGTGTGCGGGGAGGGACTCCCCAGGCCTCTGCTGGTGGGAAGGGGCGGACTTGGCCCCAAACTGAGGTATTTGTCCTATCCTGTGGATTTTGCGGTGTGGCCTTCGTGAAGGGAGAGTGGGGGGCAGGGTGGTCACCCTGGGGCTCCCCTGAGAGGCCCCCTGCCCTCACGTCAGCCACCCTGGACTTGGGAGTCCAGGCCCGTGCCCCCCAGGCCCCCACTTCTCCTTGTCCTTCCCCTGCACATCCCCCCTCCTTGAGGGTGCAGAAACCACCTAAAGGTCTTGGTCATTGTCAAGGAGCCTTGGTCCCAGGACACTGCAGCACAGGGTGGAGTGGCAGGAGTGTGTCCAGCCAGCACAGACTCTGAGGGTCCCACAGGTCACTGGACATGGACCTGGGCCAGCTGAGGGAGGGCTGACCTCTGGGCCCCCCCTCATGTTCCAAAGCCCAGGGCACAGCCCCCCAGTCAGGAGGATCAGCTTTCTGGAGGTCCTCAGAGGGGCCCACCCTTTACAAGGCCTGGCCCGAGGAAATGAAGGGGCGGCCCCTGGCTGAATGGGGGAGGGTCCTTGGAGTCTGAGCGTCTTAGAATTCCTGGGGATGTCCGCTTTGGTTCTACAGTTCGCAGATAGGGGAACTGAATCCTGGAAACAGGCAGGGCGAGGGGTGGGCCCGCCAAGCACTGCGCCCCACTCTATGCCAGGTCTATGTCAGCCCCTCTCTTGCCCTCTCAGAGCTCAGGGTACATTTTGAGCCCACCTGGCCTGGAGCACGCAGGGCTGGGAGCTGGCTGGGACCTGGACAGGGCTCAGATGCAAAGGCAGCTTCCCCCAGCACCTTCCAGGCTCTGGCTGTTCCAAACCATGCTCCAGGCTCAGATGGGCTTGTCCCAAAACAGCTGAGCCATTACCTTCACTTGACAAGGGCCCCCCAAAACACAGCATTCCAGGGGAATGGGTGACCACCTCGTGGCCACCCCTTGCCTCCCTGCTGGCCCCATCCTGGGCAGGGGAGCAGCTCCTGCCTCCAGGAACCTTCTCCCAGGAGACCATGCGCAACAGAGGGGCGGCGCCCGGCGGGTCAGCACAGAGGCTTGCCTCACCTGCGGTTGCTGAATGAGTGAGTTAGTGGGTGAGGACCTGCAGGCAGCCCCTGGCTGACACTTTGGCTGTGGAGGAAGAAATCAGGATGTTCAGGGCCAGAGGGGAAGGTGGCACGGAAGGCAAGAGGGGAGCATCTCCCTGTGGAAGAGCAGGGTGCTGGGTGGGGCATGCTGGGGTGCCGGGACCCCTGCGCTGGCTGCCACAGTCTGGCAGGGAGCACGCTGCAGCCGCCTGCAGGAGCTGAGCCCAAGGGGACAGCCGTCCGTGTGTTGGGGAAAGGGGACAGCGATATGTGTGTTGGGGGTGGCCCCGCATACCCTCCAGGTAAAGCCATGCACTGTACCTGGGGCGTGGCCCTTGAGTGGCCACTGGAGCCGCCTGGGCCTGAGGGTGGGGTGGGGAGCCCATGTCAGGGTCCAGCCAAAGGTGCCACAGGGCTCCAGCACCAGAGGCACCCAGCATGGCCCTGCCTAGCCCTAGGGCCCTCTGCTGCCCAGGGACCCGACCCTGCAGTCTCTGGGTGGTCAGCGCTGCCCTAGAGGGGCGTGACACCCTCTGCTGGTCCCATACAGAAGGACACAGCTGCCACCCAGCATGCAGCTCCCCCAGGCACTGGGTGCCCACGCTGTACCCGGCAGCTTACACTGTGCCTTGTCACCCACGCTGCACCTGGGAGCCCGCACTGTGCCTAGACGCCCACGCTGCGCCTGGGACCTCACACTGCACGAGGTGCCGGCGCCACTCAGGCAGACCACCCTCTCCATGTGCGGCAGGATCCACCAGGGAGGGGCACCCTGACCCTGATCTCCCCAGGCAGCTCTGGAAAGGCCTGTGTCCTGGCTGGGGACCTCTGGGAGGCCATGGAGCTGGGAGGGAGGGACTGGAGGTCTGAGGGATCCAAGTAGCCCGTCCTGCTGCACCTGCCAGGCCCCAGTCAGGCCTGGCCATTAAGGCTGAAGGATGACCCCTCACCTCCTGCCCCTGGGGGCTGAGCCCTACCTAGGAACCTGAGTGTTTCCAGCACCTCAGCCCTGGCAGTCCCGGCTAGGCAGATCCACCCAGCACCGTGCAGGAGGCCCCAGGACTGAGCCCCGCAAGGAACATCTCCCAGTGCCCACAGCCCACCTAGGGGCCAGTCCACCAGGGATTGGGGGGGGCGGGGCCTGGGAAGGACAGGGGAAGAGTGAACCACTAGGCCCTGCGTGGCCACTTCCCAGCAGCCAGATTTAAGGCCAGGTTAGGATAAATCTCTTGTGCCTCGGTTTCCCCTTCTGTACCCCAGGATCACATTACCCACCCCCCAACACTGTTCTGCAGAATGTGCAGAAAATTGCAGGTGGTGACGCTTCTGCAAACAGCAGAGCCCCGGGCACCTGTCCAAGGCGGCTCCGGAAGGCCCCGCGAGTCCCGTGCGCGGGGACTTCCCAGGGGCGGGGTCGCGGGGCAGGGCGGGCGCTGGCTCCACCCCCCGCCGGCCCCGCAGGAACCGGAAAGGGGCTGGACGGTGTAGCGGCGCCCCCTGCCGACACCTCCTAGCATCGCGTCCCCGCGTGGCCGCGGGGCGGGGCCCGGGGGGTCGTTCCGGAGTGGCCCCTGCAGGGCTTACAAACAGACGCGGCGGCTGCGAGAGGGGGACACGATGACTTCTTTCTAGAGCAGGGACTTAGAGAACCGAGTCTTTATGCATGAATGTACCTGCATAACCATTTGCTAAATAGGGCCCGGAGGAGGCTCATAGGAGGGTGTAGGGGCAGGAGCCTTCTGGCTTTGAGCCCCAGGGTTGAAGCTGGAGCTTTCCCAGGTGGAGAAGACACAGCGAAGACCAGGGCGGGACGGCCCGTGGCAGGTGCCGCACACCGCGCCGTGGGCTGAGGGACAGGTCAGGACCCCAGGCACAGAGGTGGGTGGCCAAGCCCCGGCTCCCTGGCCCCTCTCCGAGGCACCAGGGCGTGGTCCCGAGTTTGGACTCAGAAGAGACTGTGCAGAGGCTGTGTTGTCCCCCACAGGTGTGCCCCTTTCATGACACGTCACAGCAGAGCCCCACGATGGCCTCTAAGTGTAAGTGGAGGGAAGAGTTGCTGGTCTCTCGCTTTAAATCACAAGCTGGACATGGCTAAGCTGAGTGAGGCAGGCAGGTGAAGGCCAAGGTCGATAGCTAGGCCTCTTGCACCAGTGAGCCAAGTTATGAATACCCAGGAAATGTCCTTGAAGGAAGTTAAAATGCTACTCCAGTGGACACACAGTTGCCAACAAGTGAAACTGCCTCCTTGCTGATGTGGAGAAAGTTCGAGTGGTCCGGACAGAAGATCAAACCAGCCATGACCCTCCCTTAAGCCAGAGCCTCGACCAGAGCAAGGCCCTAACTCTCTCCAACTCCACAAAGGTGGAGAGGGTGAGGAAGCTGCAGAAGAAAAGTCTGAAGTCCACAGAGGTTGGTTCATGAGGTTTAAGGAAAGAAGCCGTCTCCGTAAGGTAAAGATGTGGCTTCTTCGCAGGCTGCCAGGGTGAGGCCGCATCAGGAGGCTACGTCTGCGGAGCCATCCCAGGAGCAATGGGCAGCGTCTGTGGGTCTAGTGGCGAGGTCTCTAGTTCTGAGTCTCCAGGGAGAGGTGCGCAGGGAGCCCAGGGCCCCCCTTCCCCCACGGCACACAAACGTCTATCTCCCCGCAGCCTGCACCGATCCCTCGTGAACCACGGGACCGCGTGCGGTTATTCTCAGCTCAGAGATAGGCCCTAGACTGGAGCCCAGCTGCACACACCTCAAAACGAACGTCCGAGACTCCAGGGCTGCAGTCACTCTTGGACGAATTCTAAGGTCATCCCAGTCCTCTCAGGGGAGAGGGCACAGGCTGCAGGACCCGGTGACCAGCGTGAGTCCAGAAGGGTAGGGCCAAGGGGTCAGAGCCACCACCCCAGCCACCTCAGAACCAGAGCAGCCCTGGGCGTCCCGCTGTGGGCCTCGAGACCCCAGCATGATTCCGGGTAAAGAATTTCCACTGTCAAGAAGTGTAAACATGATTATCTGAGGTGCAATGGCCATATTTTCAAACCAAACTTCAGAAGGGGCGTGGCAGTACTGAATTCTGCCTGGGTGTGGTTTTTCCAGGCAGCAGCCCCCAACGGGTTTTCTTTTCTTTTCTTTTTGACATAGGGTCTCACTCTGTTGCCCAGGCTGGGCAGCCTCAACCTTCCAGGCTCCAGAGATCCTCCCACCTCGGTCTCCCTAGTAGCTGGGACTACAGGCATGCGCCACCATGCCCAGCTAATTTCTAAACTTATTTTTGTAGAGATGAGGTTTCTCTCAGTTGACCAAGCTGGTCTTGAACTCCTGGCCTCAAGTGATCCTCCTGCCTCGGCCTCCCAAAGATCTGGGATGGCAAGCTTGAGCTGTGGCCAGCCTTGACCAGGTTTCCCATGGGCCTGGGGTGTGCTTGTCTCCAGCAGCTCTGAAGCGCCTCTCTTCCAACTCCACTCCAGTTCCAGCAGCACAGAGACCCAGATGGGCATCCATCCACGCTGGGGTCAGGCCCATGCGCCAAGCTCCTCTGAGTAGCCTGAGTCCTCAGCCATGGTGACCCCACGTGGAAAAGTCTTGAAACTGACGTCTCAAAGAGGATGATGTGTGAGCGACCGTGACAGCAGCACAAATCCCAGGTGGACAGGACACTCCGGCTGCCCCGAGTGGCCGAGGACGGGTCGGCATCTCCTGGCATTTTTGTCCGTTTTGGTGGCAGGTGAGCCCAGCACGTAGGGAGGGATGGGCAGCCCACAGCCGGGACTGGACGACTCAGAAGTTCCGGCTAAGGTAGGATAACTTGGGCAGGCTTCCCGAGTCCCTCCCAGCTGCGGTCCCCTGGCCCCCACTTGCTCAGTGGCCAGGTGTGGGAGGAGCCAGCGGCCCTGTGCCAAGGGAGCACGAGTTGGGGCGTGTGGGGATGGGAGGCCGGGTCGAAGGCCGCCTTTCAGTGCAGGGAAGGACCTGATACCACAGTCCAGCAGCAGAGGGAAAGCCAGGCCAGGGGTTTGAGGCCAGAGATCTCAGAACCTTGGGAGCCAGCTGCTAGTCTGCATTTCAGGGTGCCAGGAGTCCCTGGAGACGGGGATGGAGCCCTGTGGGTGGAGACAGCAGGACTTCAGGTCACCAATGAGGCCAGGGTGCTGGTGCTCAGGGTCCCAGCTGTGGGGGTCTCAGTTCTCCCAGCCCTGCTCCCAGGCTGACCCTCCAGGCCAGCCCCTCTCTGTAGGTCTGAGGAGGGTCCTTATGGAGCACAGGTGGGGCTGGGGAAATGGCACATGTCTCCGCAAAGCTCCTGTGCCTCCTTTGCTCCGGAGAGCCTGCTCCTTCACAGAGGGCGTCTGATACAGCCTGAGAGGGGCACTGTGGGGGTGACAGTCATGGGGGGCGGTCCACAGGGGGTGCATCCTACCAGCAGCCACAGTCTGAGGGGTATAGTCCATGATGGGCACAGTCCTGGGGGGACACAGTCCTGGGTGTGCATTCTGGTGCCTGCTCTGCTGCACACCCTGCACTGAAGCTGATTGCTCCCGCTGAGACCCCATGTCAGGCACATCATCATGTTGCATAGGAAGTCCTGTGACCAGGGCCCAAGGACCACAGAGGCTGAGCCAGGCGGCCACCTTGGCCACGGCCTCCCCAAGACACGACATGCTTTGAGGTGTGAGTTGGTGCTGGCCCTGCCATGTGGCTGCCACCACACCGCTTCCAGACCATGAGGCCCCTCACACACGTGTGGCCAGAGTGTCCGCACGGCCCAGGGACAGGAGCGTGTGCCCTCCAGGAGGCTGTTCTGAGGCTGCGTGGCAGGGCATGGTGTCCCCTCCACAGGGGCACCCTGCCTGGGCTGCGAGGATGCAGGGTGTTGTGGGTGGAGCCTGGATGGAGCAAGGACCATGCTCTGTCCTCCGTGCAGGGAGCTTGGGTCCTGGGAGAGGAGCAAGGTTCAGGCCATGCTGTCACTGGGAGATGACAACTTCATTCCCCAGCAACCGCAATGCTTGGCAGATGATGGCAATGCTGGGAGCCAATGGGACATGCATGGACAAACCATGCAGAAAGCCACGTGTGCTCAGGTGAGAGCCAGGAGGCCATCGTTTCCTGAGCGCGACCCTGCGTGAAGGAAGCTGCCTTGGGGTCTGGGCTGTCCAGCCCATCTCCCTGTGGGCTCTCCAGCACTTCCAGACCTTTGCACTCACTCCAGCGGGGCAGCAGGTGGGCAGCAGGTGCCACAGAACCCCGGCAGGAGCCCATGCAGCACTTCCAGCCAGTGGAGGTGGCTCCTGGGGGTGATCGTGGCCCCTGCAGGAGCCCAGAGCCTCTGTGCAGTGTTGCTGGGTCAGGGCCCTCATCCTCTGCCCCTGCGGACGGCCTGGTCTAGCTCAAGCCCTCTTCACCTGTGGCCTGGCTGGGCTGTCAGTCTCTGCAGCCCCTTGGAGGTGCCTGGAGGGGGTCAGCATCTCTGCCAAGCCCTGGCCTCAGAGTGTGGACAGTGATCTCTGCAGGATCTCAGTACAGGCAGGTGTGCCAACTCTCTGCCCACACCGGATGTTAGAGGCTGACATTGGGTGGGTGTAAAGGCAAGATGATTGATTGAAGGGGAAACTGAGGCAGGGTGGCTTGCCCCAGGTGCCGCCTGAATTCCCCAGCCAGCCCCACATTCCCAGCCAGCCTCCCTTTTGGGATGTGCTTCCCTGCTGCCGCCTAAGTCAGGACCACCCCAGCCCCCAACCCACCTCAGCAGCCGGATGCAGCCTCCTCAGAGCCCGGAGCACCGTGGGTTTGGACCCCAACACCTGCCTCTTGCCAGCCTCTGGCTCCTTTTCATGTCCTCAGAAAGTACTCACCCCCGCGGTAAGCAGGTGGGTAGCAGGTGCCTGGGGAGGGAGGGCAGGGGAGGGACAGCTTCGCGGGCAGCCACCAAGCACAGGAGGTACCAATACCCACCGCCAGGAGGGGCCTGGAGGGCCCCGGGAAGCCATCACCCCAATGAGGGACCTGCCTGTGCCAGATCACCAGGTGGCACCATCCGGACCCCTCCTTCCCGCCTGCACCCGAGAGTGGATGTGAGGCGGATCCCACAGGGCCCAGCCAACCTCAGCCTTTACCTCCTTGCGGCTGTGGGCTGCAGGCTCTGCACTGACTGGCTGGCATGGAGGAACGCACCCGGCCGTCCCCGAAGGGAGGGGCGTGGGCACACGGAGGTCTTGGGGCACCTTCTCTCCTCGTCATCTGGCCCTGTCTGTGGCTCCCATCCTCCAAGGAGGCCGTGCTCGTGGCAGGAGCATAGAAGGCTGGGTGCCAGCAGAGGCCCCGCGACGTGGGGGAAATGTGGACCCTGATGGAGGCGGTGATGGTCCCTGCTGGCGTGGAGCCTATGAGGCTGAGCCTTGTGTGGATGACAGGCACCCGCTGAGGGGGTCTAGGAGAGACCATCCCACCCAGATTCCAGAGCCTCAGCCCAGGGGGTGTTCCCGGGACCCAGCATGATCAGGGGCCTGAAAACCTCCTTGACGCCAGGAGCGCCTGAGCAACGCTGTCCACCCGAGTGGCTTGATTGGCTGCTCTGGGCAATGGCGTTCCCCAGGGAGCATCATCAATGCCAAGTCTGTCTCTCAGGAAAGAGACCAAGGTGGCCACGGTGGCACTTTTCCTAGGACTCCCATCCTCAGATATCAAGGGCCCCCAAAAGAGCGAGTCCCCCAGAGCCGGCAGGTGGAAGTGGCTCCTGGGACTGGAGACGGAAGCTGGAGACGGCCCTGAACAGTGTGGCCAGAACACTGCCCCCCATGCTCCCCAACTCCTGTGGGCCACAGCGCAGCCCCCTCCGCCCAGCCCGCAGCGCCCAGCCCGCTGCCGTGCCCACCTCCACCAGCAGAGGGCACCCCGCCCACGTGAGCAGGTGCCCGACGCCCCGCGCCCTGTACCACAGCCCTGTGCCCTGAGCCCCACGCCCCATGGGAGCCTGCCTCTCCGCACGCATTCCCATTCCCCCTGGAAACCACCCTGGAGCCAACAGCACCAAATGCTTCTCCAAAAAGACCTCTGACCACAAAACCACTAGCACAGTTACAGAGGACATGGGGTTCACAGGCCAAGCGTCTGCCTTGCCATCAGCTTGTGGCGCGTCCTCCAGGCGGTTCCCACTGTGATTTCCCCAGTCACTGGGCTTCACTGCCCCCGTCGTGGAATGTGCAGGCCCTGCCAGGTTTCCCACCTCCAAGGTGCAGTGCTGTGATGGCCGCCGCGGTCCCTGCGTCCTGTGTGCACCGGCATCATCGTCATCCTTGTCATCGTCATCCCTCCAGGAGTCTGCACCCTGAGCTGAGCACCAGGGCAGGGCAGCCGCTTTGCACACAGTCTGGGAGTCTGGCCCTCCCTGTTCCTGGAAGAGCCTGGGCTGTGAACTTTTAAACTGGGCAAGGTGTGACTGGAGGGTGTGCCGCAGTGGGAGAGGACACAGGGCAGGGTGTGACTGGAGGGTGTGCCGCAGTGAGCGAGGACACAGGGGTCTCCCATTGATCTCGGCCCCCGGCATGGCTCCCCGCACCACCGCAGACCGGCCGTGCTCCTGCCTCAGGCCCTGGCAACCCTCCCGTCAGGTGAGGCCTGGCCCCGCAGCCTCTGAGGCCTCCCAGGCTGTCTGCCAGCTCTGATGGGGGTCAGGAGGCTGGGTGGAGACCCCCGTAGACCAGGACCTCAGCAGGTGGCTCTGCCACACTCAGCCTTGGGACCCCCACACACTTCTGTCTACAGAACAACTCAGACCCGCCGCAGGTGCCTGGTGATGGTGGGAGCTGTGTTGCGTGCAGTCTGGCGGTGCACAGGCCACGTGCTCCTTTCTCTGCCGGGCTGCAGGCTTCGGAAAGGTGGTGGAGGAGTCTCCTGTGGCTGCTCTAACTGATGGCCACAAACTGAACAGCTTGAAAAGTCCACCTGTGAGCCCACAGTGTGGAGGTCAAAGTCCAACTCAGATCTCACTAGGCTGAAACCAGGGTGTGGGCAGAGCTGTGTGTTCTTTGGGGACTCGGAGAGAATTCGTTTTCTTGCCTTTTCCAGCTTCTAGAGGCCACAACGTTCCCGGCTCCTGGCCCCTCCTGCCTGTTGAAGCCAGCAGCAGCCACCAGCTGAGTTTCCACCCTCGTGTCTCCCTGGACTCTCGTCTTCTGCCTCCCTCCTCTCCTTTTCTGGACTCTTGTAACTCGGGGGATCCACCCGGATGATCCAGACAATGTCCCCATGTTAGGGTCACTCAGTTCCCTCTGCCATGCAAAGTAACACATTTGCAGGTCAGAGGGTTTAGGGCGTGGATGTCTTGGGGTGCATCTCGGGCGTGCCCCCCACGTGGGGGTCTCTTCCAACGGTGGTGTTGCCCTCACACAGTCTCCAAAAGCGTCCCGGTGCCTGCGGCCTCCTCAGCCTCACACCCGGAGTTGAGCTTTGCAGTGGGTGTGCCTGTCCAGCTCAGGGTGACCTGTGGGTGACCAACACAGGGTGGGGGCTGCAGCTGAAAAGTGGGGCCAGATGCTGAGAGCACAGACCTGGGATTAAACCAGCTGGCCAGGTGAGGGATCGCCTTCTCCATGGCGGCCGATGGCCTCCGGCCCATGCTCCATGCAGCGCCCAGCCACTTCTCTGCTGCCTTCCACGTGGCCCCTCCCCTCTGCAGCCAGGCACTGCAGAGGGGAGTGCTGAGTTCAGGCGGCAAGGACAATGAGCCATGTTGCAGGTGGTCCCGGTTAGGTGGTTTTGGCCCCATGTAGGTTCAAACTTCTCCAACATCTGCTCCTTGAGGGACAGTGAAGAATGACTTCGGTTTGTTTTGTGGTTATTCAGGCTTTCCCAATTGTGGAGCTAGTCTAGGATGGACTTTGGGTCTGCCCAGCAGCCCTGGAGGGTGCTGGAGTAGGGGGCAGCATCTGCATGCTGTGGGATCCCCTGGGGAAGAGGGTCTGTCTGGGCTCGGCCAGCACAGAGATGGACGGAGCAGCCGGGTTCTCACTGCCCTTGCTTCTGCCTCCCAGGGGCCCTGTCCCCACCTGGCCTGGGTGGAGGTGGCTGCAGACTGTCTGGGCTGCCTCTACTTTCCCCAGGCCAGTGAGGGGCCCTCCTGGGATGGCAGGGACACTCCAGGCTCTGCCTGACCTGCAGCTCCATTAGGTCCTAGCAGGACCTCTCCATGCCCTTGGAGCCTGGGGGTCCTCCCCAGAGTGGTCCCAGGCGGGAGGAACGGTGGCTGCCAGAGCCTCAGCCACACCAGCCTGGACCTGCCTGTTCCAAGGCCACTCAGAGCCCCTGTGTCTCCCCCAGACTCCAGAGGAAGGAAGGACAGGCTGGCACTCTACTTGGAATTCACAGCAACACCAGGGCCCCGCACCCCAGGCCTGCCCTGCTCTCAGCTCTCCCCCTCCACTGTCAAGTTCCCTCCTCTGCCCTCCATCCTCCTCCCTCCTCCTTCATCCTCCTCCTCTTTCCTCCTCCATCCTCCTCCTCCCCTTCTTCTCTCCCCCCCAGCTAACAGTGCTTTCCATCTGATCTCCTCTCAGGAGCCCTCCTGTCTCCCCGTCCTGGCAGCCCCTCCCGCCCTTCCTTGTTGCCCCCAGCCCCTCTCTCTTGCTTCCCTGGCACTCTCTGGCCTGTGCACACCTCCCTGGGGGCATGGCTGGCTCTGCTCTGTGTCCAGTGCTATTCCCCTGTGCTCGTGTGGCCGTGGCTCCGGAACAGGAGAGGAAGAGCCATGGGCGTCCCACATCCGGGTGGGGCCTAACTACGCCCCACGCCAGGCGTGGCAGCTGAGCACTCAGCGTGGCCCAGGGAGACGAGGGCCTATGGGGCATGCAGAGGCCATTCCAGCGAGGCTGACTGAGGGCCAGCAGTTAGGGCGGCACGGGCTGGGTCACCAGACTGGGGAGCTCTCAGCTTGTGACCTCTTCGAGGTGCCTTATTTTGCTGCAGAAGGGGCCTGTGTGTGATGCAGCCGCCCCAGCAGGGTGGGGTCCAGGGAGTCCCAGAGGGGCAGGTGCGAGTCACTCCTGTGAGGCATCTCCCGGTTCCCTGGGCGAGGTTCCAGGCTGAGGGTGCAGCCTGCCCTTTGCCACCTGCCCTGGCTGGTTTCAAGCAGGCATGGGCTCAGCTGTGCCCGCTGCTGGTGGCTGTCCTAGCAGAGTCCAGCCTGCAGCCCTGCACCCGGCACCCAATCCAGCTCCCCCAAGCTTTCCTTGCCCTGCCGGGCCCCTCCTTGGGCCTTGGGTGAAATCAGGTCACTGGGCTCTTCCTCCTGGGAAGCAGAGCAGCCTCCGGAACCGGGGCGGGCTGGGGGCTCCCTGGGGAGCTGAGAATGAGATTCTTCAGGTCGATTCTAAATTACACAGAAGGTGGTTGGACTCCGCGGGCCTCGGAACCACGGGGAGCCACCGTCCCAGAGGTCCCAGCAGAATGGGGCCTGCAGTTTCTTCTCGGAAGGCCCAGCTGCCTCGAGGTGTGTGGGCCCTAAATAAGGAAATAACGATGGTGGGGGGTTGGGGGACAAAACTGAGGAGGGGGCGGGTGGGGGGCTTCAGCTCAAGGACGGGCGGCGAGAGAGCAGGAAGGCTGGGCTCCAGGAGGGAAAGGGAGGTGCTGGCACCCAACCCCTGACAAAGTAGGGAGACCCACAGGGACAGGCTGGGCCCCTGCAGGGCCGAGGCACCCCATCCCACAGGAGGCGCAGCCTCAGCCCATGCCTTGTTTTACCTGGGTCTCCAGACCGCAAGGACACTTGGCTGTGAGCAGGACTCCGGGCTCCCACCCTCCAGCGATGAGCACCCAGAGTAGCCCAGCACGTGGAGGTCAGGGCAGCCGGGAGGCACCTGCTGCTGGCAGAGGAAAGGGGGATCCCTCGATGGGCCCCATGCTCCTCCTGGCCCGGCGGCCGCTGGAGCTGGTGGGCAAAGCCCAGACCTCCATCTGGAGGCCCAGGCGGGTAGCAAGCAGGTACGCCTCTACTCCCCGCAGGGACAGCGGCTCAGGAAGCCACCTGCTGCCGGTGGGCACGGATCGCTGTGTGGAACCCACAGTCATGGGGCTTCCCAGCCCTTTAGACTGAGCCCTGGCAGAGCACAGCTCATGCACACCATGGCGCTGGAATGCCAGGTCCACACTGCAGGGCCTGGGTGCCCCTCTCCTGGGGCGCCTGCTCTATCCCTCCCCTTCCCTCCTTCTCCCTCTTCAGTCATCAGCAGCTGCACAGTTGTCTGGGAGAGAGGCCCTGGAGTGGGGCCTCGGGCTGGGTGAGGGCATCAGGCTGGTCCGAGGCTGCCCGGCGTGGCCAGTGGGGATCGGGTCAATTCCACGAGGCTCCACATCTTTTCCTGGAGAGAGGGGTGGTTCCCACTCCCTGAGCAGGCCCCAGGGGCAGTAGCCTGCGCTGCTCTGCCGGTGGCCACCCGAGGCTGGGGTGCGGGCCATGGCCAGTCTCTGGCCCGGGGCCCCAGGCAACGCTGGACAGGGTGGAAAGCCAGGCCATCAGAGCAGCGCAGGGCGGCCCGTAGAGGCCGTCGGAGCAGCGCAGGGTGGCCTGTTGCATCACTGCCACCCTGAGCCTCTTCTCCAAGGTTGCCAGGCGGTGGGGGGCTGGGCCCCAGGGCCAGAGTCCCCAAATCCTGACAGCGCCCTTGGCCAGTGTCTTCTGGGGCTCTGCCCTGACCAATATGGGATTTTTCCAAGGAGGTTCTGAGCATATTCAGCTGGGAACAGACTGCCCCGTGCCAGCCACTGACCCTACATGTGGGCTTTGTCGGCAGGAGCACAAGAGCTTTCCTGGTCTGGGTGCTCCGTAGCCCTGGCCCAGCACAGTGCGTGTGCCATCATTTTTATGAGCAGGCAGGTTCTGGAGGGTTTTGGCCACAGGAGGGAGTGAGATGCCTCTGCAGCTCAAGAAGCATGTCCAGCCCCACAGGCCCAGCCCCATGGGGCTTCTGTGGGCCAGGAGCCCCTTCCCCTTGCAGGGAAGTGGGCCTGAGGAGATGGGCAGGACGTGCTCGGACCCCAGAGTGATTATGGGAAAGACCTCTCCCAGGAGTGCGTGGCCGGTGATGAGGCCGGGACAGACGGCTCCCAGCACCCAGGTCCCAGGGCAGGAGGTGGGTGGGTCTGGGCCGCCCACACCAGGCTGAGCTACTCACAGGGTCCCTGGAGCTGCATCGTCGGGGGCTTTGATGGTGCCCGTACCGCAGTTGGGGAAAGTGAGGAGTCATTCGCCAGAGTCAACAGACGTGCATGGCGGCGCTGTGCTCAAGCCTGGGCGGTCTGGAACCCTGATGCACCCTGCAAAGCTCCAGGGCCTGGCAGCCGGAGATGCCCCAGCCTTGAATGCATCCATCACCGAGCTGGGGGCCGTGGTCCCCCTCACTGGCTACCCACACGCCCCTAAGGACAGCCTCCCTGACACAGCGGCATGCCTCCTGGCAGGCCCACAGGGGACCTGGGGCCAGGGCTGCTCAGCCTGCCCACGTGTCTTGGAAAGGCTGTCGCTGGCTCGGCCGGATCCTCGTGTTCTCTGCCGGAGTGAAAACCAGCTTGTTCTGTCCAAGCCTGGAACCGGCCCAGGCTTCCAGGAGGAGGCCATGCTTGCCTGCCCTTGGCCAAGGGGAGCCAACCGCCCTTCCTGGTTCCAGGGAACCCCACGCTGTCTGCTTTGCCCAGAGACCCAGCTCCCTCCCTTGGAGCAGGCTCGCTGCCTCCCGGGTGTGGTAGGGGTGGCTGGGCCTCCCTTGGACAACGCTGGCTGGTTCTCTTCTCTGGCTGAGAGTCAGATCCCGTGCTTGCCCCAACCCAGAAGCTTCCAGGATGCTTTGCCTGAGCCAGGCCCTGGCCAGGGCCAGAGAAGTCCCCGTCCTCCCGGCCAGGCAGGGCAGGGAGCTGAGCCCAGGACGTGGAACATGCAGACTTGGATTAGCTGAGGGCTGGCTGTGGCTGGGGGCCCTCCCTGGCCTCTCTCTCAGAGCCTGTTTCTTTCCTTGTGAGGTGGTGACAGTAGCCCTGACGTCACAGCATGGAGCAGGATCACATGAACAGCAAATCCTGGCCCACGGTAGGCACACGCAGGGGTCAGGACGTTGGCCTGCGCCCTTCCCTGGGGGATGGTGGCTCAGGACCCCAGGCTGGCCTCCCTGCTGGCACCAGAACCCAGGGCCCCCTGGGCACAGGCCTGGGAAGGCTGAAAGAAGGTGTGGCCCAGCACAGTCCAGCATGGAGAGCCTCAGTGCCTGCCCCCTGGTAGGGTCCCCAGCCCCTACTCCCACACCTTTGCTGGGCAGCAGGTCCCCCCACAGGGGCTCAAAGGCTGACGGCCTTCCCTGAGGGTGCAAGGCTGGTTTCTGCAGAGTCCAGGGTGGGTGCTGGTGGCTTTGGGCAGTGTCTGGCGGCCCTGCGGATGCCCTGTGGATACAGCCCAGTGGGCAGCACAGAGCCAGACCCTGCCCTGCCCTGCCCTGCCCTGCCTTGCCCTGCCCTGCCCCGCCCCACCCTGCCCTGCCATCCCCAGGGTAAGGTCCCACAAGCCAGATCCTCCCTGCGTGTAGTCACCAGTCAAGGACTGCTCCCCAGCAATTCCTCCTCGCTAGCGCCACCCTCCCCGTGCTTACACAGCTGCAGCCCCCCGCCGCAATCCTTCCGGGCCCAGCCTGCCCCAGGACACACTCCCTTAGGAAGGTCTTTGCTACTGAACGGCTCGTTGGCCCTCACGGACCCTCAGGTGCGTGTCCGACAGCCCCTCTGGAGACTCACAGCCCGGCCTCCGTGCCTGGCTCAGAGCCGGAAGAGCTCCGCAGCCTCCGTCAGTCACACCGAGCCCAGCCTGGGGAAGGCCCCAGAAGCAGGAGTGTGCAGCCTCACAGACCGCACCCGGCCCTCCGCTCGGGGCTCTCTGGCCTGCGTGCTCAGAGCAGGAGGAGGTGGCCCAGGCTGTAGCCCCTGCTCAGGAGGCCGTGGAGAACCAGCTGGAGTCCCCACCACGCCCTGAGCGAGGGGGCGGCAGAAGGGAGGCGGCTCTGTCTCCGTGACATCAGGAGGGCCCGGGGGGCGGAGCAGGAAGACGAGTGACCACGACGCCAGGTATGGCGCTGAGCACCACGTGCAGGCCTAGCCGGTGACCCTCACAAGCCCTGCATAAGGTCAGGGTCACGCTCCCATTTTACAGATGGGGAAGCCCAGGCACCCGGACCACGCAGGGGGCCTTGTGCAGGACAGGGGTCATGTCTGGTCCCGTCCAGGTCACCTTACAGGTGAGACGCCCGGGCCCGCAGGTTGAGGCCGGCCAGCCCCCTCCCAACAGACCCCCTTGGTGGCTCTGAGTGAGGGCTGGTCCAGGGACAGGGCCTGAGGGGCACCACTGGGACCCAGCTGGAGGGTGTTCAGGAGCCATGAGGCTGCAGTCAGGCTGGCCCTGGGATGCCAGAGGGGATGCAGCCCCCACCGGGCCCCTCCTGTGGCCACAGCACAGCCCAGCCTGCCCCAGACAGGCTGCCAAGGCCTGGTTCAGGCCAGGGTGCCGGGCTGAGGTCGTGCCCACATTGCCACCCCTCTGCTCTGTGTGCTCAACTCAAACCCGCCCGGCCCTGCATGCAAACTTCCAGCTGAGACCCTCTGAGGCCCCTGGCGCTGAAGGATCAGGGTGCCCCCTGTGTATGATTTGAAATAACAACAGCACTAAGCCATCGAATGGGTGAAAGGTCAGAGTTCTGTTCTTTCCCACAGAGACAGCTTGGATGCCTTTTTTGAAATAACAAATATCAAATCCTTTCTAAAATTGTCACACACGGCCCCGCCTGGTTGGTGCCCAAGGACGTGCCCGGCCCACCCCGGCACCCTGCAGTTCCTCCCACCACCGTCTGGCCTGCTGAGCCTGCTGTCCTCGGCCCCCGGGAAGGAGCTCCCTTCCGCTCAGAGGGCTTCAGACCAGCCCGGTCTCCATCACACCCTCCACGCCGCCTCCTCCCAAGGCAGGCTCTGCCCCTGGACTGTAGAGAAGGCTCCAAAAGGACCGACCCCCCAGGACTGGAGACTCAGGAGAGGGAGCGCTTCCCTGAGTGCCAGTGGACTGGACCCTACCCTGAGCCAGGCCTAGACCAGGGGTCCACCCTGTGTGGCCGGGGAGCAAGAAAGCCAGTGGGGCCATCGCCTTGGTGCAGGTTCCGTGGGAAAGGGTCCTTTTTCCAACGGGGCGGGAAGAGGTGCCAGGCAGATGGAAGTCTCGGTTTCCCCAAAGGAGCCATCGGCCTGTGGCTGGAGGTCCTGCTTCCTTCCCCACCCCAGCTGGCCCTGGAGGTGGATGGCAGGCCCACCGCAAGCCCTGAGAAGCTGGGCGGCCTGGGTCAGTCCAGAACTCCCCTGACCCGCCTTTCCTGTTGCACGTGGGGACGCCAAAGCCAGGGAGGCTCAGCCCTGTGAGGCCCTGGGTGCTGGACAGAAAGACTCTTGCTCCTCCAGCCACCTCAGTGCTCTCAGCTGGCCAGGGCCATGTGTCACCCACTGAGCTGGGGAGCCCTTAGGTAGAGACACGGCAGGGTCCACGCAGGTGACACCTGGGTGACAATTTGAAAAAGGAGGCCTCAGGTAACTGTGGCCTGTGGACCGTGGCTGTGCCCAGCACTCAGCCATTTGCCTGATGAAAGACAGTCAGGGAGAGTGCCAGCTGACCGGGTGGGGGCGTGAGCTGAGCAGGGGAGGAGGGGCCCCATGTGATGCTCCGTGGGGGGAGGGACCCTCGGCAGAGGGCGTTTGACTCGAGGAGGGGGCGCCAGGCCCCGGCTCAGCTCACCACCCGGCCCATGTCCAGCATCCCCCCAAAGCCAGCCTCTGCCCGGGCCGAGGCTGCCCTCCCAGGGGTGGGGAAGCCTTGGCCCCACCTGCTGCCCAGTCTCCCCAGGCTGCTCTCACCACAGTGCCCCAGATTTTGCTTCTGGAAATACACTGGCAATTAAATCAAAAAGCCCTTAGAGCCGCCCAGAGAGGAAAGGTGAGCGCTTACGCAACAGCTCATTACCGCGGCTCCCGAGGGCCCAGGAAGATGCCCGTCCACCAAGGCCACCTGCCCAGGACTCTGCCTGGGGGCAGGAGGAGGGCAGGACACCAGCTGCCTCTGACCTGCAGCCCCTCACGTCCTCACAAGGGAGGATATCCCCCTCCCAGGGCCAGCCACGGTTCAACGCGGTGCATGAGCACAAGGTGCTGGGTGGGGCCAGGGGACACCTGTCTCAGGCTCAAGGCTAAGGAAGGGAGGAACGCTACTGAGCAGAGCTGTGCGGCCCCAAGGCCGGCTCCAGGCAGGCGGGGCAACGCCAGCTCCCAGGGCGGGAGGGGACGGGGGAACAGCCCCTGGGAGGCGCCAGGGTCGTGGGGGTGTTGGGGAGGTGAGGGACAGGGTGCCGCTCTGGGGGTGGTCAGAGTCCTGCTGGTCTGGCGCTGACAGGACTCAGGTCCACCTCCCTGCCTGCATACAAGGGGAGACTGAGGGTCTTCACGCCCATTCATCCCGCTCAACGCTGAAATGAAAGGAGGCAAGGAAAGAGGGAGAGGGCAAGGGAGGGAGAGAGGAACCAAGGGAGAGAGGGAAGAAGGGAGGGAGAAGGAGAGGGAGTTCGGGGAGGGAGAAGGGGAGGAGGAGAAGAAGCTGGAAAGGGAGGGGAGGGAGGAGATGGGGAGGAGATGGGAGGCAGGGGGAGGGGAGGGAGGAGATGGGATAGGGGAGGAGATGGAAAGCAGGGGAGGGGAGGGGAGGGAAGGCAGGGGAGGGGAGGGAAGGCAGGGGAGGGGAGGGGAGGGAAGGCAGGGGAGGGGAGGAGATGGAAGGCGGGGGAGGGGAGGGAAAGCAGGGGAGGGGAGGGGAGGGGTCTAGCGGCACCTAGAGAGTGTAGACAGTGCTGGCTGTTCTGAAGGGGCTGCAGCAGCTCTCCGAGTCTTTTCTGGGGCCTCTTGGGCCTGTTGACCCTCACGCGGTCCTTGCCCCTGTGGGCACTTCTTCCTGCCTCCTGGACAGTGGTGGGGGTGTTGGGGGTTGGGGTTCTGTCTCCCACCCACCAGGGCCTCAGGAATCTCTGGCAGCACTGGCCCCTTGCCCTGGGCCACGGGACACTGCTAGGCTGATGTTTGCAGCCCCGTGGCCACGGCTGTTGCAGCCCCTGCCCCCTGCCCAGGGGTCAGCAGGTCCCAAGAGCCGCAGAGTCCCCCTCCGCCGTCTGCCTCAGTTCAAGCTCTGGCCCTTCCTTCACCAAGAAGAAAACTCAGTGGGCCCACTTGATGCTTGTTTTCCCTGAAAATAATAATATAATAATAATAATAATGGCTCCTGACTTATTTAATAATAAAATTGTAGAACATTTATAAAATAGAAGAAAACCACAACCTCACCCCAAAACCCGGAGCGGGAAGGCCTGATGGCAAGCGTCTGCTCGGCCCTTCCAGCCTGTCCCTGGCACGCTGACCCTGCTTGGGACTCTCCTTGCCCGATCGAGCCTGCCCCGGGGCACCAGAGGACAATAAACCCGTGAAAGCTAGGCTCGGTGACCAGGGCTGCCCCAGCGAGGGTGAAACAGGGCTCAGCCAGGAGGGCTGGGGCAGCGGCAGGTGTCCAGCCACGGGGTGGGGCTGGTTCCCTGGGGCCTGTCCCAGGAGGGGCATTAGGGTAAAAGATCTGACTGTAAGGCCTCAGGCAAGCACAGGTGGGAAACCTCTGCAGGTCCCAGAGGCCAGGCCAGGGGGGCAGTTTGGGGCAGGCAGGGGGCTGGAGGGGAAGAGCAGGGGCTTGGTAATGGCCTTGACTTTCACCAGCCTGGAGACCAGCCGCAGAGTGGGGCGAGCTTTGCTTTCTGGGTTCTGACTTTGAGCGGCGGGCTCTGTGCTCTGGTGGGCTGCCAAGTCCCAGTGAGTCTGTCTCCAGGGGAAACTGCCTATTTGTTTAGGAAAATATGTTAATGGCCTTTTGGGTAGTGGGAGGAAAATCTCAGGGCACCGTCTGAAATCAACAGAGTCAAAGTGGCTCACAGCACAGGAGGGGTGTCCCACGGGGCGCAGGGCTGCCTCAAAGGCGGAACTGTTAGGGGCCCTCAGATTGGACCCAAGGGGCAGGGGAGAGGGGATTTGATACAGGATAAATTGTACGTAGTTTTAATTTAATTTATCTGATGACTAGAGATGTTAAGCATTTCTACTTTGGACATTTGATTTGTTTCATTTAAATCGTCTTAGGCTGGTCTTTCTCCATTTTTTTACTGGGATATTTGTTTTTTTTTAAATTAGTTTTGTGGTTCTTCATCTGTGGCAAATACTTTTTCCTGTTTGTCACTTGACTTTTAATTTATTTAAGGTATTTTTATAAATAAAAATGTTAAAATTCTATGCACTCAAATTTGTACATATTTTCCCTTGATGAAGACTGTTTGGTTTATGCTTAGAAAGTTCTTATCAAATTCAAAATTGGTGCAATACTTACAGACGTATGTGTTTTTATTTATAGAATGATTTGCTTTTTTATTTATTCTCTAGCCCACCTGGAATTGATTTATGTGAACACTTGGCTAGGAATATAATTTTATTTTTTCTCCAAGTAATGAACCTGCCTTCCCGGGACACTTGCGGTGTTTCATCCTGCGGCCGCCTGGGCCCTTGTGGTTTTGTGCTTTGAGTGGTGCTTAACGAAAGGGCCTCTGGAAGTGTGTGTGCGGCTTAAAGGAGACTCGGAAGACTGAGCCACGTCTCGGGATCAGGAGCGTAGAGCTGGCACCCCCCTAACAGGAACCCTGGGAGGCAAGCTGTTGCCAGGAGACCCTCACACGGGCAGCAGCCTTGGTTAAGAGATGGGCCCACCCAGAGCAGCCTGGTGGGGTATCAGGAAAGAAAAGGCCTGATCTTGCTCTCCTCCCACCTCCATCTCCTGCCAGTTCCTCCCTTTGCCAAACCCAACTAGAAGGCAGAGGGCATGGGAGTCCCCTGGTACTGCCGCGGAGGCGGATCCCAGAACGCCCCCAGCACACAATGTCCTCACTAGCAACAACTAAAGCTAGAAATCACAGACGATGTCTTCAAAGTTCTGGGGCAAAACGATTTTAAACCAGATTCTTTACGCTGCTGAACTATCAGCAAGCAGGTGTGTGGTGTGTTGCAGACGCTTATGAAACCACGGAGGGGACGAGGCCGCACGGAGGGAGGAGTGATGTGGTGAGAGGTTCAGAGGCTGGGTTAGCGACAAGATGGAACAAAAAGCTCATGGAGAGTTCCACTTCCACGTGGGAGGTGGCAGCCCACGGCAGGCCAGTGATCCTGCAACCACGACGAGAAAAAGCCAGGGGGTGTGTGAGAATCCTGCCTCCAAGGGCATCAGAGAGCTGTAGAGGCAACTAGGCAAGGGACAAGCACCCCCAAGCTGAGCCGAGTGTTTCCCAGCTGCCTGCTGGCTGGACACCGGTCTGGCCCAGACAAGAGGCCACTTCTGGACAAAGAGAAATGGCAAAACTTTTGGTGCTTGCCACGGAGCTAAAGGCAGATTGGAAACTCGAGGGGCTCAAACAAACCACTGGTTCTTCTGAGGGGCATGTGCTGAGTCTATGGCCACAGGGGAGGCTGGGAGGTGGGAGTTTAGCTAAGTCCTAAGGCAGAGTGGACTCTCTGGCCCTCCCATCCCTGGGGACAGAGTTCCTCAAGCATATCCTCTCCATCTCTGTCAAATCATTCATGTGATTACAAAGCCAGGAGACATAGAAGGCTGGAGAGTTCAGCTGGAACCTCCAAAAGGCAGAGCCAGGCCTTGTGCAGACCTCAGGGAAACGGAGGTCTGCCAGGCAGGCAAGGCCATACCCAAGTGTGGGTAGACTGAGTCTCACTAAAACTGCAAGCTGCTCCTCCCAGCACAACCCTGGCCGGAGGGACACGGTGAGGCTGCGCTCTCTCTGCCTTAACGAGGAAAAGAGACCCTCGCTGGTGCGGATGAGATCACCCGGGTCTCACCGGCTCTTTTATACACAATGTCAGGCATTTAATAAACAACTTTCAGACATGGAAAGAGGCAAGAAAATATGGCCAATAACTAAGAGGAAAAAAGAGACAATAGAAGTAGACCCCGCAGTGATCCAGACATTACAGTTTGCAGACAAGGACTTTAAATTAACTACAGTGAATAAATTTGTATTAGTTCGTTTTCACACCACTATAAAGAACTACAAGAGGGGCCGGGCGCAGTGTCTCACTCCTGTCATCCCAGCACTTTGAGAGGCTGAGGTGGGTGGATCACTTGAGGTCAGGAGGCCAGCCTGGCCAACATGGTGAAACCCCGTCTCTACTAAATATACAAAAAATTAGCCAAGCATAGTAGTGCATGCCTGTAGTCCCAGCTGCTCCGGAGGCTGAGGCAGGAGAATCGCTTGAATCTGGAAGGTGGAGATTCCAGTGAGCTGAGATCGCACCACTGCACTCCAGCCTGGGCAGCAGAGTGAGACTCTGTTTCAATTAAAGAACAAAAAGAACCACCTGAGACTGAGTTATCTATAAAGAGGTTTAATTGACTCAGAGCTCCACATGGCTTGGGAGGCCTCAGGAAACTTACAATCATGGTGGAATGGTGGAAGGCAAAGGGGAAGCAAGGCTCGTCTTACATGGTGGCAGGAGAGAGAGAGCGCAAGGGCGGGGTAACTGCCAAACCCTTTTCTTTTTTTTTTTTTTGAGACAGAGTCTCCCTCTGTCGCCCAGGCTGGAGTGCAGTGGCGTGATCTCAGCTCACTACAACCTCTTCCTCCTGGGTTCAAGAGATTCTCCTGCCTCAGCCTCCCGAGTAGCTGAGATTACAGGTGTGTGCCACCACGCCCAGCTAACTTTTGTATTTTTAGTAGAGACGGGGTTTCACCATGTTGGTCAGGCTGGTCTTGAACTCCTGACATTGTGATCCACCCGCCTTGGCCTCCCAAAGTGCTGGGATTACAGGTGTGAGCCAACAGCGCCCAGCCTGCCAAACACTTTTAAGCCATCAAATCTTGTGAGAACTTACTGTCATGAGAACAGCATGGGGGAATCGCCCCCATGATCCAGTCACCTTCTACCAGGTCCCTCCCTGGACATGTGGGGATTACAATTCAAGATGAGATTTGGGTGCAGACACAGAGCCAAACCACATCAGTATTACAGAATTCAAGGAGGGATCGAATAAGTTAAATAAAAAGCTGAAAAACTTCAGCAAAGAATTGAAATCTGAAAAAATAATTTAATTAATTAATTAATTAATTAATTACTTTAGAGATGGAGTCTCGCTCTGTCACCCAGGCTGGAGTGCAGTGGTGCGACCTCAGCCCACTGCAAGCTCTTCCTCCCGGGTTCACGCCATTCTCCTGCCTCAGCCTCCCAAGTAGCCGGGACCACAGGTGCCCACCACCACGCCTGGCTAATTTTTTTGTATTTTTAGTAGAGATGGGGTTTCACTGTGTTAGCTAGGATGGTCTCGATCTCCTGACCTCGTGATCCTCCTGCCTTGGTCTCCCACAGAGCTGGGATTACAGGCGTGAGCCACCGTGCCCGGCCAATTTAAATTATTAAGATATCAAATGGACATGCTGTAACTATAATATTCAGTATCTGAAATTAGCAGTTCCATCGATGGCTTTAATAGCAGTTGGACACAGCTGAACACCAGATTGGTGAACCGGAAAATGGATTAATAGAAAACATTCAAACTATAGCACAGAGACTGTAAAAACAGATAAGAAGAAAACCAGAGAAACCTGTGACAGGCGTGTGGAGCACGCTCCAAAGTTCCAATGCTCTCATCACTAGAGTCCCAGAAGGAGAGGAGAGAGCAAATGGGGCAGAAGCAATGTGCAAGAAGATCATGGCCTAGAACTCAAGAATGAATTCACGAATTCAAGAAGCTCTGCAAGACACAAGAGAAAAATTAAGCTAATGAAAAACAAGGCAGCAGGGCACAGCAGCTCATGCCTGTAATCCCAGCACTTTGGGAGGCTGATGTGGGAGGATTGCTTGAGCCCAGGAGTTTGAGACCAGCCTGGGCAACACAGATACATCCCATCTCGACGAAAAATACAAAATTTAGCCAGGCATGGTAGCACATGCCTGTTGTCCCAGCTGCACAGGAGGCTGAGGTGGGAGGATTGCTTGAACCCAGGAGGTGGGGGCTGCAATGAGCCGTGTTCATGCCACTACACTCCAGCCTGGGCAACACAGGGAGACCCTGTGTCAAAGAAAAAAAGAAAATGGGGGGGGGGGGTGAAAAAGAAAGGCAATATTAACATCAGGAAACTATAGTTATACAACAAAGGAAATGTAATCAAATTTTATGTCATAGCCCAGATCTGAGTCATATTTACCTAACACAAACACTAACTTTGATTTAATGAAAAACTATGGCCGGGCACGGTGGCTCACGCCTATAATTCCAGCACTTTGGGAGGCCAAGGTGGGCAGATCATGAGGTCCGGAGTTCGAGACCAGCCTGGCCAACATAGTGAAACCCCGTCTCTACTAAAAATACAAAAATTAGCCAGGTATGGTGGCGGGCACCTGTAGCCGCAGCTACTCATGAGGCTGAGGCAGGAGAATCCCTTGAACCCAGGAGGCAGAGGTTGCAGTGAGCCAAGATTGCACCACTGCACTCCAGCCTGGGCAACAGAGTAAGACTCTGTCTCAAAAAATAAATAAATAAATAAAAAATTGTGATTTATCCCAAAAAAAATAGGAAGAAAAGAAGTTCATGGGTCTGTGTGGTGATAGAGGCCATGTAAGAGAACTTAACTTTCATCTTCCCATCTACGGTCAACAGATAATATATAAAACTCAAAAACCAAGCAACAACAAGGTAAGTGTGTTATTTAGAAATATGTAGGTAAATACCTAAAAAAATTTCTGCAAAGAGCTGAAAGTGGTGGCCTCTGAAGAGGAAGAACTTTCTAGAAGTCAGACAGATTAGGTAAGGGGCTACAGCATTTGGTTATAAGCCTTGCCGCACAGTTCAAATTTTAACATTAATTATGGTTTTGATTAAAATTAAGGTTAATGGATATCAAACATTATCAAATGCCTTTTTGTTATCTATTGACAATCAAATGATTATATTTCTCATTTAACCTATTGATATAATTAAGTTATTAGATTTTATAATATTAATTCATCCTTGCCTTCAAGGAATAAATTCTGTGAATTTGATATATTCTTTATTTAAAATGGTGACTGAATTTACATTTAAGAATTTATTTGGAATTCTTATATCTACATTCGTAATTGAGATTATATTATAATTCGTCTTGTGATACTATCTTTGCCAAGTTTTAATATCAAAGTTATACTAGGTTCATAAAATTAAGTGGGGAGCTTTCCAAATATTTCTATGAATTTTCAATGTATATGGCATTGGAGCTCTGTTCCTTAAAAGTTTGAACTAACCCACCTATAAAGTTGTACTGGTCTGGCATCACGTATGGAAATAATTCTTTGGCAAAACCCTTTCAGTTCATTCAGTGGTTATTCATCTCTTAAAGTGTTCAGGTTTCCTTTTGAGACAATTTTTGGAAAACCACATTTTCCTGGAAAATTGCCCCTTTCTTTGAGATGTACAAATGTAATAATGTTGCACATTATTTCATTTATAATTCTTTGCTACTATGTAATTTTTAAGAATTGTTTTTGATAGTTAACTCTGTTAGGTAACCAAATACAATTATTTCAACCACTGACCTGTTGAATTTATTTCAAAACTCACCCTCAGTTTTTTAACTTCCAAGACGCCCGTCACGGTGTCTCTGACCTCAGGTCCCCTCTCCACTGTCCTGGTTGGAAGCAGGGTGAGCCTCTCAGACCCACGGCGAATGCAGATTCTCATTCCTTCAGTTGCTGTCAGTTTTGGGGTAATGTTTCCCCTTTCCCCTCTCCATCGACCTGTTTATTTCTGATTTTTAGGCAGCTTCTCTTCTTTTTAAAATCTTCTTACTCTATTGAGACCTCTTATGTATCCTCTTGTTCCCCAAGTCCACTTATTCTTAATTTTTAATGAAAACATAAAGCAGATGCTTCAAAAAATAGTGAGAGAATCTCTGCGAGAAAATCTTTTCGAAGCCTGTTTTATCTTCCTCTTGGCCGGCTAGCTCTCTGCCCTTTATGATGGTGGATCTTTTCACAGGCCCACATGGTTTTATTCTGGGTGTGTGCACGTGTGCGTGTGTACACACCTATGCACTCATGCGTATGGATTTTCTGTGCACGTGTACATGTGCATACGGATGTGTATGTGAGCAAAAGTCTGTGCACACATGCAGGTGTGTGTGTGTGTGTGTGTGTGTGTGTGTGTGTGTGTGCCTGCCCCGTCTGTCTCCTCCCGGAGTGCTGAGGGGACTCCTGCACCCCAGTAGAGCAGGCATCTATGAGCAGATGTTTCCTGGCTCCCCTCACACCCGTCTGCTTTGGAACTTAAGCTGAAGGTGGCCATGCACCCAGCCCCTGGCCACCCTGCCACCTTCACCTCTTGTGGTCACCGGCCATGGTACCTTCTGCATTCCATCCAGGTGTCTCCTTTCCCGAGCCTGATGGAGAGCTGGGCTGAGGTGAGCCCCCTCCTGCGGTCACACAGCACCTGCTGTAGACCAGGCGCCTAGGTGCAAAGCTCCTCCCACCTCCAAACCCCATCTCCACCTGGGCTGTGTCCTGGGAACCAGGTGCAAAGTTCCTCCCACCTCCAAACCCCATCTTCAGCTGGGCTGTGTCCTGGGAACCAGGTGCAAAGTTCCTCCCACCTCCAAACCCTGTCTCCAGCTGGACTGTGTCCTGGGAACCCAGGTCCCAGAATGGACACAGACTGGGGAGCTCCCCAGGGGCTCCAGCTCAGGTCTCCTGGGTCCAGGCTGGGACGCTGGGTCCCCCACCAGCTGTCTGAGACCCCAGGCCTGGCGCCCTAGGGACGTGCCATCTCCATGTCTGCACTGAGGTCTTTGGGTTTCTGCAAGCTCCCCAGCTGATCAATAAGCTGCTCACAGCTGCAGACAGGCGAGCCCGCATGTTGGGTGGCCCCTGTGGCATTTCACTGGAGAAGCATTAATCAGCCCAACCTTTGCATCTGCCAGTGGCCTAGCTTGTGATGTGCTTGGAAAGCCAGGGCTCCCGGCCCGGGTCAGAGATGCCGCTGGGGTGCTCATCAGCTGGGGGCACTTGGGTTGAGGGCTTCTATCAACTCCCTCCTGTTACCCACTCTGCAGCGGTCACAGGAGCAGTTGCAGGACTCATGGTGCAGGGTCCCCGACAGCCTGGGGAGGAGCTGGTGGTGCCAGGGATGTGGGCGTGGGGACCCCAGGAGACAGGGAGTGAGGCCCTCCTGGATGCCCACGTTGTTCCTTTCTCCAGCTCGTCCCTCCTTCCCTCATCCCTGCTCCAGGGTCTCCTGAGTCTCACCCACTTCCACACGCGTCTCTGACAAGTGGGTCCCCACCGCCAGCCTCCCCAAAAACTTCCTCCTGATAACACAGCATCTGATCACTCATCCCAGGGCCCTCCGCAGACTCCAGTCAGGGCCCCCAGACCCCAGCTCACAGCTGCGCCTCCTGCCAGCTCTGGCCCCTGCCCTCCCCTGACCCAGAGGCTGCTCCTCCTTCCTGGGGTCTCAGGCCTCGCCTCTTCCATAAAGCCTTCCCTGGGCCAGGCGGGGCCCCCACTGTTTGCCTGCTTCCCCCATTGGTTGGGGGCTCCAGGAGGGAGGGAGAAACCCGAGCACAGGCAGGCCAGACAACAGGTGCAGCCCGGGCCCCTGAGTCCTGCGACCATCCTGCTGGTGCCGTCCGAGCTTCTTCCACATAGGCAGGCTTCGAGGCCGCCCGCCCACCTCCAGGGGCCCCAGGAGAGAACAGGAGCCAGAGAGGAATCAGAGCCACCCACTTCCCTCCCAGCAGAGGCCACCTGTGCAGATATGGGATCCCAGGGGGCTGCGGGGCCTATGAGGCTGCACAGGGACACAGACAAAAGCTGGGCCATGCAGGACGGCCGTGCAGCCAGGCCACCCAGGAGCGCACTCCCTCGCTAGCCAGAGGCAGCCTGGGCCAAGACCACTGAGGGCAGTGCCCCACCCACTCCCCGTGGAGCACATGCCTGGCTCTGTTTAGCCCGGGAGTGCAGCTCTCCCAGTGCCTCCAGCTGATGTGGCCGCTGTGCCCTGGGACCTCCTGCTTCCTTAGCAGATGTCAGGTGTGCCCCCGTCGGAGCCCCCTCAGCCTCCAGAACCCAGAGTGTGGGCCAAGAACCACAGCCATGGAGTCAGGAGCATGTGGGCTTCCAGGCTGAGGAGAGGGGCCCTGGGGCCCAGGGAGCCGGGAGAAAGCAGCCCCCACCCATGGCCCCGCAGCCCCTCGCAGGGGGCTTGTCAGCCCTGAGGTCTAGCAGGGGGGGCATCTTCCTCCAGGCCAGCTCTGGGGGCACCACACTGGGTGGGTGCTGGGGCCCAGGGATACCTCCTGCTCCTCACCCTGCTGGGTTCAGCTGCCCACCTGGCCTTAGGAGCCATCTGTGGTTTCTGACCCTGGGCTTTGCCTCCAGGTCTCTAGCCCCCTCTGGAGCGGGTCAGAGAGGTGGGTGCTCCCAAGGCCAGTGTCTGCGTGGTCCTCGAGCCTCCTGCTGTCCAGTCTCCTGGCCTCCTGGCCCCTTCCCCTGCAGCAGGTCCTGTGGGGTACAGGGGGGAGAAAGGAGAGGCCTGAAGGGGCTTCCCCCCGGCACCCTCTGCCCTCTGGGCCCGGGGATATTGAAGCTGGGCAAAGGCCGCTGCCGAGGCCTGCAAACCCCAGGAAGTGGGTGCAATCCTCCCTTTGGCAGCCCCAGCACACCTGCTCCTGCAGCCTCCACCCTGCCCCTGGGGCCCAGAGGACGTGACCCTGAGCACTTGGGAGGGGCAGTTGCTGGGTGGCAGGAACCCGGGCTGCATGGTTTGAACCCCACCTCTGCCACCTCTGCCAACTCTGTGCCTCAGTCTCTCCACCTGTACAGGAGGCACTGAGACAGTTCTGGCCCTGAGGGTGTCACAGAGCACCTAGCCGAAGACGTCTGCGCCTCAGGCTGTGCCCCTTTCAGGGCTCCCGTCGGTGTCCCAGGGCTGCTGCCACAGAGCCAGCATGTGAGTGGCTAAGACACGTGTTTGCTCCCACAGTGCTGGAGGCCACGTGCCTGCAGTCAAGGTGTCAGCAGGGCCACGCTCCCTCCGAAGCCTCTGTCCCTCAGGGGGGACCCTTCCTTGACTCTGCCGGCTCCCGGTGGCTCCTGGCGTTCCTGGGCGTGTGCCTGCATCACCCCAGCCATGCCTTCTCACGGACTCCTCTCTGTGTTCTCTGCTATCCTTGTAGGGCCCATCCTAGGTCCGGGTGACCACATCCAGAGATCCCTAACATCCCTAACCCATGACATCAGCAAGGCTACTTCCAAATAAAGCCACATCCTGAGGTTCTTGGTGGACATGAATCCATGGAGCCCATTCCCTGGCTGGAGCAGGAGCTGGACAAGGGGCCCACCTTGAGCCCCACCTTGAGCCCCACCTTTAGCCGTACCTAGAGCCCCACCTTGAGCCCCTTCCCACAGAGGGAAAAGGCCAGGGCTTAGGGTGGCTCAGTGACCTTGCGGGACCATGCATGGCTGACGGGCCTGAGGGTGGGTGGAGAAAGGCGTGAGACCCCTGCGTGAGCTGGTTCTGGAGGGGACTTTTGGCTTGGACTCTAAATGCAGAAGACGACCCCGCCTCGCACTGCAGAGGAAGAAGTAGACCCCTCTGCATTGCCCCCCTAGGGAGTAGAAGATGAGCTCCCAATGGGTGGGGCTGCAGGTGCCACCACAGGTGACGCTGGGATGGAAACCTGCATCAGGAATCACCCTGTGGCTGCAGAAAGTGCTTGGCCTCCTTGTCCTGCAGGCCTGGAGGCCACTCACATCCGACTGTGAACCCAGCCCAGCCCCTTGGTCTCTTTCTTGGTGTCCTGGGAGGAGCTGCCACCTGTCACGGGACACATGGAAATGTGTACACAGGGCTTCCCAATGTTGTGTGACCCACACGCTGGTGACAGAGAACGAGCTGACTATGGCCACTGGCCCAAGAACACTGACCACTCAGGGAGGGAACAGGCAGTGCCCCTGTGTCCTGGTGGCCGAGCTGCCGTGCTGGTCCCCAGGACATGCACATGCCCTGTTCCAAACGCGTCTTCATAAACATCAGCTGGTATTTCTCAATCGCATCTTCGTAAACATCAGCTGGTATCTCTCTTTCAACTTTTCACCTGTGCCAGCTCCAGTGTGAGGAGTTCATAGCCAGCACATTTGGGACAACTCCCAGATGTGCCAAGACCGAGACCAAGACCAGACCAAGGCCAGTGGCCCAGGGCGGAAGAGGGCACTGAGTGAGGGAAGAACCGGCACTTCCACAATTAGGATGCACGATGTGGAGGCAGAGGTGGGGGAGAAGGGAAGGCTCTTCTTTACAGACAAATGTCAGCTAATAGGTGTAGATGGCAGAAAAAAGTGCAGGCAGAGAGGCAAGAAACGATGAGAACCTCCGTATATGGAAGTGCAGGCTGCCCTGAGGGAGACCGAGGAAGGTCGGAGAGCTTGGGCAAGACTTGAAGGAGAGTCTAGGTCAACTGGAGCCGAGACACTCTCCCTGCCTGGGGCACCGGGGAAGTTGGCATCCTTCTGAGTCGTCGAGCAGTGCCCTACTGAGACACTGAGCTGTGGTGTAGGGTTTCCTAGCTATGTGGACAAATGAATGGACATCCCTCCCAGGCTTGGCACCCTGGCAGTCCAAGGGGCCTTCCTGTTCTCAAAGTACATGCAGCACTTGGGAAAAGTAGCTGCACATCCCACAGGAAGTGAGTGAGCTGACTTCAGTCAGTTCATGCTGTAGCAACAATGTTTCCTGACCAGGATGCAACGAGCTAACAGTCAACATGAGATCTTACAACTGATCTTAATAATTTGAGATAAGAAGAAGCTTTCAGGGGCTGGGCGCGGTGGCTCACGCCTGTAATCCCAGCACTTTGGGAGGCCAAGGTGGGTGGATCACAATGTCAGGAGATCGAGACCATCCTGGCTTACACGGTGAAACCCCGTCTCTACTAAAATTACAAAAAAAAAAAAAAATTAGCCAGGTGTGCTGGCGGGCACCTGTAGTCCCAGCTACTCGGGAGGCTGAGGCAGGAGAATTGCTTGAACCTGGGAGGCGGAGCTTGCAGTGAGCCGAGATCACGCCACTGCACTCCAGTCTGGGCGACAGAGCCAGACTCCATCTCAAAAAAAAAAAAAAAAAAAAAAGAAGTAGAACCTTCCAAAATTACCATTTATTTGGAAAATAAAATATACACTTCTAAAAGCCGTGAGTTAAAGAATAACACATGATAGAAATGAGAAATGCTTAGAACCAGATTACAGTGGGTGCACTGCCTATTATGTATGAGTACATGAAACTCTCCACGTACATATGGAATATTGCAAAGTGCAACTAACTCACTCCAGAAATTAGACAGATTTAAAAGAAGGAAACAATGGAAATTAATGAGCCAAGCCTTCAACGTAAGTGACAAAAAGAACAAGAGGCTAAAGCAATAAAAGCAGGACAAAGATACAAATATGAGCAGAAACTCAGGAAATAGAAAATAAAAGGCAAATCGGGTGGATCAAAGACAAATGTTGGCTGATTATTAGAAAGATGAAGGTGACAGACGCCACTGGCAAAAACAGAGAGAGAGAGAACAGAGTCGGTATTAGGAATGAAAAGGAGAATCATCAAACACAAGCAGAAGTTTAAAGATAAACATATCAGGAACCAGTCCGTTTGAAATCTTTTCCAAAACAGGTAAGATTTTAAATGGATACATTCCCAGAAAATTGTGGAAAATGAATACATTCGCAGAAGATCATGACAAAAAATTGATTCAAGAAGGAAGAGATGACCTAATAATTCTACAACCATTAAAGACATTTAACCATTGATTTAAAATCTCCTGCAAGAAAACTCAGGTTGACAGGTGTGGGAGACCAGAACGCGCCTCCTGAAAAGCAGGCCTGTGGGGCTGAGGGCCTCTGCGAGGAGCAACGGAGGTAGAGCTCCCGGTCCCCCCTCGACACAGGACACGGGCTTACAAAGACGAAGGAATCCTGCCCCCCTCTACTAGGGAGAACAAAGGTTAACCACTGAAGACAGCTTCAGACCCTCATCACCTGCACCTGAAGATAGTTCCAGAATAATCTGCACCAACAAGCTTTATGAAGGAGCCTTTATCTGACATTTATTCGCTTTTCCTCAAGTTCCTGCCTACAGAGACTCCAAGTCTTTCTTTTTTGCCCAGAACTTCTCTGAAAATCTATCGCTCTTTGTTAAAGATGCTCTACAAGCTGGAATTCAAAGCCGCCTCGTTGAGAGTGACTCATGCCCTAGGCATCTCCCACACATACGTGAAACACACATGTTAATAAGCCTCTGCTTGTTTTTCTTCTATTCATCTCTGTTTTGTAAGAGGGATCTGTTCCGACTAAGAACTCACAGGGTTCTTATTTTCCCCTGCCCAGGGTTGCACAGATGTGTTCTACCAAACTTTCAAGGAACAGAACGTTCCAGTCTTTTACAAACTCTTCCTGAGAGTAGAAAGGAGGGAGCACTCCCTGAATCATTGTGAAGCCATTACAATCTTTAAAACAAACCAGACAAGAATAGTCCAAGAAAAATCATGTTTTAGTACAATCTCACTCCCAAACAAAGACGTACAAACCCTAAACAAATCATTAGCACACTGAACTCACGGCGTCTATTTTTAAAAGGTGATGACACTCATGACTGTGTTGGGATTTGCTGGGATTATCCCAGGAATGTGAGTGATTTAGACCGAGAAGATCGATAACTTTCATTCACCGCATGAACGGATTAAAGGGGAAGACAGGCTCATCCCAGTGGATGCCGAAAATCACTCAACACAACTCAAAACACACTCAGGAAAAAAGGAAGAGACTTTTCAAACTTAGAAATGGGAAACTTACCAAAAACCTACAGCAGACCAAAAATGGGGAAACACCGGTGCATCCCCTTTAAAAATCCAGAGCCCAGGCTGGGCACGGTGGCTCACGTCTGTAATCCCAGCACTTTGGGAGGCCGGGGTGGGCGGATCACGAGGTCAGGAGATGGAGACCATCTTGGCTAACACGGTGAAACCCCGTCTCTACTAAAAATACAAAAAATTAGCCAGGTGTGGTGGCGGGCGCCTGTAATCCCAGCTACTCAGGAGGCTGAGGCAGGAGAATGGCGTGAACACGGGAGGTGGAGCTTGCAGTGAGCCGAGATTGCACCACTGCCCTCTAGCCTGGGTGACAGAGTGAGACTCCGTCAAAAAAAAAAAAAAAATCCAGAGCCAAGGTGGGAATACTCTCCCCTCAGCGGCACGGCAGAGATCCAGCCGAGGTTTAACGCAGGGCAGCCTCACACCTTGTCATTCACTGGAACAGCAGTGAAGAGAACCAGGATTGGAAAGGAAGAACATAATTCATAAATTCCAGGCAATGATTATTACAAAAACAAAATGAATCTGTAGAGAAATTACTAAAAGAAAGTTAACAAGGTAGCCGGCTTACAAGATCCACATAAAAAGCCATTGTATTTCTTAACATCAGCAAATAGAAAACATAATTCAAATAAAGATAGTTACAATAATAATAATGAATTATAAGAAGTGACTCGATATAAAAATGGACAAAGTATTTGATAGCCATGTTCCTCAGAAAGATATACAAACGACCAATAAGCTCAGGAAGAGATGCTCAAGGTCATTAGTCGTTAGGAGAATGCAAACAGAAACCCCAATGAGACACCAGGTCCTACCCGTGAGGACAGCTGCAAAAAGTAATCCAAGTAGTCCTAATACAAGGAAAATAACAGCAGTTGGTGAGGGTGTAGAGGAATTGGGACCCCCACAGATTGCTGGTGGGAATGTAAAATGGGGCTGCAGCTGTGGACAGCAGTTTGGTGGTTCCTCAAAAAGTTAAACAGGCCGAACTCGGTGGCTCACACCGGGAATCCCAGCACTTTGGGAGGCCAAGGTGGGAGGATCACTTGAGCCCAGGAGATCAAGACCAGCCTTGGCAACATAGAGAGACCCCGTCTCTACAAAGAAATAAATTTAAAAATGGCCAGGCGTGATGACAGAGCCCTGTAGTCCCAGCTACTTAGGAGGTTGAGGTTGGAGGATCGCTTGAGCCTGAGAGATCAAGGCTGCAGTGAACCTTGGTAATGCCACTGCCCTCCAGCCTAGGTGACAGAGCTAGAACCTGTCTGAAAAAAAAGTTAAACAGAATTACCATATGATGCAGCAATTCCATTCCTAGGTCTATACCTTAAAGCCATATGTCGTATAACTTAATTAATTAATTAATTAATATATTATTTATTTATTTTGAGACGGATTCTCACTCTGTCGCCCAGGCTGGAGTGCAGTGGCGCGATCTCGGCTCACTGCAAGCTCCACCTCCCGGGTTCACACCATTCTCCTGCCTCAGCCTCCCGAGTAGCTGGGACTACAGGCACCCGCCACCGCGCCTGGCTAATGTTTTGTATATTTAGTAGAGATGGGGTTTCACCGTGTTAGCCAGGATGGTCTTGATCTCCTGACCTTGTGATCCACCCACCTCGGCCTCCCAAAGTGCTGGGATTATAGTTGTGAGCCACCGCGACCGGCCTGTATAACTGCATTTATATGAAATGTCCAGAATAGGCATATCCATAAAGACAGAAAATAAATGAGTGGTTATTGAGGGTAGGGGCATGTGTGGAGTTTCTTTTTGGAGTGATTGAAATGTCTAAAATGAGAGCGAGATGATAGTTACACAACATTGAATATACTAAACCACTGAATTGTGTGCTTTAAATGGTTAAAATGATGAATTTTTTATGATGTGAATTTTATCTCAAAAAATTTATTGAACCATAAGGTACCTAGGAACAAATCTATATAAAGACAGAAAATACCTACATAAAGAAAATACTATGACAGAAACATAAACAAATAAATGGAGATACACCATTTTAATGGAGAGATACTCAATCTGTACAGATGTTCCACCTCCCA
The DNA here is from genome assembly GCF_000001405.40 of Homo sapiens. Lineage (NCBI taxonomy): Eukaryota > Metazoa > Chordata > Mammalia > Primates > Hominidae > Homo > Homo sapiens. The sequence goes on from NC_000010.11 coordinate 132,484,894, forward strand.
AAATTTATCTCTCCATCCAATACAGTTGCAGTCACTATCCCAACAGTTTCTGTGGAATTTAACAAGCCAGTTTTAAAGATTACATGGTACAACAAGTGGAAAAGAATAACCAAAGACATCCCTGAGGAAGAACAAGCAGAGGGTGTGTCCTATCCGATTCACGTCGCTGAGCTAGCGTGTCACTGCCGAGAGACAGGCTCGCCTGTGAAGCGGAGGAGGACATTAGTGTAGAAACGCACAGCCTTGGACAGGCTCGCCTGTGAAACGGAGGAGGACTTCAGCGTAGAAATGCACAGCCTTGGACAGGCTCGCCTGTGAAACGGAGGAGGACTTCAGTGTAGAAACGCACAGCCTTGGACAGGCTCGCCTGTGAAACGGTGGAGGACATCAGTGTAGAAACCCATAGCCTTAGAGCTTTTGGAGGAAAATATCTGATCGTGAATTTTATGACCTCATAATAAGAGAGAATTTAAGCAAGACCCAAAAAGGTCAACCATAAGAGAAAATATTTCCTAAAGTGATGTCTGAGTCTGCTCCAGCTGCCATAACAAAATACCTTAGACGAGGGATTTAGGAACAGTAGAAGTTTCTTGCTCACATTCTAGATCTGGGAAGTCCAAGATGAAGGTGCCGGCAGTCTGGGTGTCTGGTAGGCCCTGCTCTACGCTTCAGCGGTAGTAACTTCCAGCCGTGTCCTCACGTGGTTGAAGAGCAAAGGGGCCCCTTCATGCCTCTTTTGTAAGGACACGAATCCCATTTATAAGGGCAGAGTCCCCGTGACCGAATCACCTCCCAAAGCCCTGCCTCTTCATTCCCACACATGAGAGGTTAGTGGTCAACATAGGAGTTTTGGAGGAACACAGATGTCCAGAACACAGTGAGTGACGGCATTAGAATTGAACACTTCTCATCATTAAAAACCACCACATAAACATACAGGCCACTCACCAGGGGAAGATATTTGTAATGTAGACAAATTTCAAATGATCACTATCCAGGTTTTTTTTTTTTTTTTTTTGAAACAGGGTCTCACTCTGTCGCCCAGGTTGGAGTGCAGTGGTGCAAACACTGCTCACTGTAGCCTTAAACTCCTGAGCTCAAGTGATCCTCGAGCCTCAGCCTCCAGAGTAGCTGGGACTATAGATGTGCGCCAGCATGCCAGTCTAATTTTTTTTATTTATTGTAGTCTTGCCATGCTGCCCAGGCTGGTCTCAAACTCCTGGGCTCAAGCAATCCTCCCGCCTAAGCCTCCCTAAGTGCTGGGATGACAGGTGTGAGCCACTGTGCCCAGCCACTATCTAGGATTTTTAAAAGCACATTACTTAAAGTATAAGAAAATCCCAAACAGGCCAGGTGTGGTGGCTCATGCCTGTAATCCCAGCTACTCAGGAGGCTGAGGCAGGGGAATCGCTTGAACCCGGGAAGCAGAGGTTGCAGTGAGCCGAGATCACACCATTGCACTCCAGCCTGGGTGACAGAGCGAGACTCTGTCTCAAAAAAAGAGAAAGAAACCCCCAAACAATCCAATGTAAAACTGTGCAAAAGACGTGAACCTCCGAGGTGGAGCCACCAGCGATCCGCCGCCGGGGGAGAGGCCGTCCACTGTCCTTCATCAGGTGGGAATGTGAATTTGCCACCCAACAGATGGGCAAAAAGTGAGAAGCCTGACAAAACCAAGCGTTGGGTGGAGCCCCGAGTCCACACAGAGCTCTCCCGCACCACTGCTGAGAGTGCAAACTGGCACAGCCAGGTTGGAAAACCCTCTCCTGGACCAAGCAGATCCCTTCTGAGACTCCAGCTGCCTCCTTCACCCCTTCAGGCTTTTCTTCACAGGCACCACCCGGTGGAGCCCCGATCACCAGTCACCGAGGGGAACGTCGCGCCGACACAGAGATTCCTGCAGAGCCCATTCCCGACCCACACACTGTTTCCCGTCTGTTCCTGGCCTGACGCATCCCCTGGGATGTCGGCTTTTGGGGGCCCGGATTTGTGTGTTAGGTTTGCTGTTGCATCTCTGTGGCTCAGACAGCCCTGGCACAGTTGCCACCGAGCAGAGGGCCGTGAGTAAAGGAGTGAATGAACGGTGCAGGGAGGGCGCCGGCTGGTTCTGTTGCAGGCATGTCCCGGAATGTCCCCTCCACTCAGGCCACCCCGACCCCGAAGCTGCATCGGCCTGGCCAGATCCCATCCTCCTCCTCCCCCAACCTTCCTGCAGCCCAGACTCTGGGACCACCTTCTTCAGTCCCCAAACGCACTGCAACCCTGGGACCCAAGAGCACAGGACACCCGAGACAGCCGAGGGCACCTTAGGGGCCTGTTGACTGAAGGAAAATACAAGTTAGTTTCATGTGGAAATCTGACTGAGGCCGGTGGACCGAGGCCTCCAGCTCAGGAGCAGCCCCGTGAAGTTGCGCCTACGAGAGTTTCAGTTCACGGTTTACCTCCAGCTGGTGAAGAGTCGCACCAGGTGTGGGTGCAGGAGGACGTCTGGTTAGAGGTCAGAGGCGTCATCCCCAACCCCGGCCGATGTTATCTTACGTGCGGGGAAAGGCAAGGACTGGACTCGTTCATCTTTTACGGAACGTGGTGAGTCAGGCAAGAGACCCGGGCCCTGTGCTCCGTCCTGTTTTGTCTTCGATGCTTCTCTCCGGTGAGCTGCAGGTGGCCACAGAGTCAGGCTTGGGAAGCTGTGCCGCAAGCGGGAATGAGTGGACGGGGCTGCTCACGCGGCTGCTTTTCCGTCACGGATGCCCCACCCGGTCCTGTGCGGGAGGCCCTGTTGAGGTGAGCTCCGCCCTGCCGAGTGTAGGGACTTTGCCTCCACCTCCAGGGTTCCACATCCTTCCAGTAGGACACAGGCAGACATCGCCTTGGGAGGCTGAATTTGCTCAAACGGCAAACACACGATGAGAGCCTGGGAGGGAATCCCGGCCAGGGCAGGGTGAGCAGACACTTCCAGAATCAGATCAACAAGCCCGTTCAGCACGAGCACAGCTCTGGTTTATAGCAGAGGGAATTGGATCAGAGGCCTGGAGCCCAGGGCCAAGGAGATTACAGCCGAGGGTGTCACAGTGGGGGGCACCCCACTGCATCCCAGCCTGGCCAGCGGGGAGAGCACCATCGATCCAGCTCTCTGGTCAAGACATGCTTCTTCCTAGAGGGACAAAGCCCCAAGCCATTGAGGACTCACTCTGCCCCTGCGGCTTGACTGGGCCCCACACTCCTGTCCCTGAGAAGCCCACTCAGGGCACTGGAGGTGGGGGTGCTCCCCAGGTGGATCCCTCCCATCTTCATATGAGGTTCTGGGGGAGGGCCTTCTTGGATGGAGGATGGAGGATGGAAGGCCAGGAGTCCCAGCTCCATCCAGGCCACCCCTGGAGCAGCAGGAGCTGGGACAGGTTTGCTCCCCACCTGCGGAGGACGGGGGGCGGTTTCTGTCCATCATCCTCTTCAGTGTCCCTGCTGCCCTGAGGCTCTGCGGGGTCCGGGGCCCCCTCACAAGCAGTCAGGCTGCCTGTTCCCAAGTGAAGGTGGTGGTCAGTCCTGGAGCGGCAGCTTTGAAAACGTCAGGGTGGGAACCGGAGGGGATGGTGACCCTTCAGAAGGGAGAGCGTGAGAAGCCCATGGAGGCTCCTGTGTCCACACGGTGTCTGTGTTCACACAGGAGACCTCAGGAGGGCCCTGGAGGCGGGTGGGCTGGGGGACAATTGCCCTCAGGATTGGAGGAGCAGGCCACTTGCAGGACCTGTCCTGCCCACTGCATGCGCCTGGTCGTGGGCTGCTGGGCTCCTTGGAGGAGGCCTCTCTGCTTTGGAAGGGCATGGCAGAGGCTCAGTGGTGGGCTGGCGGGGGTCTCTGTGCAGAACAGCATTTTGCAGTCCCCAGTGTCAAGTGCGAGGCAGCCCAGTCCAGGCAGAGCACGCTGATGCCCAGATCTGGGTCTGACACCATCCTCTCCACAGTCCTCACTCCCCGAAGCAGCAAACCCAGAGACAGAGCTGCAGTGCAGAGGATCCACGAGTCATTTCCATGTTTGGGCCATGAGGTTATTTTCTTCTAGAGAGACCAGCATGGAAAGAGGGGAGGGGCCTTTGCAGTGTGGAGACCCAACGCACACCTCAGCCAGGTGACCCCGCCTAGGGCAGGGTGGGGGTCTTCCCTCAGGGCGGCCTTGTCCCCAGCCCTCCCCTGGCCATGCTCCTGAGCCCCTGCACCACCACGTCCACCCTCCCTGTGAGCCCCTCAGGCAGTGAGACAACAGCCCTGTCCACGCCATTCCCTGTTGAGTCCCCTCCGCTGGTTTGCACGGCTCCCAAGCACATCTGGCTGCTGGCTGACCCAGGCCTGGTGGGGCTGAGTCACATCCCCAGCCCCACCGTCCAGGCAGATGCCCAGCAGGGAGCCTGCTGTTCTTGGCCTCCAGCCTCTGTTTACTCCCAGGAACACTTTTGGCATTGCTTGAGTGGCACATTGGCTGGGCCTGCCCACCTATTGCCACGCAAGATGACTGTTTGCAGGAGGTGCCCTGAGGGTCCATCTGTCCTGCAGGGCACCCACCAAGCACAGTATGGCACCTCTGCACCAAGCCTGTCCACGTCCCTACTGCGAGGCTGGGCTGCGCCACGCCTCTGAGAAGCGGCCCTGTTCCCACCCAAGGCCTCGCCTGCAGACATGGCCACGTCCCCAGACAGGGCCCCGAGAAGCTCGCCCCAGACGCCACGAGGTGCATCCTTAAACAGGGACTTCCTAGACGCCATGAGGCGGTGTCCTTAAACAGCGACTTCCTCTCACCCACCTTGATTTGATTTTCAGTTTTAAACTAAAGTGAATTCCGTTTTACAAGTAATACCATTTCATTGTAGAACATTGGGAAATATATAAACTAGAAAGAAGAAGAAATACTCCCTGGCCTCGGGCCCCCACATGCTCGGAGGAGCCTTGCAAAGTTTTATGCCCAGGTGTGTCTTCACTCAGCGGTCAGAGAGTGCCCAGGCGGCACTGCATTTCCCGCTCAAATGCTCCTTTCTGGTTGTAAAGGTGAGATGTACGCCTTATTAAAAGCTGGAATTCTCAGGAGAGGGCAAAGAAGGAAACCCCCTCCGGGGAGAGGCAGGCCCCACGGCTCTGGGACTTTCAGGGCTCCGGGGACTCTCACGGCCTCACTGCAGTCGTCCCGTCCCGCGGGGCTGGTGGGGGGCAGGGCATCGTAAAAGCATCCGCCGCTCCTGGTGGAAGAGGAAATGTGGAGCTGGGTGCCAGGGGCCTGGCGGTCACGGCTTATTGTTCTTTATGAACAGAAATGGACAAGAGAGTCCACAGGCTTCAACCCGAGGTTTCATGATGCAGGGAGGCACCCTTCACAGTCTGCCGAGGGACACAGACACCATCGCTCTCTCCGCAGCTCTACGGCTGAGCAGGGGTGCACCCAAGAAATGTATCTCCCGGAACTGGGGAATCACGGCAGGGCCGCTGGGCAAGGCATGCAGGGTTGCAGCATTTACCGAGGACCCTGACCTGGGGGCCACCAGCTGTTCATTTCTATTCTTCTTTTCAAACCTTTAATTTCTTTATTTTTAGTGCAGTTTCAGATGCACGGCCAATGTGAGAGTTAAGTCCAAAGAGTTCCTGTACGCCCTTCTCCCCTCGTGCACACCCTGCCCTCTCTCCCCCACCAGAGCGGCGCATTCCCTACAATCCACTAGCCTGCGTGGACACATAGCCTGCGTGGACACAGAACCTGCGTGGACATAGAACCTGCGTGGACACATAACCTGTGTGGACACAGAACCTGCGTGGACACAGAACCTGCATGGACACATAGCCTGCGTGGACACATAGCCTGCGTGGACATAGAACCTGCATGGACACATAGCCTGCGTGGACACATAGCCTGTGTGGACACAGAACCTGCGTGGACACAGAACCTGCGTGGACACGGAACCTGCGTGGACACATAGCCTGCGTGGACACAGAACCTGCGTGGACACATAACCTGTGTGGACACAGAACCTGCGTGGACACAGAACCTGCGTGGACACATAGCCTGCGTGGACACATAGCCTGCGTGGACACAGACCCTGCGTGGACACATAGCCTGCGTGGACACAGACCCTGCGTGGACACATAGCCTGCGTGGACACAGAACCTGCGTGGACACAGAACCTGCGTGGACACGGAACCTGCGTGGACACATAGCCTGCGTGGACACAGAACCTGCGTGGACACATAACCTGTGTGGACACAGAACCTGCGTGGACACAGAACCTGCATGGACACATAGCCTGCGTGGACACATAGCCTGCGTGGACACAGACCCTGCGTGGACACATAGCCTGCGTGGACACAGAACCTGCGTGGACCCATAGCCTGCGTGGACACAGAACCTGCGTGGACACAGAACCTGCGTGGACCCATAGCCTGCGTGGACACAGAACCTGCATGGACACGGAACTTGTGTGGACACAAAACCGCCCAAAGCCCATGCTTTGCATCAGTGTTCACGCTTGCTTTTTTCTTTTGTAAGAGACAGTGTCTCACTCTGTCACTTGGGCTGGAGGGCAGTGGCTATTCGCAGGCACGGTCTCAGCTCACTGCAGCCTCAAACTTTGAGGCTCCAGTGATCCTCCCACCTCAGCCTCCTCAGTAGCTGGGACCACAGCTGTTTGCCACCAATCCCAGCTTACATTTTTTTTTTTTGAGATGAAGTCTCACTCTGTCACCCAGGCTAGAGTGCAGTGGCGCAGATCTTGGCTCACTGCAACCTCCGCCTCCCAGGTTTAAGCAAGTCTCCTGCCTTGGCCTCCCGAGTATCTGGGTTTTGCAGGCGCCCACCACGATGCCTGGCTAATCCTTGTGTTTTTAGTAGAGACGGAGTTTCACCATGTTAGCCAGGCTGGTCTTCAACTCCTGACTTCAGGTGATCTGCCTGCCTTGGCCTCCCAAAGTGCTGGGTTACAGGTGTGAGCCACCGCGCCCACCCCAGCTTACATTTTTAATTCATTTTTCAGTTGGTCAAAACATGTCTTCAAGTACTTTTTGAGGACACATAGTATTATGTACATATTATCATAATTATCATCACCATTAATGTTTCTAATGTGTTGATAGAGAATAGCTATATTTATTATTTCATTTTACTTATCAGTAATTAATAATAGCCTGTTATTTACAATATAATACATGTATTTCTACATTTAATGTGCAATGGGGCAATAACTGCAGAATTTTGAGGCAAAAACACATGTGAAGAATCTTAGACCAGCTGCGTTACCCGCCGTCTTTCTAAGTGAACACACAGGAAGGGGCTGCTTCAGGCTGAGCACGGTGGCTCACACCTGCAATCCCAGCACTTTGGGAAGCCAAGGTGGGAAGATTCCTTGAGCCCAGGAGTCCGAGACCAGCCTGGGCAACATAGGGAGACGTTGTCTCTACAGAAATTAGAAAATTAGGCAGGTGTGGTGCCGTGTGCTTGTAGTCCTAGCTACTCAGGAGGCTGAGGCAAGAGGATTGCCTGAGTCCGAGAGGTTGAGGCTGCAGTGAGCTGTGATCGCCCTGCTGCACTCCAGCCTGGGCAACAGAGCCAGACCCTGTCACAAAAGAGCGAAAGAAAGAGGCTGCTTCATGATCCACGGCTGCCCGCCTGGGCTCTGTGTTCCCGCACGTTCGAGGCCCTCAGAGGATCCTGTGCTTTGGCCTTGTCCCCCTTGCTCTTTGAAAGGCTTGCATCTCGGCCTTGTCCCCCCTGCTCTTTGAAAGGTTTGCGTCTCCTTTTCAATGCCCAGTTCATCTCTTTTGTGTTTTACTCAACAAGGGAGTTTCTGGCTTGTGTGCTTGGCTGTTGCCCTGGCTCCAGCTGTTCCCACTGGGCCTGCAGAGCCTCGTTCTCGCTGTTCTCTGGCTGCTGGGCCCCCGTCCTCGCTGCTGCTCCTCTCTCTCGGCACAGGGTGCTCCCTGACTCAGCTGTCTGGGGGTTCTTTCCCGCTCCCTGGATGATCTGAATTGTTACATCTTCATGTTTTTGCAAGAAACATTTCCCTCTTGTCACGTCCCTGTCTTTCTGGCTCAGCTGTCTCTCTTGAAGGCCGCCTCCTCCCCTTACGTGGGGGCCGTGCCTCCCACATCACACTGTAAATGTCAAAGAGTTTTCCTCTTTCTCCAGAAAATTATCTTCGAAAATTCTTCTACGTCTTCAGAATAAGCCTCCTTCTTCCGTGTTTCATGCTCTTTCCCCATAATCCTGCGAGTCTTCCTTCTGCAAGGAAGGGCCGTCCATCGAGACCCCAGAGGCCCCCTCATGAGGCCAGTAGAGCTGCCTCCTTGGTATGGCTCAATTCCCCTCAGTCTCCATCTCACACAGCTGCTCTGTGAGCTCTTTGTGCGGGGGTGTGAAAATCAACCTTCTCTGACCCCCATGGGCCCCCAGGGCCTGCTGAGTCTGGACAGATTCAGAGATCCCGTCCCTGCCCATCAGCTGAGTGCTGGTAGGGTTGTTGCAAACCCACTCTGGGCGTGGGCTGGTTTCGGGAAGGCTGGGTGCTCCTTTTCTGCAGGTTCCTGATGTTCCTGACAGTGATTGATCCCTGCAAGGGCCTCCGCAAGAGCTGTCAGGCACTGTGCAAGTGGGCGCAGCATTGCCATGGAGACCTGAGGTTCCGGGGCTCCAGGGTGCTTACCCTCCAGCCCTATGCCCAGCCCTGCCCTGAGGAGACAGCCAGGCACAGAGGAGCCACGCCCCTGCCTACTTGATGGGAGGTCACCTTGCACTGCATACCAGCAAGATGTGGTATCTATTCCTTAGGCCCAGTTATTGCCAAATAAAGCTCAGAGGGATAAAAGCACACCAACAATGTGTAGTTTAATGAGTTAGTATAAGGCAAACACCATTATCACGATCTCCCAGGCCTGGATAGAACCTGGCCAGTTATCCCAAGAGCCCTCCATGTGCCCCGCCCAGCACAGCACCTGGCGCCTGGCTATCCTGCCAATGACTGTCCCCACTCCCCCAAACTTCCGTGCTGTGTGTCACCCAAGCCCATGTTCCCAGACACCAGAGCCGTCTTGCCCCGTGTTCAGATCTGATGAGTCTTCCAGGTCTCCTCTCACTCACAGACCCCCTCCCCACTCTGCTTCCTCGTGGCTTCTCTGCAATGCCTGGGACCAGCCAGCACGGGCTGCCCACCACCCCACGGGGCCGTGCACCAGCTCCTTTGCATTTCCAGGCAAATGACAGCTGGATCCAGTCCCGTTAGCAAGACTCAAAGCAGTGGTGACCGTCCCCAGGAGGCACCTCCTGCCTGGCCGTTGCCCCAGCTCTGACATGAGCACCCAGAAGGTCCAGCGCCTGGTCCTCGCATCCCCAGGGGCTGCAAGATGGTGGCATACGGATTCCATCATGCCCCTTTAGTTGTTCATTGGCTTTTATAAAATGTCGCTTCCCCTCACTACCACCGGGTTGCCTGGGGGTGCAGGTCATGGAGCAAAGGCAGGATGAATGCAGGATTCTCTCCCTTCATTTATCATCTTTCAGGACGATGAGTTGGCTCCTGTCCTCCTCCCAGGATGGCCAGTCAGGTCATGCCTCACTAGGTTTATTTCTATGCACTTGACTTTTGCTGGGCTGCATTTTTTGCAGAAATAACATTGTTTGCAAACTGAAGGTTGGTAGCCATGCTAAGTCCAACAAGTTCATCAGTGCCATTTTTCCAAGAGCAGGTGTCCACTTCCTGTCTCCATGTCACCTTTTCATGATGATTGTGTCTGTTACGGTGACCTGCGCTCAGCGACCTTTGTAGTTACTACAGTCATTGTTTCACAGAACCACGAACCACGGCCATATATGCAGGCGGACTTAGCGCATAAATATGCGTTCTCACCAATCCACCACTGCTGTTCATTTCTCCCTTCCTTTCCTCAGGCCTCCCTCTTCCCCGAGACACAGCAGTATTGAAATTAGGCCAGTTGATAACCCTATAATGGCCTCTAACGTTCAAGTGAAAGGAACAGTTGCAGGTCTCTCGCTTTAAATCAAAAGCTAGAAATTATTAAGCTGAGGGAGGAAGGCATGGAGAAAGCTCAGAGAGGCCGAGAGCTTGGCCTCCTGCACCAAACAGTTGGCCAAGTTGTGAATGCCAAGGAAAAGTTCTTGAAGGAAATTAAAAGTGCGACTCCAGTGACCCCACGAATGATAAAAAGAGAAACCGTCTTCTTGGTGATATGTGGAAAGTCTCAGCGGCTTGCATAGAAGGTCAATCAGTCACAACAATCCCTTAAGCCCAACCCCCATCCAGAGCAAGGCCCTGGCACAGAGACAAAAAAAAAAGAAAAATATTTTATGAGGCTATAGCTGCTATAGATAGTGATTCCTCTGATGGATCTGGGCAAAGTAAATTAACAGTCCTCTGGAAAGGTTTCACCTTTCTAGATCCCATTAAGAACAATAATGATTCACGAGAAGAAGTCAAAATATCACATTAACGGGAGTTTGGAAGAAGTTGATTCCAGCCCTCACGGATGACTTTGAAGGGTTCAAGCCTTCAGCAGAGGAGGTAACTGCAGATGTGGGGGAAGCAGCAAGAGAACTAGAATTAGAAGTAGAGCCTGAAGGTGGGACTAAATTGCTGCAATCTCAGGATCAAACTTTAATGGATGAGGAGTTCTTTCTGATGGATGAACAAGTAAAATGGTTTCCTGAGATGGAAACTATTCCTGGTGAAGATGCCGTGAACATTGTTGAAATGACATAAAGGATTTAAAATATTCCACAAACTTAGCTGACAAAGCAATGGCAGAATTTGAGAGGACTGTTATAAGTAAAATGTTTATTTAGAAACAGAATGCTTCTTCCTTGGTACTGCAAGGAAAAATAGCATTTAGACAAAAAGCTTTCTCAGCAAGACGATTTTTTTTTTTTTTGAGACAGAGTCTCGCTCTGTCGCCCAGGCTGGAGTGCAGTGGCGCAATCTCGGCTCACTGTAAGCTCCGCCTCCTGGGTTCACGCCATTCTCCTGCCTCAGCCTCCTGAGTAGCTGGGACTACAGGCACCTGCCACCATGCCTGGCTAATTTTTTTTGTAATCTTCACTATCTTCTGGCAAGAAATGTCAATGACAAAAGTCTGATGATAAATCTTTTTTTTTCTTTATAAGTCCCCCACTGTTTTTACTAGAGCCCAAAGGCACTTTTCTTTTTATTTAAAGTCCAATGACTTTACTAGACCATGTCTTGGTTTTGGCCATTCTGGGCAGTATTCTCAGGTACACAGTGTGCTTTTGCAATATTGTAATTCAATTTTTTTTATTTCAGCTAAAAATTCTTTGAATGTAAATATTTATTCTGCTTTGTTTTGATTTCCCACTTCGGGGACTCCTATTATCCACATATCAGATCTTCAGTATTTTCAGTTTCTCCCTAATACTTTAACCCCTTCCTTAATTTCTTTTCAATTTACTTTTCCCTCCTTTTCCTGTTGTATTTTTCTAAAGATGTTTTCTGTGCATTAATTCACTCTTATGTTCTGTGTAGTTTCGTCTTCACACAACAGTTACATGACACACGTGTGCATGTACACACACACACAAACACACACACACTCTGAGCCAAGCTGAACAACAGGCATTACTGCCTATATGCCTCCCCACCCTTCCCCTTGGCTGGCACGTAGCAGACATTGAGTCAGTAACTGTGGCAGGCTTGTAGGATTTACAAGGCAACTTGACGAAGATGGCAGTGTGACCTCAAAGGGAGGCGCTAAGTCAATTCACTCCTGGGGATTTGTGGGCCAGGAAACTGGCCTTGTCTGTCAGAGGCTGGGCTGGAGGGGGAGAGTGAGACACCAGGGTGGGCTCATCACCTTCCAGGTCACCCCTCAGACGTTGCTTCTCCAGAAAGTCCACCCTGATCTCTAAACCAGGTCGTGTCCTCCCATCGCGTCCTCTCGTGGCACTGTCCTTCCTCTGTCTGGACACCTGTCACTTCTGTAATTCCATATCTTGCTGACATATATGCCCCTCTGGCCTCTGAGCCAGACACGAGGTCTGGGACCTGTCTGAAGGGCTCATGGCCTGCTCCCCACTCCAGGCAGCCCCCTCATTGCTGAGCAATGCCTGTGCTGGCGGCTTAGGGAGGGAAGGAGGCCCACTGTCATCATTGTCTCCAACGGGACCACTCCTGGAAACCCCGGAGTCTGCATTGTTGCCGAGCGGCTGTTCAGGAGCAGGGATAGCGAGGAAACCCCCAGAAATTGTCCTGGAGCCAAGCTTGCAAATGCCAAGACACTGGGGATGGTTGTGCAGCAAGGGTGCTGGCAGGCACAAGGCACTGTCACAGGACCAGCGGCGTTCTAATCCCCCGAGTGAGAGCAGCAAGGGTGCTGGCAGCACAAGGCACTGTCGCAGGACCAGCGGCGTTCTAAGCCCCCAAGTGAGAGCAGCAAGGGTGCCGGCGGGCACAAGGCACTGTCGCAGGACCAGCGGCGTTCTAAGCCCCCAAGTGAGAGCAGCAAGGGTGCCGGCGGGCACAAGGCACTATCTCAGGACCAGCGGCGTTCTAAGCCCCCGAGGGCCAAGTGGCAGACCCACAGGGAGAAGCTCCCTGAACGAGGTGCAGACACGATTGGGGAAGTCAGAAGCACGTTTCTGTTGAAACTTGCCAAGAAGCCAACACCAGCCCCAAGGGGCCCCAGGGGTGGCACAGACTCCTCGACATTGCGACGGGGAGGCCCGGACAGGGGCGGGTACGGCCAAATGGGCCCCCGCTTCCCTCTTGTGACCAACAATTGGGTCATTGCTCCCTGTGGCTCTTGGGCAGCCTATTTTAAACCCTTCTCTATAGAAATTTTGAAAAATATTTCACAGAAAAGAACCAGGGCATTGAGAGGAGTTTTAGACATGAAATGAACACCTCCAGCTGGAGCCCAAGGCTATGTATCATCCAAATGACCTTTCCTACTTTCAACCAAATAATGGCGGGGGATGCGGCTAAGCCTAAATTCAGCCACAGCCTCCCGAGAGCACCACACGCTCCCAGGAGAAGCCGTGCCGAAGCCCCAAGCATGAGACGCTGCAGGGCCCTAGCAGGACCCACGTGTGGGGTGAGCTTAAGGCCATCAGCCAGGCGGTGATGGGGACCAGATGGTGCAGGCTGGCAGGGCCACTGTGGCCCAAACCCTTGTCCTCTGGAGAGGCTCTGTAGGCGGGCACCCACAGCACGCCCTGTCTTGGGGGACACACCCTGCAGCAGAGGTCCGTCAGGCTGGTTTGGTTCCCAAGGGCCCTAGGAGGGATTTAAAAACCACAGCCCTGGGACGCTGGGTGTGTCCACGACAGAGCCCCCAGATGTGGCCTATAGGTCATGCAGTCCTAGCCAGAGGCCATATACCATCTGTGACCATCTGTGGGTCAGAGGACCTGCAGGCAGAGGTAAGGACACTGCATTGCCTCCCCCATCCAGTGTGAGAGTGGGGCAGCCCTGGCAGTGGTTTCTGAGCGGTGGAGCAGGTCCAGGACCTGAGTTAGTGCCGTTTTCCACACGATCATCCTCAGTGCCCCGGGCAGGCCACCCTGGTCACCAGACAGCTGGAACAGCCAGACAGTGTGGTTCATGCAAGAGAGAAACCTCTAGCTTGCCCCTCTGCCAGAGCAGAAAAAACCTTCCCTGAAGTCCCCAGAAGACCCCCCCTTATGCCTCAATGGGAACATAAACTCCTCCCCTGACCCAACCGACCAGCCCCTCTACTCACACCACACATACACCACACACATGCACACACACACACAAACACACATGCACACACACAAACACTTGTATACATGCACACACATGCACACACACAAACACACATGCACACACACAAACACACATGCACACACACAAACACATGTATACATGCACACACATGTGCACATGCACACACACACCAGGGCCAGGTCAGGACAGAGGTCCTGGAGCCTAAGCTCTAGGAGGCATGAGAGCGTGAAGAAGAGGGTACGGGCGGCCATGCCAGCTGTGATGTACAGCATTCTTCCTGCCACACGGACGGCTGCGTCGGGCTGAGCGTCTTCTCCTGTGCTCCTCATGGTCTTGCTCCATCGCAGTGTTCCCCAAAGTTTTATTTGTTTTTTTAAGAGACACTGCCTTGCTCTGTCTCCCAGGCTGGAGTGCAATGGTGCAATCACCGCTCACTGCAGCCTCCAACTCTCCTGCTCAAGCGATCCTCCCATCTCAGCCTGCCAAAGTGCTGAAATTCCAGGTGTAAGCCTCTGCACCCAGCCCCAATGTCTTCTTAAAAAAAGGCCTGCAAACTGTATGGTGTCTTCAGTCCCTTGGCAATGTAGCTTTAGCTTGGAAAGTGCCAGGCACTGACAGCTGCGTTCCAGGACATTTCCTTGGCATCTCTGCCTGAGCGACAGGAGGCTGGCGGGGGTAGAGCTCTCAGTGTGGTGGGACAAGACCAGCATCTTCCACCTGGACACAGGGGCCCAGGTGGGATGTCCGCTCCCTCAGAGGCCTTACTTGCCCCCGAATTCTCTGCAATTGCTCAGATGGTCTAATCCAAGTCTAGAGGGGGTCACTGTCCTGGCAGGAAGCAGGTGGCCCACCCTCAGCAGGTGGTGTGAGCAGGCGAGGGTGGGGCTCCGCGGGACCACAGGAGGCGATAGCCTCTTGAGGGCAGAGGCCGTGTCCCTCACAGCACCTTCCTTGTGGGTGGCACAGTGGAAGGTGCTGGGCTGAGGGACGTTAGCCCAGCTTCATCCTGTGTGTTTACGCTCCCTCCGGGTAGCTTTGCTGTGTGCTTGGGGCTTCTGGCATGGCAGAGTTCATTCAGCTTCCAGCGCATTGATCTCCAACACAGACCTACTGACTCCTGGGGACGTTCCCACTGATCTCAGGAAAGGTGAGAGAATGCTTCTTTTAAGCAACTTGAAGACAGGCAGGATGTAATTCTATTCAGTGTTAAAGCCTATCATTCTATCATCAAACAGCTCCCAGACGCCAGGAGTCCAGAATGAGATGCATCTACTGTGACCCAGTTTCCTCCTTCAAAGCTGCCAGGGTTGATCCTGGATCCATCCTGGGCTGATCCTAGGTCCCTCCTGGATTGATACTAGGTCCACTGTGGCCTGAGCCTGGGTCCATTGAGGGCTGATCTTGGGTTTACTGTGGCCTGTGATTGGGTCTATCATGGGCTGAGCCTGGATCCAACCTAAGCTGGCCCTGGATCCATCATGGGCTGAGCCTGGTTCCAACCTTAGCTGAGCCTGGATCCTACCTGAGCTGAGCTTGGGTTTATCATGGGCTGAACCTGGTTCCATCATGGGTTGGTCCTGTGTCCATTGTAATTTGGGCCTGGATCCTCCTGGATTACTTATATGGTTCGGCTGCATCCCCACTCAAATCTCATCTTGAATTGGAGTTTCCATAATCCCCACATGTCATGGGAAGGACCCAGTGGGAGGTAATAGAATCATGGGTGTGGTTACCCTCATGCTGCTGTTCTCATGATAGTGAGTGAGATCTCACAAGATCTGATGGTTTTATAAGGGGCTTTTCCCCCTTCTGCTTGGCACTTCTCCTTGCTGCTGCCGTGAGAAGGAGGTGTTTGCTTCCCCTTCCGCCATGATTGTAAGTTTCCTGAGGCCTCCCCAGCCAATTAAACCTCTTTCCTTTATAAATTACCCAGTCTTGCATATGTCTTTACTAACAGTGTGAGAACGGGCTAACACAATAACAAATCTGTAGAAAAATGTGAATCAAAACTCCAAGGAGATACCACGTTACAACCATGAGGATGGTTACTATTTTTAAAAAACAGAAAATAACAATTGTTGGTGAGGTTATGGTTACATTGGATCCCTCATGCACTATTGGTAAGAATGTGAAATGGGGCAGCCACTGTGGAAAACAGTATGATGATTCCTCAAAAAATTAGAAATAGAATCACCCTAGGACCCAGCAAGTCTGCGTCTGGGTATATGCACAGAAGAATCAGAAGCAGGGTCTCAAGCAATATTTGCTCACTATGTTCACAGCAGTATTAGTCACGATGGCCAAGGGGCAGCAGCAACACGGGCGTCTGTCACAGATGAATGGAAAACAGAATGTGGAATACCCACAGAATGGATTTTAACTCAGTCTTAAAAAGGAAGGAAAACCTGGCATGTGCTACAACACGGATGGGTCTTTAAGACACTGTGGGAAAGGAGAGAAGCCAGATACAGAAGGGCAAGTACTGCCTGACTCTGTGTACCTGAGGCTCCCAGAGGAGCCAAACTCACTGAGACAGAAAGCAGAACGGAGGCTCCCTGAGGCTGGGGAGATGGGAATGGGGAGTGGGTGTTTCATGGGGACCGAGTTTCCGTTTCCCACAATGAAAACGGATCTGGAGACGGGTGGTGATGACGGCGTCACAACATCCTGAACACGCTAACACCATGGAACTGTACATGCGAACATGGGTAAGATGCTGAATTGCTTGCTGTATGTGTCTTACCACAATAAAAGCTTTGAAAAAAACCCACAAAAGTACAGTTTATCAAAACAAGAACTGCAAATCCTGTTTCTTGGGGATATAGTTCAGGGATAGAGCATTTGACTGCAAACCATTTCTTTCTTAAGGGTTAATCTTAGCTTATACACCACATATTCTATCTTTTTTCATGATATTCTATTTTTAAACCTAACTAATTTCAACACTTTTGATTAGTATTTGGTCCCATTTGTAAACTTATCTAAGCTTCTTTAAACCTTTTAAGCTGAAATTGTGAAACTGTAAAACTTCACTTCTTTTTAAAGGACTCTATTTGCCTAAAAACAGACTTTCCCAAATACTTGCAATGCTAGTTAACCTTACACATGTGCTGATCTTTACATGTTCAAAGTGTAAGTGTCCAAAGCTATATATCAATTTGGAAAGGTATCTACTGATAAAGTCAAAATCAATTACCCAATTACCCTGTTTAAGTTGGAATCCCAGGTGACTTGTTTCTTTTTTGTTTTGTTTTATTGTTTGTTTGTTTTTTGAGATGGAGTCTCGCTCTGCCGCCCAGGCTGGAGTGCAGTGGCGTGATCTCGGCTCACTGCAAGCTCCGCCTCCCGGGTTCACGCCATTCTCCTGCCTCAGCCTCCCGAGTTGCTGGGACTACAGGCACCTGCCATCACTCCCGGCTATTTTTTTTTATATTTAGTGGAGACAGGGTTTCACCGTGTTAGCCAGGATGGTCTCGATCTCCTGACCTCGTGATCTGCTGGCCTCGGCCTCCCACCAGGTGACCTGTTTTTTAGCAAAAATCTCAGAAGCATTGCATAGTGTTAAAATACCAAACATGCATAAATCTGTCACAAAATATTCATACTTTGGGTTTGGTTCTCTGCACACATTTTCATACTTAGTAACACATCTTCTCAAGGTGAGTGTATTGACCCTGCCCACTGGGAAGGCAGTGGGCTTCCCAAAGCTTCCCGGACGCTGCTGGGACGCTGAGGTTCCCATCTGGGAGGTTGGGGGCAAGCACGAGAGCCAAAGGGCACAGAGTTGTCTTTTTCTTTGAGATGGAGTCTTGCTCTGTTACCTAGGCTGGAGGGCAGTGGCACCATCACAGCTCACTCCAGTTTTGACCTCCTGGGCTCACATGATCCTCCCACCTTAGCCTCCACAGGCACATATCACCACCAGCTGATATTTATATTTTTTATAGAGGTGGGGTCTCATTATGTTGTCCAGGCTGGTCTAACTCCTGTGCTCAAGGGATCCTCCAGCCTTGCTCTCCCTCCTCTGAGATTACAGACACGAGCTGCTCTGCCCAGCCCCGGGGTTTCTTTGGAGGAAGATGAAAATGTCCGGAATTGAGCATGTCCATGCATGCACCAACAACGGCTGAACTGCCCACCTCAGAGGGATTCCGTGAATGCACCAATGACCGCTGAATTGAGCATGTCCGTGAATGCACCAACGACAGCTGAACTGAGCATGTCCGTGAATGCACAAACGACCGCTGAACTGAGCGTGTCCGTGAATGCACCGACCACTGAACTGAGCGTGTCCGTGAATGCACCAACAACCACTGAACTGCCCACCTCAGAGGGATTCCGTGAATGCACCAACGACCGCTGAACTGCACACTTCAGAGGGATGTGGGGCTGGCGTGTGAACTCTACCTCAGTAAAGCTGTGTCAAGAGAAAAGGTAACAACTCAACGAGAGTTTCCTCAGAGGATGTTTCTAGGCCAACCCAGGCCAGGAACTGGATTCCACCCCAAAGGGTCACTGTGCACGAGGGCGTCCGGGGAGCCGCTGACCTGCAGGGTCCTCGCCAGCCTTCCTGGCTCCACTGCGCCGCACCCTTAGGAGCGCTCTCATGTACCCTGATCTCCTCTGCGTGCCCCGCCAGGCTCGCCACACCCCAGTTTTCATTTCGACGTGCAGTTGGGCTGCACGTCGTGTGTCGGGCATAAGCAGTCTTGGAAATTTTCCACGATATTTAGGCCAAGACAAGTCAATGGCAAAGGAAATCTTTATTTAGATTTATCTATTGTAATGATGCCTCGGGCAGGTCGATTATTAAGGACCTGCTCAGAGACTGTTTTTCTGAGTCTCTCAATCGGAGCGAGCTTATCGTTCGGGGTCACCTCAAATGAGCCTGGAATCGGCGAGTTAATCCTCAATTGTTAAAGAGAAAGTAGCAGCATCCATAAGGATCCTGAGGCTTCCAGTTTCTTTGCCTGCAAGGTTGCTTGCCCCATTCTCCTCCATCTCGGGAGCAGCTTCCAAGGGCGGCCTCTCCAGCAGCAGCGCATGGGATACCCAGGGCTGCTTGTCCGCAGGCCCCCTGGCAGGACTCCCAGGTGGAGGAAGGGGTGGGCACAGAGAGCCTCCCCTGCCAGGGTACCAAGGCCTGGGACTCCTGTCTCAAAGGCTCCTGCAGAATTCCCCGCCAACCCCCAAGAGGATCCTTTCTATGGCTGAGGGAACCAGCCCTGCCAGCCCTCAGCCTCCATGACGAGCCCAGACCACCACTTGGAAGGGCTCTGCCCAGGCAGGGGTATCAGGAGCAGAATGCACCACCTGTCCACCACACCCCCAGGCCAGGCTGAGCCAAGCACAGGGAGCTGCTTAGGCCAAAGGGCACCACCGCCCAGGTGCCAGCAGGAAACGTGTGGGTCTCAGGTGGCGGCCCTGACTGTTGGCCCCATTCAGTAAGAGCGGCACAAGGCCTGGAGGACAGCTGCTCCCACCAATGGACATATCTGGGGAGACGTGCTGCCCAGGACCCTGGGGCTGGCCTGTATCCCGTGTCCAGTCAGTGCAGGACACAGAGGCTTGAGTCTGGCCGAGACTTAGGCTACCCTGATTGCCAAAGCAGCCAGCTCCTTCTGGGGTCAGCTGAGGTCTCTGGACCCACACAGCCCCCTGCCTAGACCCTCCCTTCTCTCAGGGTGGCATGCTGAGGCCTCCCCAGGAATAGTCCTGCTGGCACCAGATGTCAGGCACCAGACCGAGTCCTGCCTCCCACGGCCTCCCAGACAGGGTCATCCCACTCCTGCTGATGATGGCAGAGGGAGCGCAGGGTCTGTGCCCTTCTGCAGAACCTCTCAGCCTTCGGACTGCAGGAACTCATGCTTCATAGAAATTCTCAGAATATCAAACAAACAGACCAAAAAATGGCCTGATTTTTCCAAGACTTGGCCTCCCAAATGCCACGGTTAACCACTGCACTCAGGCTGACGGGCGTGGGGGTGGAACAGAGGGGTGTAGAGGGATGGCAGGCGCACCCCGAGAGCCCTCCAGGGACGTTCCTGCCCTACACACCCTGCTGTTTCCTTCTACCCAGCAGGGTGGGCCCCACCCTGAGGTCCTTTCAGCTCCCTGGGAAGTGTATGCTTTGGGGTAGGGATTCTAGGCTGGGAGGGAGAACCGAGGACAGGACAGAGGAGGGGCTGCAGTGAACAGGAGCCCCAGATGTGCACAGCCGCTGGAATGGCCAGACCCCGGGCCAGGTGGAGGGCAATTCTCAGCTGTGAGCTCACACCTGGGGAGCTGGGCCCCTTGGAAGACCCAAGGCCTGGTGCCCCCACAGACCAAGGAGGGCTGTCTGGGACAGGGGTGCAGTGGGAGAAGGAGCCCCTCCTAGGGCTGAATTCTGGGATCTTTTCAAGCACTATCTGAAGGAGGCCTGGCCTGTGGTTTTCTGATCACCCCAATGTCCCAAGAAGGGCGGAAGGCCCAGGCTGCTGGTGCAGGGAGGGGCTGCATTCAGAGGTCCCCAGTGCCGACCACAGCCCTGGAAAACAGCAAGTCCTGAAGAAGGTGCGAAGGTGCTGGGCCTCCAAGGCAGCGGGCGCCTTTGTTTCCTCCATTCCTGTACAGAGCTCAGCTCCAGTGATAGGGACGGTCACTCTGGGATCAGCTCCAGTGATAGGGACGGTCACTCTGGGATCAGCGCCAGTGATAGGGACGGTCACTCTGGGATCAGCGCCAGTGATAGGGACGGTCACTCTGGGATCAGCGCCAGTGATAGGGACGGTCACTCTGGGATCGGCTCCAGTGATAGGGACGGTCACTCTGGGATCGGCTCCAGTGATAGGGACGGTCACTCTGGGATCGGCTCCAGTGATAGGAGTGGTCACTCTGGGATCAGCGCCAGTGATAGGGACGGTCACTCTGGGATCAGCGCCAGTGATAGGGACGGTCACTCTGGGATCAGCTCCAGTGATAGGGACGGTCACTCTGGGATCAGCGCCAGTGATAGGGACGGTCACTCTGGGATCAGCGCCAGTGATAGGGACGGTCACTCTGGGATCAGCGCCAGTGATAGGGACGGTCACTCTGGGATCAGCGCCAGTGATAGGAGTGGTCACTCTGGGATCAGCGCCAGTGATAGGGACGGTCACTCTGGGATCAGCTCCAGTGATAGGGACGGTCACTCTGGGATCGGCGCCAGTGATAGGGACGGTCACTCTGGGATCGGCTCCAGTGATAGGGACGGTCACTCTGGGATCGGCTCCAGTGATAGGGACGGTCACTCTGGGATCGGCGCCAGTGATAGGGACGGTCACTCTGGGATCGGCTCCAGTGATAGGGACGGTCACTCTGGGATCGGCTCCAGTGATAGGGACGGTCACTCTGGGATCGGCTCCAGTGATAGGGACGGTCACTCTGGGATCGGCGCCAGTGATAGGGACGGTCACTCTGGGATCGGCTCCAGTGATAGGGACGGTCACTCTGGGATCGGCTCCAGTGATAGGGACGGTCACTCTGGGATCGGCGCCAGTGATAGGGACGGTCACTCTGGGATCGGCTCCAGTGATAGGGACGGTCACTCTGGGATCGGCTCCAGTGATAGGGACGGTCACTCTGGGATCGGCGCCAGTGATAGGGACGGTCACTCTGGGATCGGCGCCAGTGATAGGGACGGTCACTCTGGGATCGGCGCCAGTGATAGGGACGGTCACTCTGGGATCGGCGCCAGTGATAGGGACGGTCACTCTGGGATCGGCGCCAGTGATAGGGACGGTCACTCTGGGATCGGCGCCAGTGATAGGGACGGTCACTCTGGGATCGGCGCCAGTGATAGGGACGGTCACTCTGGGATCGGCGCCAGTGATAGGGACGGTCACTCTGGGATCGGCGCCAGTGATAGGGACGGTCACTCTGGGATCGGCGCCAGTGATAGGGACGGTCACTCTGGGATCGGCTCCAGTGATAGGGACGGTCACTCTGGGATCGGCGCCAGTGATAGGGACGGTCACTCTGGGATCGGCTCCAGTGATAGGGACGGTCACTCTGGGATTGGCTCCAGTGATAGGAGTGGTCACTCTGGGACCTCCAGGCTCTGCACCTGGCAGGGGCTTGAGTCAGTGCTTTGGGCTCTGCTCTCTGTGGTCACTAGAGCTGCTGGTCCTTCCTGACCAGACACAGATGCAGGTTTCAAGTCTCTCATCTCCAAGTCCAGTCAGGACGTGAACAACAGAGGGAACAGTCCCTCCATGGATCAAGTGAGCGCGTCCAAGGGCAGGATGTTCTGGTTGTAATTAGGTGGCTCACATTTCAATTTGGCAGGGATATTAAAAGGCATCCCGGAGGAGGCCATTGGAATGCTGAGCAGGGAATGAAGGCTCTGAGGAAACCCTTAGAAAGAGGGCATTTAATGAGCCGCGGCCGCCAAGGGGCCCATGGTGCCCCGAGGTTTGGGCTGCCTTTGGCTTCAGTTTCTTCTTGTCAGGCCAGGGACTCTGAGAGGCGCAGAGGTCCTTCTCTGTGCATGATGGTGGCTGCTGAAGGTCACCTTGGCTAACACAGGCCCAGAAATGGCAACAAAAGGGGCAGCAAGCCTGTGACCCAAAGAGAGGGCCCAGGCAGTGTGGGACCCCCCGTCCAGCAAGGATGGAGGAAGCCTTCTAGTCACACCACCTGGTCATGCACCTGCCTGGGGTCATACCCCACCACCATGCACATCTCCCCCACCATGAACCTGCCTGGGGCCACACCACCCACCATGCATCTGCCTGGGGCCACATGCACCCGACCATGCAGCTACCCAGGGCCACACCTGCCTGCAGGGCACATTCCCTTCCCCCAAAACACCTGCCTGGGGAAATGTTCACTCTCAGAAGAAACTCATGGTCCACACATCATGGATGATGGCAGCTCCTCCCACCTGCTGACCCACCTGTACCCTTCAGGCTCGGAACTCTTCCCAAGCCAGCCTTCCCAGGACCCCTTGAAACTGAAGGTGCTGGTGCTGCCCGGGCTGTACCTGGCTGGAGCTATGAACTTTAGTCCACTCAGCACACCTGACTCACCACGGACCAAACTGAGATTTGAAGGAGGGAAGGAAGCTTTGGGAGACCCTGGAGGCCACGGTGAGGGAGAGGTGGGGGCAAAGGCTGCCTGGAGCCAGGGATGGGGCAAGGGGCCTCAGCTTGGCCTCTTACCACCCGTGACTTCAGCTGGTCTTTGGAGCCGTGGTTTCCTTATCGAATGGGAACACAGTGAAGTGTC
The DNA here is from genome assembly GCF_000001405.40 of Homo sapiens. Taxonomy (NCBI): domain Eukaryota; kingdom Metazoa; phylum Chordata; class Mammalia; order Primates; family Hominidae; genus Homo; species Homo sapiens. The sequence goes on from NC_000010.11 coordinate 132,507,885, forward strand.
AATGAGCAGGCACAGGTGAGTGCCCTTTGTAAACCGTCTGGAGCCACAGCAGGGTCACGGAGGACGAATCCTTGAGGAGATGTGAACGTCCTGATGTCCAGGCCATGCCCGGTCCCTCCAGGGTGGAACTCAGGCATCCACGATCCTTTGGAGCACATGTGATGCATGGAGCAGCCCAAGGCCTGCTGTGCAGGCCAATACGAGGGTGCATGCCTGCGGCCACAGCAGAACTCCGGGGCCTGAGCTCTGAAGCAGGAGGCAGCTCACCAGTCGGCTAGCTGAGCCTGGCTTCAGGCAGACGGGTGCACCTCTTATGACAGTGGGCAGGCCACTTCACAGATGACCCACGGCTCAGGCCTGGCTAGCGTTAGATTCTCTGCTGCAGGGTTACTGGCCCAGGGCACTGGGGACCAGCCAGGTGTACCTGCCAGGAATTGTCACTGGCAGAGGTCAGCCCAGCTCCTTGCCTGCCCAGCCTGGGCATTTTCCAAGGAGAGACAGACCCTGGGCCTCTGTGGTCAGCCCCAACCAGGGACCCAGCTCTCCACCAGCCAGGTCCTGAGTCTGAGTTTACAGTTTACTATTCAAACTAAGGAGAAAATCCTCCAAAGTACACAGAAGAATCCATCATATCCCAATCAACACCCATATGAACATGAAGCAAGGCCCTGCTGCTGCTCCTAAATGGGGGACAGTGACATTTGGACAGACAGCGTCCTCCCAGCAGAGGGATGTGCTCAGGTTCTGGAAGGAACAATGGAAAAAAAGTCATTTTTTCCATAGAAGTGTCATGTGTAAGACAAAAACGTTCTGGAAAGCACTTTGCATTTGTTTCCCCAAGCCTGTAGAAATGAGGTGACCGCACAGGGCAGGAAAAGTGGGTGGAGAACACTCTGGGTCATCCGGGAGGTTCCTAGAGGAGGCGAAATGCATTTCCCAGAAAGACGACAAGCCGGTACTGCTGTTCCTCACAGGGACCCACTGGGAGGCAGGCTCTGCCTTCTCCATGGCAAGTCCAGGGCCGGCCACGTCAGCTGGTGAGGTCCTGCAGGGAAACAGCAGTGCCACCCTGAGTGCCACCCGGAATAAAGCTGGGCCCGGGGAAGGAGGCTCCTGAGGTCGGAGAGCACAGCTGACTCCAGGGCTGCTGAGCAGGTGCGCCTTGCCCCACAGGCTCCACACCCTCCAGATCAACCAGGGATTCAGCCAACAGCCCCCACCACATCGAGCTCTTCTCCCTCCTGGAGCCCCCCAGAAGTCCCAGAGCCTGACCTGCCTCACCCTTAAAGGGCAGCCAACCTGAGGTGTGCAGAGTGCAGGAGGGGACCGTTCTGGTCCTCACACACCCAGCAAGCAAGCAAGCATGCAGCTCCCGCTGTGAAAAGGCCACTCTTGGGCGTGGGGTCCCTGCTCTTGGGAACCTACATTCTAGTGGGAAGGATCGAAGGTACGTGGGTGAGCAAACATACAAACAGGATCATCCACCAAGTGCAGATGTTTTGATAGCAACAAAACAGGGGATGTGATGGGAGTCTCACTGGATTGACCTGCAAATTCTTTCCCAAGGGGGCACTGAGGGGCAAGACGCCAGCTGCGTGTGATCCAGGGAAAAGGGCCAAAGACAGAGGGAGCTGCTGGTGCCAGTGCCCAGGGGCTGGGTCAAGTGGGCAGTTTCTTGGTGCAGAAAGGAGGCCTGGGTGTTGCCGGGGAGAAGGAGAGAGGCCCAGGAGCGGCCCCCACCAAGTCTGGGCCGGCAAGTGGGCCGGGGCCCGCTGTGTTCAGATGTGGTGGTCACCGTATCACCAGGCGTCGTGGCAGAGATGGGGGTGCCGTGCACTTTTCCATCCAGGAATGAAGCCCTGTCACCCTCTGGAAGGAGAGCATCAAACAAGAAGCCAGCGGGGCAGGGGAGGGTCAGCCCGCCCACACAGGGCCCTCCTGAGCTTGGGGCTGAGCCATGCTGAGCTGAGGTCAGTGCTGAAGGGTCCCTCAGCCTTCGGAAGTGGGGCATTGAGGATTTTTCTGCTGCTCCAAATCCTCACCAGAGCTGAATCTGGGCTGGAGGTTGGGATTTCCCAGGGAATGACAACCTGTGACAGCCACAGGACCTTGCCTCCCTGGGTACAGCCCCACCTATGCACTCTCAGTTCCTGGGAGGCCAGGATGGGCCCAGCCGGCTCCTGCTCTCAGGGGAAGACCTCACACCTGTCTCCGGACTCTGCAAGCCCTAACCTGTGGCCCTGTCATGGTTCCCACCCCACCCCCTGCCTCCTGCCAAGCCCATCTTTCTCCTGTAGCCCTGCCCTGGGCCCCTCCCCAGATCTGTGTGTTATCCCCACCTTCATCCTGCACGGAGCCTGTGCCTAGCTCCGCAGCTACCAGGATCCTCCTGCCACCCACCTGGGGCCCCCAAACCCTCGAGCCAGGCCAGGGCCGGGAGCGGCCGTCATCCAAACCCTTCTGAGTGTGGCTGCCTGGGGCCTGGTCCCGTGCCTGGCTCTGAGGGACATTTATTTGCAGGTGCACAGACCCGGTCGCAGAGCAGACCTGGGACCGCCCTGTGATGCCCAGAGTGAGGGCTGAGCACAAGGCAGGCCAGGCCTGGCAAAGAGCCCCTGAGCCCGGGGGTGATGTGACGCCGCCGGCCCTGAGCCCTCTGCGGCAAAGCTCCAGAGGGTTGGGGCTGAAGTGGGTGAATGCTGCCACCCTGCTCCTGGGGTGGCCTCCCCACAGGGCCCTGCCGGCTCCTCCAAGCCCCTCCCAGTGGCCGCTCTGACCCAGACCACGTCCTTAAAAATGACCTCAGTACTGATCATGGACCTAAATGTGGAGCCTAATTCTATAAAACTTCTAGACTAAAACACAGAAGAAAACTTTGTGATTCTGAGTTAACAAACATTTCTTAGGACAGAAAAGGCAGTTACTATAAAAAAGTTGATAAATTGGATGTCATAAAAATTAAATTTTTTTGTCTTCCAAAGACATCATTAAATCGATGAAAAGACAAGCCACAGACTGTGAGAAAATAATTGCAATGCCTATAAATGACAAAGGACTTTCCCTGCAATACATAAAAAACACTTACAACTCAATAAGAAAGCAAATCAACTAGTTTCATAAATGGACAAAACGTTGAACACACAAACTATAAGAAACGATGTACAAATGGCTAAGCACACAAAAGGATACTGTATTCTGTCATCCTTGCACTGCTATGAAGAAATACCTGAGACTGGCTAATTTATAAAGAAAAGAGGTTTAATTGGCTCACGGTTCTGCAGTCTGTGCGGGAAGGCATAGTGGCTTCTGCTTCTGGGGAGGCCCCAGGAAACTTACAATCATGGCGGAAGGTGAAGGGGGAGCCGGCACGTCACATGGCCAGAGGAGGAGGAAGAGAGATGGATGGGAGGCGCTACACACTTTTAAACAACAAGATCTCACGAGAACTAACTCACTATTGTGACAACAGTAGCCAAGGGGGAAATCCACCCCCACGATCCTGTCACCTCCACCAGGTCCCACCTCCAACACTGGGGATCACAACTGAACATGAGATTTGGGCCAGGACAAGGATCCAGACCATACCAGTTGCTGACGTCCTTAGTCATCGGGGAAACGGGGAATGAGGAAGATGAGAATGTAAAGCGGTACAGAAAGCGAAACATACACTTACCGTGAGACCCAGGAAGCCCACGTGGAGACATTTATCCAGGACAAAAGAAAGCACATATCCACAAAGACTTGAATATGCATGTTTATAGCAGTTTTGTTCATAAGAGTCCCAAGCTGGAAATAACTCAAATGTCTAACAACAGATGAACAAATAAACTGGAAAAGGCATACGATGGAACCCTTCTCAGCAATTCAACAAGAGAAACAATCACTGCAGGTATACACAGCTGCATGGATGAATCTCAAGAACATTACACGGAGCGAGGAAGCCAGACAGAGGGCTACGTACTGCAGGATTCCAGAGATATGAAATCCCAGGACGGGAAAAACTCGCCCAAGTGACAGAAAGCAGATCGGCGGTTGCCTAACTCCATGCTCTCATTTCTGGTTGTTTTCCAGTTGGTTCTCTTAAGGTTTTCAGGAAGACATTCACATCATCAGCTAATAACAATTACTTTTCCTCTTTTCCAATGGCTGTATTTTTTCTTTTTCATGTTTTTTTGCACTGGCTGGAAATTTTAGGACAATATGAGATGACAGTGGTGAGAGTGTGTAGGTTTGTCGTGACTGTGGCCTTTGGCTGCTGCCTATATTCATCTAGACTCCTACAAAAGACAGGAAAAACAACCAAATTAGCTTCAAGGGCATTTACTTATTTACACACAGCTGTGAGATTCAGGTGTGGCTGGATCAAGCATCCCAGCCTAGGTTCTAAGTGTGTATATGTGCTTCCCCTCTCTGTCACAAGATGGCTGCAATAGCTCTAGACTGTATGTCCCCTTGGGTATGAATCCAAGGGAATAATGTGTGTATTTTTTCCAGAATTTCCAGAAAAAGTCTAATTATGCTTCACTGGTCTCCTGGGACCTCTTGCCCACCTGTGGCCAGGAAAACAATGTGCTGATTGTCACCCCGGGTCACTTGCCCATTCCTAGGGTGGACAGGTGAGGGAAGAGATGCAGAGCTGGGTAGGTGCCACCAATGACCAGGTCCACCCGAGCCCTCCTCTCATCCCCAACGACCCAGCTCCACCTGAGCCCTCCTCTCATTTCCAACAACCCAGGTCCACCCGAGCCCTCCTCTCATCCCCAACGACCCAGCTCCACCTGAGCCCTCCTCTCATCCCCAACAACCCAGATCCACCTGACCCCTCCTCTCATCCCCAATGACCCAGGTCCACTGAGCCCTCCTGTCATTCCCAACCCAGGTCCACTGAGCCCTCCTCTTATCCCCAATGACCCAGGTCCACCCAAGCCCTCCTCTCATCCCCCACCCTCTATAAGGGTGGCCTCCCACATATGCGTTTCGGCTCCCTGGTCCATCTTTCAGACCCTGCTGGCAGACTAGAATCTGAGCTCAGGGACACAGAGACCAGGAGCTGAGCTTACCAACAGCAGGACTCCATGGGGGAAGCTCATGGCTCCCACAGACAAATGGCTCCTTTCACTCTTCTCTTGGACATGTGAGATGCCCAGCCAGCCTTCTGGTAAATTCCCTCTCTCGCTCCAGCTACTGTGACTTGGTTTCCCTGACTTGGCACCACGTGAACCTGCATATCAATGGGCTGCCTCCAGCCTGGCGTTCAGCTTTTGCTGTGGTCACCATTGTCCTAGCAAATGCTCTTTTTCTTCCTCCATATTCTATTCTGTTTAAGAATATTAAGAATAGGCCGGGCGTGGTGGCTCACACCTGTAATCTCAGCACTTTGGGAGGCCAAGGCAGGCAGATCATGAGGTCAAGAGATCGAGAACATCCTGGGCAACATGGTGAAACGCTGCCTCTACTAAAAATACAAAAATTAGCTGGGCATGGTGGCGAATGCCTGTAGTCCCAGCTACTCAGGAGGCTGAGGCAGGAGAATCACTTGAACCCGGGAGGCAGAGGTTGCAGTGAGCCAAGATTGCACCACTGCACTCCAGCCTGGTGACAGAGTGAGACTCTGTCTCATAAAAAAAAATAAAAAAATTAAGAGTAGATTTGGAATTTTTCAAATCCCTCTTTGTAACTCATTGAGATAAGATTTTTTTCTTTCACCTTTGACTATTGTAGAGCTTATTAATTTCCTGAAATTAAACTATCTTTGCATTCTTGGGATAAACCATATTTGGACATCATATTCTTTTCCTATTTTCTTGGATTTGATTTGCCAGGATTCCATTTATAATTTTTGCTTCTGAGTGGTCAATAATTTTCCTTTTGAATGAGTTTGGTGTCTCAATCAAGGTTATGCTGGCCTCATAAAATGAATTAGAAAGGAGTTTCTTATCAGAAAAGTTTACATAGCTTGAGAATTGCTTGTTCTTTAAATGTATGAAAGGTCAATCCATGAAACCTGTATTTAGAGGTAATTCCTAGACAGCATTTTTCAAACACCTTCCATTGTTATTGGCCTGTTTAGTTTTTCTCATGCTTCTTGAGGAGATTTTGTTAATTTATATTTTTATAAAATTATTTTGTTGAGATTTTCATATTTTAATTGCCTGGGTGTTATAATTATAATTTTGCTTATTTATATTTTCTTTAATTTTCTGGATTCTATTTGCCATGCATTTTAAAATTTATTGCTGTTTTTCCATCAGAATGAAGAATGACGGTGTTTCAGTTTCTTACCTAGGACTATATATGAGCTCCCTGGTGTGGATGTCAGGAAGGGCTTATGAGGGGTGTGTGTGTGTTATGTGTGTGGTTTGTGTATGCATGTATGTATGGGTGTGTGTGTGGTATGTATGTGTGTATGTGTGGTATGTATGTGTGTATATGTGTGGTTTGCATGTGGCATGATGTGTGTGGTGTGTATGCATGTATATATAGGGGTATATGTGTGTGATATGTGTGGTGTGTGTGTGGTCTGTGTGAATGTGCGTTGTGTGCATGTGTGGTGGGTGTGTGCACGTATGTATAGGAGTATGTGTGTGTGACATGTGTGGTGTATATGACTGTGTATGGTATGTGCGTGGTGTGTGGTGTGTGTGTGGTGTGTATATGTATGGATGTGTGCTGTGTGTGCATGTGTGTGGTGTGCGTATGTGAGTGTGTGTGGTGTGTGGTGAGTGTGTCTGTGGCATGTATATGTATGAATGTGTCCTGTATGGATGTGTGGTGTGTGTGCATGTGTGTGTGTGGTGTGTGTATGCACATATGTATTGGTGTGTGGGGTTGTGTGTGGTGTATGTGTGGTATATGTGTGGTGTGTGTATGTGTGGTATGTGTGTGGTGTGTGTGCTGTGTGTGTGTGTATGTGGTGCATGTGTGTAAGATGATCAGCTCTGCATTTGACAAAAACAGGACACGTATATGGGTTTCCTTCCTCTGGGGCCCACCTGGGGCTGGTGCACCCTCCGGAAGCCCTGGCTGGATGGAGCCCCTGGGGGAGCCAGTTCCCAGGGACTCCCCATCCATGTCTGGCTCAGCTCTTCTGTCCTCCAAGCCCTCTGTCTGCTCCTACTCAAAAACGCCGCAGAGCCCTGTGTTCACGGCTCCCAGGCTCTCCCTCTGGCCTGGCCCGAGGCCTCTCCTGGAGACGCTTTCAGGCAGGGGGTCTGTGTGGCCCCACGAGGAGGTCCCCGGCCACTATCCCTGCCTGGATTCGGAAGGGGTGGAACCACAAGAGGCACCTGGGGAAATGGCAGAGCTGCCCCCAAAGCAGCCCTGACTGGAGCTCTGATGAACACAGGCCTCGGCTTCCTGCATGGGAGGCAACGAGCGGGGTGGGCCCAAGGCCGTCTGTGTTTCTGGCCTCAGCCTCTGTGGCGGAGGCACAGCAGAGGGGCCGCCAAGCATGTTTTCCACCAAATTCCGCCAGTCTTGCAGCTGCCTGCAAGTCCTGCCAGAGTCTCACGGTGGACCTGGGGCTCGGACTCCACAGGTGTTATGGGTTTGTGCTTTTCCCGTCTCCAGGGGCACCTCAGTGGGCAGTTTAAAGAGGAAGTCTGCAACCGGGGCAGCCAGCCTGATCTTTAAAACAGAAACCTTTCTCTAACAGATTTTGAAGTTAATGAAAAACAACATAATGCTTTCATTCTAGAAAATATGAATCGCTTTTTATAGATCTTTTTATTTTCCTTTGTTTCATTAAAGCCAGACTTAGGAGTCAAAAAGAAAAAAAAAAGATGTGGGATCTACAAGGTACAATTTCCTATTATCATCCATCTTCCCAGGAAGCAATTTTCTTGTCTACATATAAAAGTACCCTAACGCTTGAAGCAGAGAAAACCAACCAGGGACGGCTCCCATGCTGGGAGTCCAGGGCTCGCACAGCAACGGCCACCTTCCCGAATGACCTCGTTCTGGGAAATAAACGGGAATATGTTCCACAGCCGGATGGCACCCAGGAGCTATGGGCAGTCAGGACAATGTGTCCCACAGCTGGAAGGCACCTGGGAGCTCTGGCAGAGCTGGGAGGCTGGGGAGGCCGGGGACCCTGGCTGCCACCTCTTGCCTGCATGGTTCTCCTGCTTGCAAAGGGGACAGTGCCCAAAGCCACTTGAGCCACTGGGAAAGTGGTGAGGGAGAACTGGGGTGTTGGGTGTCTCATTTCACTCTGCTGCACCCCCAGCTCCAGCCAGGGTGGTCGGCTCTCTCTCCATCTACTACAAAGCCTCCTTGACTCTGGAGGGGCCCCCCAGTGCCCATGCCTCTGCAGAAACAAGTGTCCCAGCTCCAGCAGAGCCACCGCCCTCTGCCTTCCACCCTCTGTCCTCTGTCCTCTGCCCTCTGCCCTCTGTCCTCTGCCCTCTGCCCTATGGCTGGCCCTGGCTGTGAAGTGGTCTCCCTCTTCCCCTTTCTACCCGGGGCATGAGGACTGCCAGTCTCACAGGAGGCATTGTGGATCTGGGCTGGAGAGCCTGTGCAGGGCTCCGGCTGTGGTGGGAAGGTGCCTGGCCATGAGACGCATCACTCAGTGCTTCCTTGTGACCAGAAGACGTTGAGGAAGCAACGGTTTGCTCCCAAGGGACTGGCTACCCCACATACGCACGTGTATATATACATGCACAGTTCATGTTCACAATGCACACATGTGTGCTGTGCACAAGCAAACATACGCATATAAGATACAGTGCACACACATGTGCACATCCACACAATATGTGCTCATACATGCATGTACACACATGCACACCATGTACGTCAGCATGCATCTGCAAGTACACAGTGCACAACGCGTGCACACACACACACACACACACACACACAGCTCTCTCCTGATCCTGCTACCCTCCCCTCACCTCAAAGGCAGGATCAGGGGCCTCCCTACCCATGTGATTCAGTGACACATGGCTGGGGCAGGGACCCGCCCCCTTGGCTCCCAGGTACACAGGCACCCAAGTCACCTGCTCCAGAAACCGTCCCAGAGACAAGTTCCCCCGGACCGCTGCACCCGACAAATGGCTGCTGGGGCGAGACCAGCCCGGGGACTTGCCGCGTGGCACCTTGGGGCGCTCAGTAGCAGGGCAAGACGCAGGCACTAGTCTGGCCAGGGCCACAGTGGGGCGGGGGGCGCAGGTGGCCCCAAGCTGGTTGGAAAGAGGGCTCTCAGGTGCCAGGGCACGCCTAGGGGTGAGATCCAAGCCAGCCCCTCAGGCCTCAACAAGGCGGCTCCTCCGGGAGGTGAAGGTCGGGCCACATTCCTGCGGAAGCTGGAATTCTGACATCAGATTTTCCAAGCTAGCTTTGGGGGAGGAGCCGGCAGGGAGCCAGGAGGGAGCCGAGGCCAGCGGGGGGTGGGGCGGGGTGGCTGAGGCTGTTCCAGGTTCCACAGGCCTGAGGTCCTGCTGGCCTCCCCCTGGGCCTGGGCTGCCCACTGGCCGCCTGGAGCATCCCACGCAGAGGGTGACTTTCTCATCCCAGCACTGGCCTGGCTGAGTCACATGGGGGCTGGGCCAGGGGACTCTAAAAATAGCCTGCGCTGGCGCTCGCTGGACCAGCCGGGAAGTTATTATTAGGCTGCGGCAGGGCCTCCTCCTGGGGTGGCCTCTCCTCTCAGAGCCCGGAAGAGGGAGGGGCTCGGTCAAGGCTGTGGGGCTGCCAGGTCACCAGGCCCTGGACACTCAAGCCGGGTCCCTCCGGTGGGGGCAGGGCAGGGGCTGCGCCCTCAGCCTGACTCCCACCCACACGCCCCTTCTTCCTGCGCTTCCCAGGGATGACCAGGCACTGTACGGGGGCAGCTCCTGGTTTTTCTGCCCCGCGAGGACCTGCTGTTCCATCAGGAGGGTGACTTTCTTCCCCTGCCCACCCTGGGGAGTCTCCCACGTCTGTGGGGCCTTTTCTGGATTCACTCTCTGTACCCACTGCTCACGCAGGGCCCAGTGCAAAACAAAACTGCGAGGCCACCCTTCAACAATGACTAAGTATTCGGGGCAAGTATGGGGCCTTGGGGGCAGCCACTCTGGGCCCTAGCTGCACCCCCATAAAGCCAGCCTTGCACCCTGTCCCCAGAAACCACTGACGTGGGGCCTGCAGGGGTGTGAGATACATCAGGGTGCAGCCGTCCCCAGGACACCTGAGCCGAGACCCTGTCTCCATGGAAACAATAGCTACCAGGCCAGCAGCTCCCAGCTCACCGCTGCCGCTCATGTCCAGGCCGTGGTCCTTGGAGTGGTCACTGCTGCGAGGGAAGGAGCCCCCAACAGCTCCCGTGAACCTGACCCTGGAGAGGGAGGCTGTGCTCTAAACCCCTCTCCTGAGTCTTCAGTGAACCCTTGTGCCCCTGGACAGGCACTGTTCTGGGGACGTGCTGGCCCCGCCCTCCCCTGGGCCGGCCCTGCTCAGCCAGGAGGACCACCCTAGTGAAGGCCACTCCCCATCCCCATCTGAGGAGGGTGCACTTTTGCAACAGAGAAAGCCCCAGGCTCAACCCAGTCAGCGCTGCCTCCAGCCCGTGGGACCCAGAACACAGCTCCAGTCCTTCCACTGCAGAGACCCTGGGGGCAGGGCCCGGCCCCAAACGCAGAGACTCAGAGTTCGTGTGGATGGTTGACCCTGAAAGTAGCTTCATGTATTGTCTGATTATAAAAATGATACCCCTTGTAAAAAATACAAACTACAAAAAAGTAAAAGCAGGTTGTGTCCCCCCAAGACCTTTCCCTAGCGGTTCCTACAGCCGCTATGGAGGCCAGCGCAGGAAAAGGCGGGGGTGCGGGCGTGAGGCCAAGTGCACCTGTGATTTGGTCCGGGCACAGCTTGGCGTGTCTCTGTGCTCCTCCCTCTGGAGAAGCCCCGCCTACATTGAAGGGCACGTGGGCCGGTGCCGTAACTTGCTCCACCCAGACCTGCCGATGGACATTTATATCACGTCTGCTTTTTTGGCCGCTGAAACAAGCAGCCGAGGTGCCTTTGGGCCTGTATCTTTGCCCACCTTCTGATTGTTTTCTGGACAAATCCCCGAGGAAGACACCAGGTCACAGAGCACACTTGTTTAACATTGTGAAACCTACAAGGATCGGTGGAGATTTTATCCCTAAGGGACTCAGGGCCTCTGCGGGGTGAAGGTCGGAGGCACGAGCCACACTTCCCAGACCGCTGGCCAGCTCACTCCCCAGCAGCCGCTAACCCTGTCTAACCCCTGCTGGGCTCCTCTTTCCTTTCCTGTAATCCCAGCTACTCCTCCAGGTGGTGAGAGCACCTGAGCTGTGGGGCCGGCACCAGGAGGCTGTGTTGCTGTTGTCAGGCACGGGGCTGTTTCCCCATGGAGGAGACGCAGCCTCTCTGGACAGCCGCCTCCCCCTCTGGTGTCCGGACACAGTGTTGTCATGCCCAGACTTTGCCTCCTGGTCTGTCTGCTCCGGGGAGGGTGCTGGGAAGAGCACTGCCATGTTCATTACCAAATGTTCAGCGGGGACCCCAGATGCTGCCTGGTCCCCGTGTCCATGAGCAAAGCTCCCCCGGGGAAGCCCCAGAGACAACACTGTGGCCTCGTGCTAACTCCCAGGAGGGAGGTCAGGTCAGAGGGCAGGAGGCCCCGTGGATGCTTCTATGTTTTGACCTCAAACCCCCTCCCACGGCCTCAAAGGTGAGCCTGCCCCGAGGGCTGGACTCTGGGATCGCTCCAAACAGCAGGATCAGCTCTCCGTGCTGAGGAGGTGTTCACGCCTCGTGCAAGAGAACACGGCCTCTGGGTCCAGACAGCACATGAGCCGGGGCATCCCGGGAACCTTCTGGAAAGAGAGTGAGGTCTGTAGTAACCTGGGTTCCGGCCCATGATCAGCCTGGGGTGGCTCCGGTTCCAGTTCCTCAGGAAGCCTGGAGGGAAACAGCAACTCCCTCTGCAGCTCTGTCCCCAGATTTCCCTGTGCTGGGCGGGGCACAGCTGCGATTGCTTCGACTTCCCAAACACTAACAAGGATATCCCCTGGAACGGGTCTGCCAGGGACACCATCATGGATGGTGAACACCCAGGGGACGCCAGCCCCGGGGCCAGGAGGCAGTGTTGTCCGTGGGCGCCCCCAGGAAACGCAGCCCCAAGCCCAAGTGCTGCTGCCTCTGGGCCCCCAGGCGGGCGCCGCTGAGGTGATCCCTGGGACCCTCTCCAGCCCAGGATGGGGGTGAAGGCCCCGGAGCTGGCTCAGCCCACAGGCAACAGCAAGGCAGCCATGTACGCCTGGATCCCATGGAGTCATCACCCCCCACTGCAGCCCCTGGGGGCCTCCTGGGCAGGCACCTTGGGAACCTTGGGAGTAGGGAGCCAAGGAAGGCCAGAGGGGTCCCCATGAGTCTCCTGGGGCCCCATCAAGGACTTTGGCCTCAGCTAGAGGGAGGGATGGGGACAGCAGGCAGGAAGAATGGGCACACAGGCCAGACGCACACAGGCTCTGAGAGGGTTAAGGCAGGGCCCATGTTAAAACCATCCTCTCCCCTCAGAGCCCAGCATATGATGGGGCCCAGGGGGTGAACCCGGGCTGGACACACCGACCTCAGCCTTGGCCCATCTCCCCAACCACGATGAATTACTGACACTCGGCCCTTACATACAGCCGGGGCCTCGCAGTGCCAGGCTGGGCTGCGGAGGCCTGGATGCCCCACTCATCCAAGCAGCTGATTCCGGCTGCTCAGGACCTGCTGGCAATGCTGTCTGTTCCATCGCTCCAGGAAATGGAAATGTTCCTAAAACTTTCATGTCACAGCTGCTTTTACTTTGTAAGTTCATGCTTAAAATAGCGCCAGCGGCCTCTGTTTCACCTTTTCCGAGGTTGGAAGCGGTTTGCTCTCAGCTCCATGAGAAGACAGCGGGGGAAACGCGGCAAGGAGCAAAGCTTGGCCAGAAAGCATCTCTTCTTTTTATGTAACGCTGGTCTGTGAAGCTTATATTTTAAAAGTTAAGTAAATACTGGGTTTGTTCCATAAACTTATCTTCTCTTACATGGACTAGGAGGGTCGTGTGTGAGTAAAATGCAGCAAAAAGACACATGAAGCCCCTGGGAGATCGACTCTTCTCACGGCTCTTTCTGCCCCAGCAGCTGAAGTCAGTGGGGCTGTGTTCCACAAACACCACGGTGCCCTGGCCAGAAACGGGCTGCTCTCCTGACCTCCTGGGCCCCGTCCTCACTGCAGCCTCCGGGGGTCAAACTGACACTGTGCATCCCTTCACAGACAGGGAAACTGAGGCTTTCAGGTGCCGCCGTTCACCCACAGTCATGCCGCTAGCGAGGGCTGGGGCGGAGGGGCCAGGGCTGGAGGCTCCTCCCCACCCCCCCAGGCCAGAGCTGCATCCATTGCGGAAATGATGAGAAGTCGCCCTGGCCCGCTGAGAGGCAGCCAAGCCCCCAGACCTCCCTGAAAGGGGAGAGTGGAAGGTTTTCCCATGGACCTGCACAGGGCCAGGCTGTCCTGGGCACTCCCAAATCTCCTCAGCCTCCTCTGGAGCTCGCTTTCCTGAGCACAGTGTCCTGGGACTCTGCCTTCTCCGTCCACAGAGCACGAGTGGACAGGGCCGCATCTGGCTTTGGGGGTCCCGGAGAGCTCCCTGGTGCCCCACACCCTGGCTGCACCCTGATCCAGCCGGCCCCAGGAGTGGACTCGGCTCTGCAGGTACCAGTGGCGGTGCTGACGACAGCCCCTAACTGTGCTGGTCATAAGCAGCTGGACACCAAGGAGTCTCACCAGCCCATCTGGAGAGCAGTGCCTTCTGGGGACCCAGTTTAGAGCAGGACAGACCACACTCTGCCAGCTGGGGCAGCCACAGAGGCCACTTCCCCTCCACCCAACATGCGTGGTTTGGTGAAGGCCACAGCAGAGAAGGGTCACAACCTCTAGGAGTTGATTTGACCAACCATGTGGCCAAGGGCTCACTCTTCTCCCTCCTGAGTCCCTGCTGCCAAAGGAGGCCTCGGACCGGGAGCTCGTGAGCCCCCAATGAGTCTGTTGAGGGTGCATTGCTGGGAGCTCGTGAGCCCCCGTGGGTCTGTTGAGGGTGCATAGCTGGGAGCTCGTGAGCCCCCGTGGGTCTGTTGAGGGTTCATTGCTGGGAGCTCGTGAGCCCCCGTGGGTCTGTTGAGGGTGCATTGCTGGGAGCTCGTGACCTCCCGATGAGTCTGTTGAGGGTGCATTGCTGGGAGCTCGTGACCCCCCAGTGAGTCTGTTGAGGGTGCATTGCTGGGAGCTCGTGAGCCCCCGTGGGTCTGCTGAGGGTTCATTGCTGGGAGCTCGTGACCCCCCAGTGAGTCTGTTGAGGGTGCATTGCTGGGAGCTCGTGAGCCCCCGTGGGTCTGTTGAGGGTTCATTGCTGGGAGCTCGTGACCCCCCAGTGAGTCTGTTGAGGGTGCATTGCTGGGAGCTCGTGACCCCCCAGTGAGTCTGTTGAGGGTGCATTGCTGGGAGCTCGTGAGCCCCCGTGGGTCTGCTGAGGGTGCGTTGCTGGGAGCTCGTGAGCCCCCATGGGTCTGTTGAGGGTGCATTGCTGGAGCCTGAGGATGTGGAGAGGTGGCCCATGGACCAGGATGGGAGCGTTGCTGGGGAGTTCTGCTGAGAGGCAGAGGCACGCAGATTGACATTACAGCAACCAGGCTTGGCCCTGTTGGCTGGAAGGAGCCTCATTCCTGGAGGAGTCTGTCCTTGGACAGGGAGGACCCTTGAGCCTCTGCCCAGTCTGGAACAAGTACAGGGGGCTGGCTGGGGGCTGCCAGGAGTCGGTCTGGTGGGGCTGGCCAGCCCATATCCAGGCCTCAGCACGAGAGTCACCCACCTTGCACCCCTGGGCCAGCTCCGAGGCAGCACCCTGGCTCTGCTGGACTTCCTAGGAGGAGGGGCTGCAGGAACTGAATGTTCCTGAGCTGGCTCTCAGAGGCACCCATTAGCCCATCTCATGCAGGGCTAATGGGATTCTGCCCCACGAGAAGAAGTCACCTCCCAGCTGACCACTAGCCTCTGCTGAGCCTGGCTGGCCGAGGGCCACCCCAGGGGACTGCAGACCCCATGACTCCGGGGGAGAAGGGAGGCCTTTCCAGCCACAGTGCAGCCCTCCCATCCGCCCAGCACCTTCAGAGCAGCCTGCAGAGCCCAGGCGCCCAGGGGCCACCCTCATCCACTCAGATGTGGGGCGCTGAGCACACAGAATGTGGGGACCCTCCCTGCCCCTAAGAGGCTGCTAGCAGCTGAGAGGACCCCAGGTCTGGGAGGGGATGGGTGATGCCCACAGAGCTGATCTCCTGCTGGTCCCGCCACCCTGTCCCCTCTGCTGTGGTCCTGGAGGCTGAGCCCAGGCACACCGGCCTGCTGACTTCTAGCTGGGGTCAGCCCACCGGAGGGCCCTGATCATGGCTGGGTACTTCTTCCTGGCTGTCCCTGTCCTGGGCTGTCCTGACCCTCTCAGGCAGGTGGCCCTCCTC
This sequence comes from Homo sapiens, assembly GCF_000001405.40. Taxonomy (NCBI): domain Eukaryota; kingdom Metazoa; phylum Chordata; class Mammalia; order Primates; family Hominidae; genus Homo; species Homo sapiens. Next base: position 132,523,376 of record NC_000010.11, read on the forward strand.
CACACCAGGCCATCCCTGGGCTCTGCTCGGCCACCTCACCCCTGGCCGTACTCCTGCCCCTTGCGGGCCCCTGGTGCTTTCGCCTGCACCGAGGGTGATGTCCCTTCAGCAAAGGCTCTTGAAGGACCTAGTGAAGCTCTTCTGGGCTGACAGACACACCCACTATGCCCCCAAATCGGCACAAGCATGGTGCATCCACCGAGCAGGTTTTCTCCCTCGACTCAGAAGCTTTTGCCCCCAGCCCCATTTCATGGGCCTAACTAACATCATAAGCAATTAACACTGCCTGTGGCCAAAACCCATCACATCCTTTCTCACTAGGTGGCTGCTGCCCACACCCCAGCTCCCACCTTCACTGATTTGGGTCAGAAAAGCAGTTGCCAGGTCACACCGTCACATGAACGAGTGGTTGAAGTCTTTGTCTCTGCTCCCAGCTTGTTAGGGTGTGGAGGATCTGAGGCTGAGATGAGGAAACAGGCCCTCCAGTGCACCAGCCTGGCGGCTGGGACCTCCCTGACAGAGCACCTCAGGGTGGGTGCCAGCTTGAAGGAGCTGCAAGGGAGCTGGAGACCTGCGGCTGCACCCACAGCAGACTGGCCCCGGGGGCCCAGGCCATACAGGCAGGGCTGGGCCAGGCCTCCATGATGAAGTCAGACCCTCTCGGTTCTCTCTGTCTTCTCTCCATGTGGGTCTGCAGTCCCTCTCTGTCCCTGTTCTGAGACTCCAGCTTTCTGGAGCACCGCTCACCTGTTCCCGTCTCTTTCTCTTGCTTCTCTGCTTACAGTCATCTTTCCTTCTGTAGACAGCTGCCTCCATGCCACAAGGGCCTCCAGCATGGAGAACTGTTGCCACAGGTCCCGGTCCCAGACGACTGAAGTCTGTCCTTCACAGCAGCTGGGGCAGTGGAGCCCAGGGGACCCCACGGGCACCCTGGATCACACACAGCCTAGGGACCAGTGCAGCCCCAGAGGAGCCAGCAAAGGTGGGGACAAGGTGCCGAGGAGAGGGATCCAGCAGACAGGCTGATTCTGGCTGGGCTCGAGGGGAAGCCAAGGGAAGAGGGGAGCCTGGTGTGCCTGGCATGAAGCTGAGCTGCCCGCTTCTGCGGGCAGCCCCTCCAGAAGGCAGTGGAAGGGGTGCTGTTCAGGACAGCAGCTCGTACAAAGCGGGGGACATCACAAACACTGCTGGGCACTCACGGCTGAGACTGTGGGAGGCACCCGGTGGACTCCTGGAATGGAGGACAGAAGAGATGAGGGCTGGGTCTGGTCTCTCCCCAGGGCCAGCGGGAGGACTGAGCCCTTGTCTGCACCAAGGAATCGCCTTCTCTCCTCTGGCCCAGGAGGACAGAGGCTCAGAAGCTTCTCTGGAGACCGTGCTCTGTGGGCGAGATGAGGAAACAGGTCCCAGCAGTCCGGCTGAGGAAACACTGAGGGTCGGCTGAGACCAGGACCTTCGACTTTGTCTACACTGGAGGTGCGTGTTTAGAAGTGGAGCAAACGGTATATTCCTACAAGTTTAGACTCTGAGCTCCAGGAAGACCACAGTCTACCCAAAGCCACCCCTGCTATTTGTTCCCCAAATCTGCCCAGGCCGAGATCGGAGCCTGCCTGGAGCTCTCTGGATGTGTCCCTCCCTTGCCCTTGTCAAGGTGCTGCTGGCCTTGGGTGTTCAGTGGAGAAAGGACACTGGAAGCCCCAGAGTCACCTACAGACCAAGGCTGGGAACAAGCTGGAAGAGGAATGCCTTCCTGGGGCGGACAAGAACCTCAGAGCCTGGAGGGGCCACAGAGAGAGAAGTTCACCCAAAGCGAGCTGGGCAGGTGCCCAGCAATGGGGTCAGAAGGCCGGTTCTTCGTTTTCCCTGAAATACCAAGGACTCATTCCCGGTTTGTTTCTCGGGCTTTGGCTGGAAAAGGCAGAATCTGCAGCTTCTAAGCAGGCTTTGAGTTCTGAATGAATCTTTTAATTAACACAACTGTTCTACTAATTGATCCTAGACTCATTTTAAAGTTGAAAGGTGGGGATACCAGCTGCTGAGTGGGTAATTGTACCATCTGCAACTTTGCTGATAAATTTTGGGCAGATTAATCCTGCCAGCCCAAGTTAGCGTTGGCAGAAGGAAACTGGATGAGTGGGGCAAAGCAAAAAGCAAAAGCAGCCATGCGGGGAGGTGCTGAGAGGGGAGGGCTGAGCCTTATGGAGTAAGGTGGGCTTTTCATTTTTAAAGAATTGCTCGAAATCTCTTATCCTCAAGTTACATCATTATCACATACATGATGATAGTCCACATTGCAAAGCAAACACTGTGATGGATTCACGTTTCAAAAAATAAAACAGTTTAACTACATGTACTTGTGGTTTGAAAAAAAGTCACCATGTCTTTTTCATTCTTGGGCATACCTTGATTTATCTTTAAATAGCGTGGAAACCTTCATTTCAAACGTGTTAATGTGATTGCCCGCCTGAAAACTGTAAGAGAATGTCTATAAATCATGAAAGAGAGAAAACCGGAAGTGATAGTTTTCAAATATTAAATATATGTTTAGATTAGTAGCATTTCTATTTATAAACCTCAACCAGTTTGAATACACGGCAGACAACAATCCCATTCCCAATGAAACACAAAAGATTAACATACCCAGAAATAAATTTAAGAAGTGTAGATGACTTATTTAAAAAAATAAAATAAGGCTGGGCGCAGTGGCTCACGCCTGTAATCCCAGCACTTTGGGAGGCCGAGGCAGGCCGATCACGAGGTCAGGAGATCTAGACCATCCTGGCTAACACGGTGAAACCCCGTCTCTACTGAAAAATACAAAAAATTAGTTGGGCATGGTGGCATGCGCCTCTAATCCCAGCTACTCGGGAGGCTAAGGCAGGAGAATCGCTTGAACCCAGGAGGCGGAGGTTGCAGTGAGCCGAGATCGCATCACTATACTCCAGCCTGGGTGACAGAGTGAGACTCCGTCTCAAAAAAAAAAAAAAAAAAAAGGTAAAGGAAATAACATGGCTGATGGCGAGTTATTTACCCACATCCACCAAAGCAAAAATGTAGCTGGTTGACAAAATCAAGTCATTGAGAAATAAACTTTAATAGACAAAAATATGTGGTATATATACAGTGAGATTCACTTGATTTTTTTTCTTTTTGAGATGGATTCTTGCTTTGTCACCCAAGCTGTAGTGCAGTGGTACCTCCCGAGTAGCTGGGATTACAGGCATGCACCACCATGCCTAACTAATTTTTGTATTTTTAGTAGAGACAGAGTTTCACCATGTTGGCCAGGCTGGTCTCAAACTCCTGACCTCAGGTGATCCACCTGCCTCCGCCTCCCAAAGTGCTGGGATCACAGGTGTGAGCCACCGCGCCCGGCCGACATTCACTTTTGAGCAGACCACTCACTATTCAAAATAATATAAACGTGTACTAGAGTAGTATTTTCTCGTGAAAACATTTCCGTGGAGTGGAGTCATTTATTCACGTTTGCTTGCTGACTCATCTTCCCTTCGCTGCCAGTTAGGACTGCAGCCTTCGTGAGTCCCAGAGCCCAGAGGAAAGGAGGCGAAGCTCCCGAAGGCACTGGTGAAACGCCGACATTCCTGTGGGTGTCTTCCTTTTAAAACAACGTAAGGATGCTTTCAAAGTCTTCTGAAGATTTGAGCAATGGACAACAGAGATGAATCTTTATGAAGCTTAATTATTAAATACAGAGTTGCAAAATAGAAGTGACAGCTGAGTAGAGAACCTCTGAAAAGTGATCCCCTGCACTAGCAATGTTGATCATGGGAGCTGGATGGCCTTCCCTTAAAACTTTTTGTTTGTTTGTTTGTTTGAGACGGAGTCTCGCTCTGTTGCCCAGGCTGGAGTGCAGAGGCACGATATCGGCTCACTGCAAGCTCCGCCTCCTGGGTTGAAGTGATTCTCCTGCCTCAGCCTCCCGAGTAGCTGGGATCACAGATGTGTGTTACCATGCCTGGCTAATTTTTGTAGTTTTAGTAGAGACAGGGTTTCTCCATGTTGGTCAGGCTGATCTTGAACTCCTGACCTCAGGTGATCCACCGCCTCAGTCTCCCAAAGTGCTGGGATTACAGGCGTGAGCCCCTGCGCCCGGCCCTTTCCTAAGACTTGGTCATTAGAAGAAAATCTTGCCTGACCCTTGAAACAGGCTGAAAGAATGCCAGAAGCTCTGACAACTTCAAAGAGCATTGCCAAGACAGACACAGATTTTCCTTGTCTGTTTTTGCTGATGTTGTTTTGCTCATGGTTTGGGCTATTTGTCCTTTTGGCCACAAGGTTTAGCCCCTCACCGTGTCCTGGCAGGGGCTGCATTGCCCGAGCGGGGAGTCTACCACAGAGAGCGCACTGGCGTCCCTCTGGCTTACCCTCCTGACTCACGGTACGCACGTACATTTCGTGTCAATAATCTGGTGCTGTCAACCACCTGTCCCAGCCAAAAGAGAGGGACTCACTGCTTTACCGACCGTAAAGAACAGGCGCCCTGTTCCCTCACCCGTATCTGACTGGAGACGCAAACCTATGGCTTTTGCCATGAGGAATCCGAAGTCACAATTTCTTTTCCTTCAAAGTCAGGTGGAATGACAACAGTGACCCCCCGCCCCCCGGGGCCATGGGAAGTGTCAGGGTCACATGGGTTGAGTGTGTCTGGCTGGGGACACCCAGGTTCAAAGCAGGGCTGGGCAGGGTTGACCTCAAACCTGTCGGGGGCAAAGATGGCCATGGATTTTATGGTGCTGATCAAGAACCAACCAAAAGGAAGAGCTGTGGGTGTCCTATGAGGGCAGAGGGGGAACCCTGCAGAAACCGAGGGTCCAGCTGCTGCTGGTGCTTCCCAGGGGCTTCCCTTTCTCACTGTCGGGACTTTTGAAACGTGCATAGATGTGTACAGAGCCCCTGACTAGTGATTTGCTTCCAGGGAAGATCATATTTCATTTGGTGGAGCAGGGAGGCAGGTCGCGAGCTGCCTTTGCTCTTGCCCTGTGTGCAGGGCTGCTCCTAGGCTGGGAACCTGGGGGTCCCTCCGTCCACATGGGAGGCTGCTGTGTGCCAGGTCCTGCTCCAGGCTCCTCCCCCAAGATGCTCCGTTTCTGCAGGTTCTAGGATGACGATGAAACAAAGTGTCCAATCTGCACAGGAACCAGAGAAGCAGCTGCAGACCTTGCTATTGTGTTTCCAGATGTTTGACCCTTGGAGTGATTTCTCTAAAGAATGAGCTGTGCGGGTCTGAATGCAGCTGTTTTCTGAGATGTTGCTCAACAATTCCTTATGCGAAATCTTGGAGCCAGATGTAATTCAGAATTCAGTTTTTCTTCCCTTCGGATTTTAGAAAGAGGGTAGCTTGCATATCCCACCTGTTACGCAGCCTCAGCAGCACGTATGTCCGCACGTTTCGATGTTTCCAAAGCAGCACACGTGGACAACCACACTCAGTGCAGGCGCAAAGACACGATTTTTCCTTACTTCAGGTTATGTCAACAAATAAAACAATTTTTGTGTTTAGAGGATTTTGATTTACATTATTATATGTAAGAATTGTAGATGTAATCATTTCTTTTTTCAAGTTTATTTTATTTTTGAGACAGAGTCGTGCTCTGTCACCCAGGCTGGAGTGCAATGGTGCCATCTTGGCTCACCGCAATCTCCGCGCCACCCCGCCCACCCCTCGCCCCGGGTTCAAGCAATTCTCCTGCCTCAGCCTCCCAAGTAGCTGGGATTACAGGAACGCACCACCACGCCCAGCTAATTTTGTATTTTTAGTAGAGATGGGGTTTCTCCATGTTGGTCAGGCTGGTCTCAAACTCTCAACCTCAGGTGATCCACCTGCCTCGGCCTCCCAAAGTGCTGGGATTACAGGCGTGAGCCACCATGCCTGGCCTATTCATGGTGTTTTTCAAAGAGTATAGTTTTAAAATTTTGATGAAGTGCACTTTATTCATTTTTTTTCTTTTATGTTAGTGTTTTCTGATGTCTTTTCTAACAAATCTTTGCCTGCCCAAAAGTCTCAAAAACATTCTCACGTTTCTAGATTTTTAGCTTTAGCTTTTGTGTTTGGGACTATGATCCATATTTAGTGAATTTTATTTTTGGGGGGGCAGAGTCCATGTTGCCCAAACTGGTCTGGAACCACCACACCCAGCTAATTTTTGTGAATTGCGGGTACATCAAGGTTCACTTTGTTCCACATGGATTTACAGTGACCCCAGCACCGTTTGTTACAAAGACTGCTCTTTTCCCACTGAATTGAAACCTTTGTTGAAATCAGTTTGGTCTGCTTTTGGCTTCTCTATTCTGTTCCATTGATCTGCGTGTGTGCCTACCATTATGCCAGCACAAACCCTCTCAACTGCAGCTGTGTAAGTCCTGAAATCAGGTAGTTTATCTCATCTTTGTTCTTTTTTAAAACTTTTTTAGCTATTCTAGGACCTTTCCATTTCCATCTACATTTTAGAATTAACCTGTCATTTCTAAAGAAAAAGAAGGAGGAGGAGGAGGAGGAGGAGGAAGCTGAGATTATGTTAAACCTATAGAACAATTGAGGAAAACTGACATCTTAACATCACTGAGTCTTCCAATCTGTGAACATGGTTTATCTCCATTTACTTAGATACTTAAGTTTTAACCTGCCATGTTCTGTAGATTTTGTAAAAGTCTCGTATATCTTATATTACACTTATTCCTATTTTAAATTTTATGCTATTATAAATGAAAATTATTTAAAACTTTATTTTCCAATGCTGATTTCTAATATACAACAATACATTTTTTAAAATATTGATTTGTACTCCATGACCTTGTTAAATTCACTTATCCAGTAGTATGTATGTTTTGCAGGTCTCTTAGGATAGTCTATGCATATCATCCTGTTGCTGAAAACAAAGGCAGTTTTATTTTTTTCCTTTCCAATCTGTACGACTTTTATTTCTTTCTCTCATTTTATTGTACAGACTGGGACCTTAGTACAATGTCAAGTAGAATACAAGGGGTGACAGCAGACATCCTTGCCTTGTTCGTAACCTTGGGGGCAAGTGTTCAATCGTTCGGCACTAACCGTGTTATCTGTAATTTTTCAATAGATGCATTTCATCAGATTTAAGAAGTCCCCTTTATTTTTAGTTCATGAAGAGTGTTTATCGTAAGAGGATATGGAATTTTGTCAAGTGCGCTTCTATATCTATTGACCTGATCATATTTTTTCTTAATCTATTAATACGATATATTAAATTGATTTTCGGATCTCAATCCAATCTTATCTTCCTTGGATAACATATTTGGGCATGAGGTATTATTCTTTTTGCATATTGACAAGATTTACCAACATTTTCCTGAGGATTTCGGCGATAGTGTTCATCAGGAATATTGGTGTTTACATTTCTTGTATTGTCTTTGTCTAATTTTGGGATTAGAGAAATCTAACTTCACTGACTGAATGGGAAATAGTCCACCCCTCCCCCAAATCTCTGGAAGGGTTTGTCTAGAACTGTTACTATTTATTCCTCAAATGTTTGACAGAATTCACCAGTGGAGCCATCTGGGCCTAAAATTTTCCCTGTGAGAAGATTTTAAATCATAGATTCAAAATTTTTAATAGATAGAGTGCTATTCAGAGCAGCTATTTCTTCTTGAATGAGTTTCTGTAGTTTGTGTCTTTCAGGAAATTGGTCCTTCTAATCTGAATTGTTGGTATGTCAACACAAAGTTGTTTATTCTCTTACTACCTTTTAAAGTGTGTAGGGTCTGTAGTAATGTCTCCTTTCTCATTCCTTACACATATTAGTAACTTATGTCTCTGTTTTGGCCTTTCTGCATCACCCTCATCATTCTAGATATTGGTTTCATTCATCAATTAAATTTTTTTTTTTTTTTTTTTTTTTTTTTTGGAGACAGGGTCTCACTTTGCAGCCCAGGCTGGCGTGCAGTGGCACAATCATGGCTCACTGCAGCCTCTACCTCCCAGACTCAGGTGATCCTCCCACTTCAGCCTCCTGAGTAGCTGGGTTTAGAAGTGCATGCTACCATGCCTAATTTTTGTATTTTTTGTAGAGACAGAGTTTCGTCATGTTGCTCAGGCTAGTCTCAAACTCCTGGGCTTAAGTGATCTGCCTGCCTGACCTCCCAAAGTGCTAGGATTCCAGGCTTAAGCCACTGCACCTGGCCTGGTTTTTTAATTTTATTGATTATTTTAAATAACCAGCTTTTAGGTTTTATTTATTTCCTGTCTTGTTTGCTTCCTACTTCATTGATTACACTCTTGACTTTATTATTTCCTCTTTTGTACTGAGTTTGGGTTTAATTTGCTTTATTTTTATAGCTTATTAATTTGGAACTGTAGGACATTTATTTTACACTTTTTCTTCTTCTCTAAATAAGCCTTTAAAGCTATATATCTTCCTCTAAGCACTGCTTTACCTGCATCTTATACATTTTGTGTTTTCATGCTCTTTATTTGTACCCTTTAAAACATTTTAATTCTTGGAAACTATACTGAGAAAAGAATCCTAAGACCTAAAAATGCTTAAGTACAAAGATGTTCATCCTGCCATTTTTCTAATCATGCAGCATTGAAAACAACCTTAACTTACAACAATACGGTGTTATCAGTTAGGTAAACCACCACGTCTATCAGCTGACTACTACATAGGCATTAAAAACATTTAGAGTTTTCAGTTGAATGAGAAAGGATGTATGTTCTAATGTCGGCTTTTTAAAAAAGGCATCACAGTTGTGTATACGGAATGATCCGAGTGCTCACTACAGAGCTAAGCATAAATGAAACTCGACAGAAATATTATCAAAATAGTGACAGTGCTTGGTATATTTGGAGTGAAGTTGTGAGTGAACATTCTTCCCTGAATACCCTGTACCCTGCTCTGTAGTTGTAAAATGTTGAGCAGATGACTTCTACATGGAAAAGTTTAAAGGCTCATCATGCTACGATGAGCATGTGACTTTTACAAGGAAACATGCAGGAGGCTGGCATGATGTCATGTGATCTGAATGACCCTGCACCTGCTTCGAGCCTGCTCCTGCTGCTGGAATGCCAGCTTCTTGAGGACAATGTCTTTCTGTTTTGTTTTTCACCGTCTCATCCCTGGTGTCTAGAACAGCGCATAGCACAGAGAATGCATTAAATAAATTAAATGCATGCGTGTATGGAGGTTAAGCCACACAGCGCTGCCTGGGCCAGCTGGCTTGGGGTCCTGATTGGGCTCTGTTCTTCGCTAGGTATCCTAGAGGCTGTGTGAGGTTGGTAAACTTCTTAATTCTACAGCCTTGCTTTCCTTATATGTAAAACAGACATACATACCTTGTAAGACCTTTGTGAGGATTAGAAATAGGAAATGTAAACCCCTCACACACAATTGGTTCCTGAAAAATGATAACTGTTACTAAGCTGATTAATGAGGAAAGTATCCCCATAATTCAACAGCTCCCTTTCTAGATGAATTCTGGGTGACGTCAGAGCTTACTAATGGCAAAATACCTCTGCCTAAAGTGACCAGGTCTAGCCACTCCCAAAGAGGACAGGACCCTGGATTCCTTTCACTGTGCACCTAGCCAGGCTCTGTCTGCAGACAATTATCTTGAGTGAGTCACTTAACCTCAGTGTTTTTATATGCAATGGAGTAAGTCTGACCCACCCGGCAGGAGTACTGAAGAGCGATGATTATTAGACGCTAGAAATGCACTTTACGGCTGCGCAGTGCTAGACGCAGACATGCCGCAGGGCACCTTCTGAATCTGCTGTGGACATGCATGAGGGATGCTGGCTGGAAGCCTCTGATAACTATGAATCCATAAGCAAATTGGTTACTGTCTTAAACGAAGTAACAATGTGATATTTAGTGCTGTCCTTTTTAAAAAGCTCGCAATATATTGTTGTCTAATAAAAGTCTTGGGCCGAATTTCCCTCCTGGGAGAACAAGAGCTTTGGGCCAAGTGGCTGACCAGGTTGAAGAGGGTTGGCAGCTGCTGAGGAATTCATCCATGGTAGGAGGAGGAAAATCGGGCAGGCTCTGCTCCCCATCTCCCTCTCTGCTCCTTGCAGACTAGGTGGGCCCAGGATCTCCTTAAGCCAGGTAAGTAGGTCTTTAGGAAACTCGTTATTATTATTATTTTGGCAAAGGAGCAAATACACGGGGCAATATTTCAAGGGTGAAGAAGGGCACACAAGGGAGAGGCATCCTCCCTCTCACCTGGTTTCATGAGTGTGGCTTTTAACACAGGTGACACAAGTGGCCAATGTCTTTCTGAACATAGGAGAGCCAGGCCCCGGGCACAGTGACAGGTCTGCCATGCCCATGCAGCGGTCGGCATGCTGATATGATCTAAGGTGAGGGCCCAGCCAGGTCAGCCGGGAGAAAGTGAACACAGGAAGGGCACACCCAGGACCCCAGGGCCCCAGAACTCAGGTGAGCATGAAGGGAGCCAGCAGAGGAGACTGGGGGTGGTCAGCGCAGTTGGGAGGGAAGAGCAGGAATGCCACAGATGCCAGGGCAAGGCTCACTTCCAAGAGGCAGCCAGTGGTCAACCGTATTGGAAGGTCAGCTGCAATCAGGCCTGGGGGGCTGGCCCTTGAATTAGGATGCCCCATGGGGTGTGGGCATGAGAAGCACAATTCGAGGGCCTGGACAAGAGTGGTCCATTGGCATGCGGGGCAGAGATGGGCAGACTTTTAGGACAAGGTTTGCAGCAAGGAGAGCAGAGAGGGGGGAGGAAAATGGAGGGGCACAGGCTGGAGGCTTCCAGAGATCTGAGAGACCGCAGCATGCTTGTGAACTGCCGACGTGACCCAGGAGGGGGTGGCCTTGGGCGGGGACAGGCACCTCATTCCATGTAGCAGCATGGAGGATGTGCAGGACAGACACCAGATGCTGGATGTGTTGACTTAGTGGCGTGATCACAGTCAGAATCCAAATGGAGTCACTGGTATTAAAAACCCTGACATATAGACTGTGGAAGGGCATGAAGGGAGGGTTCTTATGCAGACATGCTTGATAGCAAGAACAATCACAAAAGACTGCAAAAATCACAGCCGTGCACAAAGACCATCACAACTTACACACACAAACACTTCTGGGAAGACATCTGCCCAGTAGCTGCCTGTCCAGCCTCAGACTGGCACCATCCTTCCTGGAGATCCTTGTAGCCAAGGATCATTGATTCAAAACAATGATGTAATCCTCCTGTTTCCTTTGAAAATCTTTGTCTTCCTTTACCTTCCTTGACCCACACCCAATTTACGATGGCACACATATTCTATTGCAATGAATGTTCCCGAGTAAATCTCATTTTCTTTTAGAGAGCCTCTCTCTGTTATTTAGGGTGACAGTGGGAAAATCCCAGACTGCAAATCCTTCCTCAACAAAGGGCAAACGTTTCCTCCAGGGAGCGTAGTTGGTGGTTAGAGAAGGGGAAGGCTGCAGTGGCCTCTTGGAGTGGTGGAGTGCACATGCGCAGAGCCAGGAGGCCTAGTGCTCAACGTGGGTGTGCCTGAGACCTGGGAGATGCCAGGGGCATGGAAATAAGGTGTTGTCTAGTTTTTCCCCCAATTTAGTTTTCTCTAATTTGGGCGCAGGTTCACTGTAAGCAAGTAAATCAGTCCTGGGGGCCAGCTGGGTGAGTGCTGGGGGGCAGGGAGAGGGGAGGGAGTGGGTACACAAAGTGATTCTACCCTCAGAGAGAAGCAGAGTAAGGCAGGAAGAAGAGGTGTGCACATGCGTGGTCATGTGTGCACGTGTGCATGTTCGTGCATGCGCATGTGCAGATGTGTGTGCGTGCAAGTGCATGCGTGTGCATGTGTTTCTGTGTGGGTGTGCACGTGTGGCGGTGGCTAACGAAGGCATGGGAGCAGCATGGGCTGTAGGTTTCCATGAGGTCCCACGGAAGTGAAACCAAAGGAGAGGAGGTGGTGGGGAGGGCAAGGTGCCTGGATTCGGCCTTGGTGTGGTCATTGGTGATGAGAACATCCAGGCTATGCCCAGGGCCGTGGATGCAGAAGTGGGAGGTCCAGGCCGCACCCCCTTGGGTTCTGGAGGTTCTGGTAATGAGCACGGAATATAGGAGGCAGGAGAACTGTGAGGGGCTGAACCTGTGGTGGGTGAGGGGTGCATGGGAAAGAGGAGGTGGCTGCCTGGAGGAAGGGCAGAGGCCAACGTCCAGGCATGGCAGGAGCTGGCTGGCGAGGAGAGGAGGAGGGGGGAGCAGGGAGGGCACAAGGGGTGGGGGACGCTGCCTCAGCCGGGTGTGAGGGCACAGCCTGCGGGGAGAAGTGAGGAGGCAATGTCCCTTCTCAGAAAGCACGTTCCAGGGATCAGTGACACCCCCACATTTGGTTTCTACTAAGGGTACCCTTAGCATGTGCTGATTTTGTTAAAAAGAAAAATAAGCGACTACATCAGTCAGCTTCAGCTGCTGTAGCGAAATATCACAGGCTGGGAGGCTGAAACAAGACTTTTACTTCTCACAGTTCTGGGGGCTGGAAATCCAAGATCAAGTTCCAGCAGCGTTGGATTTCTGGTGCAGGGTTTGTGGCTGGCTGGGGTGAAGCTTCCCACTGTGCACTCACACTGCCACTTCTTTTGCACATGTAAGGGTGGGGACAGCACTGAGCCCTTTCTATTAAACACTAGCCCTATTGCACGACTTAACATTAAACACCAGCCCTACTGCACGACTTAACATTAATTACCCCCGCTAGCCCACCTCCGAATACAGTCACATTGGAGGTTAGGGCTTCAACCCATGAATTTGCGGGGTGGGGTGGGGTGGGGCGGGCGGAATTCAGTCTGTAGCAGGCACCTACTGACTAAAGTAGACATTGGTTTATACATCAAATGGATTTTGCTGGAGTCCTGCTCAGCGGTGGCCGTAAGGAGGAACCCTGGGGGTGTTAACACAAGCCAGTGATGCGGCCTCAGCACAGGCCTGGGGCCCGAGCCTGCAGCACCATTCCTGCCGCCCCGCCCTGGCAGCAGGTGTCTTCCTAGAACAGAACAAGCCCCTTTTGATGTCATTGGGCATTGCCTTGGCGGTTTACTCAGAAGCTGGAGGCTAGCCTCGCTAGAGCCCATTGCCAGGCCCTGACCGCCCCTAAATCTGTGTCCACAAAATCCTCCGGAGTGCCTGCTCCGCATGGTGGCCACTGGCCACACAGGGCTGCTGAGCACTGGAAGCGGCCTTGTGAGCTGCTGCCAAGAGGCAGGTGCCCGTGCAAAGCCTTCCTGTGAAGGAATCTCACTGAGGTTGTTAAATTCTGGTTACATGTTGAATGATGTATCTATCTATTGGGTTAAGTAAAACGTATTGTTAACTTTGGCTATTACTTGTTACCTTTAAAAAATGTAGCTACTGGAAGCTTTAAGATGACAAATGTGGTTCTCCTCCTCCATCTACAGGCATGTCCCGGTTCACGGCGGCTGTGTCCCCGCGGCCTCAGACCCAGGGTCCAGCCCATGCTCTGGCCCCTCCGGCGGCCAGGATCAGCATCGCTGCCCCGGGGCCCGCGCCGAGCCGGCTGCTCCTCCGTGCTCTGCGCTCCTGGGCCCGCACCAGCCCCCTCCCCTGGAGCCCCCTTCGTCCCTGCGAGGGTTCCCTGCACGCCCCGCGCTGAGACCCAGCCTGGCCCGGGCCGGAGCCCTCCGCGACGTCAGGATGCGCCTGGCCTCACGCCGCCTCCCCTCCGTCTTCTCTGGGCCGCAGCCGCTCCTCGTGAGTGAGGTCGCGGCCAGGGAGCCGGGTGGACGCGCCGGGAAGCTGCACGGTCCACGCTCCGTCTGCGCGGAGAGCCGGGCGCGCGTGGCCCGGCCCCTGCAGGCGCGACTGCCGCCGCCCCGGTGGGCTCCCCTCCCCCGCACGCCCGGCACGCGGCTGGACGACTGCGGCCGCGCGGGGGCTGGAACATCCCCTCAGAGCCGCAAGAGAGCGCACCCGCCGCCGGCGCCCGGAACCCAGGGCCCCTTTAAGAGGCGCCGCCGGAGCAGGGCCGTGACGTCATAGAAGTGCGAAGGGCGGAGTCTGTGCGCAGCCGCGGCGCGGGGGGCGGGGCGGGGGCGCGGCGTTCTTGCGGGCCTGACTGACAGGAGCGCCCTCCGGGAGCGACCAGTACTAGGCCGCCGGTCGCAAGAGCGCCCCGCGTAGGCCCCGCCCCGAAAGGAGGCCCCGCCCCGGGGCAGGCCCCGCCTCCACAAGGACACCAAGTCCCGCACAAGCCACGCCCCCCGCAGGCCCCGCCCCACTCTGTTCAGATCTAGGCCCAACTCAGGCTCCGCACCTCAAGGCTCCGCCCCCAGCAAGGCTCCGCCCCAGGCCCGGCTCCACCCCGCACAGGCCCCACCCCGAGTCAGGCTCCGCCCCGCCCAGGCCCCGCCCCGGGCTCGGCTCCGCGGGGCGGGACTTGCCCTCAGCCTGAGTCGGCGGCGGCTGCGGGAACTTTCCCAGCGGATCTAATGGCTGCGCGCGGGCCGCTGTGAGGCGCGGCGGCGAGCGACGGGCGCGGGGCCGCGGAGCAGCGAGCGAGCGAGCGAGCGCGAGGCCGGAGCCCCGGCCAGGCCCGGCCGACCCGCCGAGCCCGCGATGCGCCCCGGGGCCGCCCCCCGGCGCAGCTGACGCCCCGCGGCCCCGCGAAGACCCCGGCCGGCCGGTCCCGGAGGAAGCGGCCGCCGCCGCCGCCGCCCAGCCCAGCGCCCGCGCCGCCCGGGCACCATGGCGGGGAAGGCGGCCGCCCCGGGCACCGCGGTGCTGCTGGTCACGGCCAACGTGGGCTCGCTCTTCGACGACGTAAGTCCCCCGTGCCGGCGGCAGGCCCCAAGCCCGGAACCCCCGACCCTGACCCCGGGGTCCCGAACTGCAAGCCTTGGACCCTGGACCGTGAACCTCCAGACCCAGAGGCCCCAGACTCTGATCCCTGTACCCGGGACCCCAGACTCCTGTCCTGATTCCCAAGTCTGGGAGCCCAGACCCCTGTCTTGATCCCCAAGCCCGAGACCTGAAGACCTGGGCCCTGAATCCCCGAACCCCATCCTCCAGACTCCAGCAGCTGACCGTTGACCCTGGGACCCTGCCTCTGAACTCCTGTCTGCAAATCCTGACCTCGAAACTCCAATATTAAAACCCTGTCAGAACCCCTGTTAACAGTTCCTGGAACCCAAACCCCAGAAACCGGGTCTGTGCGCACCAAACCCAGCCCCAGCCCTGATTTCCGAATCCTCAGAACCCTGGCCCTGGAATGCCCATCCCCAACCCTGGCCCTGAACCCCAGGTCCATGGTCACTGGAACCACAAATCCTGACTGCAGAACTCTGGTTACAGAACCTGCTCTCAAACGTCTGTCTCTGGTCCCTGAGCCCTGGACCCCAAACCCTGAAACATAACCACAAACCCTAACCCAGGAACTTCTGACACAGGGCTGTGGCCCCAACCTCCTGTCCCTGTTCCCCAATCACTGAATTCTAGCCCTAGAATCCCAGCCTTCATACTGTGGCCCTTTGCCTCTAAAGCCAATCTAGCCTGACTCTGAACCCTGAATTTCAACCTCAGGCCCCAGCTTATGGCCCTGAACACTTGTCCTTGACCCCTGAACCTGGAACCCTGGTTCCAGAATCAGGCCCCAAACCCAATTCTGGACCCTGCCCCTAACTCTGGTTCCTAGATCCCATCCTTGGCCCCTTCCTCCAACAAGCTCCTGCCCCTGAATCCTGAATCCTGAATCCTGGTCTTAAAGCCTGGGCCTTGAGCCTGCAGAATTCCCAAACCCTAACCCTTGACTCCCACCCCTGGCCCCTGTCCTCTGAGCCTAGGCCCTCCACTCTGGCTGTCAGCCCCAGCTCCTGGATGCCTGGGTGCCGGCCTCACTGTCTGTCTGTCCCTGCAGGGCCAGAGGGTAGGGTGCCCCCATTTAACCCTGCCACTTAGTATCTCTTTAGTTCGTAAATAAGGGAAGTCTGTAAAGCACTGTAGGACTTTATATTTCTTGTTTATTGAAGAAAAAGATGCTGAGAAGCTCTTCAGGGCCAGAAAGGGGATGCTGACTGCCTATGGCCTTTACCTTCTAGGGCCCCTCCCACCCAAGCCTCATTCCCACCCAGGATCCCAGGGTGCCCCCATCTCTGGAGAGACCAGGGAGCTGAGGCCCAGGGCGCACTGGGAGCTCCCCAGAGGCAGGCCGGTCTGACCTAGTTTGGCGTTTCAGCCACGGTGCCACCCTGCTGTTGGTACTCCTGCTGCCAACCCAAATAAAGCAGAGTGAGGCTCCAAGTGGCCCAGATGGAGGCCGTGGAGCCACGGACGCTCCCTCCCTCCCTCCCTCCCTCCCTAGGTGAACAGTGGGGCACCGCACCAGCTTTATGACGGATGTGTGCCACTGATGCACGCGTGGTTTCCATTTCAGGAGGAGGTCTTGTGTCTTTGCTGGCAGCAAGCATGGGTGAAGTGTTTGATGAAGCTCAGTTCATGCACAGGCTAGGTTTGGTTTTTATTAACAAAAGGCGCTGTTTTTCTGTTTTTCTTATTTTAACTTCCAGGTGCCCATGTATTATACTGACCTGCTGGGGAGGAACTGGTTTTCCTCACACTTTATTATTAACAACTTCATCTAGGTTTATGTTTGATCATTTTCTACAAAAGTGCCTGGCATGGGTGTGTGTCTGTATATTTGGCGTTCTATTCTAGGCTTTCCAGTAACATGTCACTATAGCATGGTTTTGTTCAGATGATTCAGATCCGTTAGCTGCGGCTTCAAAGCCTCAGAAATGTCAGGAGCATTAAGCTTGCTGGGGCATTTTAGTCTCAAAGGGAAACGAGTTTTACTGTGCAGACATTCTTTCCAGTAATCTTTGATTCTGAGTTCTAGCATTTTTGTTGTGTTTCAATTGTATACACGTATTTATCTCTGTTGATATTAAATTGGGTAACTTAATTCACTTTTGTTTAGCAACCTATTCTCTCTGAATTTTCATTTTTCTTAAAGGCTATGTGGAATTTTGCATTATGTTTATGTTTAGAAGGAACATTTGTTTAGGTCAACAGTACATAGGTTAATTCTGAAAGGTGCATTGTGATTTCAGGGCTGAGTGGAAACTTATCTGTCCGTGTCTGAAGATTTCTTAATGTGTGCAGCTCAGTCCCCGGGGGCCAGACCCAGTCTCCTTCAGTGGAAACCAGCCAGGCACTCACATTCCCAGGCCCCCTTCCTTGGTTGAGGTTTGGGGTGTGGTACTTGTGGGCCAGAAGCCTGGCCGGTGGAAGGAAATTCATGAGTGAAGGAAGTTTTGGTTTCTTGGTTTGTCCTGGATTTCAGGGGACCTGCTTTGAGATTCTGTTTGCCTTTGTGCAGCCCGTCCCGTGCTGACGAACGCACCCTGCAGGCAGTGCTCAGGCTGTGAAGGAATCTTTCTCGCCCAGTCTCACCGTGTTGGAAGCCAAGCTCGTCTGTGACCAGTGCTGGAGCCGGTCACAGTTCCGAGGAGGAAGGTGTTTGAATCTGAAGCAGATATCCCGGACTGTGGCGGACTCTGTTTTCCTTTTGTGCACAAGTGATAGGTGGTTTGCTTTTGCTTTTGCAGTTTTGAAAGTCTCCCCTCTTAAGGCCCCTCCTCCTCCCCCTCTTGTTTTTGTTTTAGACAGGGTCTCATTCTGTCGCCCAGGCTAGAGTGCTGTAGTGGTGCGGTCACAACTCACTGCAGCCTCGACCGCCCTGACTCAGGTGAACCTCAGCATCCTAAGTAGCTGGGACCACAGGCACATGCCACCATGCCTAGCTAATTTTTGTAGAGACCAGGTTTCGCCGTGTTGTCCGGGCTGGTCTGGAACTCCTGGGCCCAAGCAATCCACCTGCCTCGGCTTCCCAAAGTGCTGGGATTACAGGTGTGAGCCACTGTCCCTGGTCCAGAGGTCACCCCTCTCAAAACGCTGCGTGCATCCACTTCAGCTGTGGTTTGTAGCATCCTGGGATCCACACGGAATCTCACTCAGCAGCCCCTGTTTGCTCATCACTACTCCATCTTTGTGACCCCAGATTGGCCATGCTGCGGGCTGCGGGGCTGTCCCCACTGGGGTTGTGTCTGACCCTGTGCAGACAGTGTTGCGGTAAATGCCTTACAGTGTACCGGTCCCCAAGCCCTTATCCCTCACTTTCCTAGAAATTATGGAGGACCCGAAAGAGTTCTTGTTTATGTTGGTTATAACTACCAATATTTCTCATATTGGGAGCTGAGACTGCATGAGAATACATAGCTCACTGCACTAGCTGGCAGAGCGATTACATCATCCCACATCACAGGCACCCCCTCAGGTGTTGGCCGTTCTTCCCTAGGAGACAGTGAGAATGGAAAGAGGAGTCATTTTGTAGTATTATGGAAATAGTGTTGACCTAGTCAACCTGTGAAAAGGCCTCCTCAGCCCAGTCCTCCCTCCCCATACTGTCATGGGCACCCCTGTCTCTGGCCAGGTGGCTGGGGTGCCTGGGACTTTCCCAGGCTTATGCAGACTGCCAGATCACCCTCGGTGAGCCCTGCAGCTGGTCTTTAATTCCTGGATTGGACTCCTGCTGTCACTACTGGTTTGCTTGGAAAGAGGTGACCAGGGGTCCATATTTAATTGTTTTGCTTTGATGTGGCTGGTTTTTTGACAAGTGAGGTTTCTGGCTTTTGGTTCCTTCCATTTTTATGAGAAGGGAATTGAGGAGGTGAATTCTTGCCAGCTGTGGCGTCCCACCCTTGCATGGTCAGGCTGCTGTTTGGTCCTGAGAACACAGCCCGCTGGCGGGTATCTGCCTGGTGGCCCTTCCTGCTGCTTGTTCGCAGCTAAGTCAGTTCTGAGCCAGTTTGCCTTTTTGCTTAGTCAGCTCCCGGGCAGCCCTGTCCCTCTGCCCAGACCCGGGTTTGCAGAACGGCTGTGAGAGTGGGCTCGGCAAGTGCTCGCTGGCAGGGACCTGAGCACCTTGCAGTCAGCAGGTGTTGAAGAGCCCTGGAAGAGCGTGGAGGTGGCGGAGCTGCTGTGGGTATGGAGTCGGTGATGGTCAGTGGTGCAGGCTGGCGTCTCTCTCTGGTAGCATCAGCATTGCCTTCTTTGCCATGTGGTTCCTGGCAACACCAAAGGTACTGCCCTCTCTCCCACCTTGAAAACTCTGAACTCCATGTTTCCTCCAGCCACTGCGGGGCATCCTGACTCTCTACCGTGGCAGCCCTCGAGTGGGGTGGGGGGGTCTCCCCTCCATGTCCTTCTCCAGGCCTCTGCCCCAGCACTCCTGCACAGCAGGGCCCAGGGCTGGGTGCGGGTTGTACCCAGCTGGCAGTGACTAGCCAGAATTTTTGCTCCCTCTGTGGATCCTCCTTCTTCTTCAGGGACGTTTCACTTGGTAATGGCTGTGCTGGGACAGAATTCGCACACCATGCCCCTCACCCATTTCTTTTTCCTTTTCTTTTTTGTTTTCACACAGGGTCTCATTCTGTCACCCAGGCTGGAGTGCGGTGGCTCACTGTAGCCTTGAACTCCTGGGCTGAAGTGAGCTGAAGCCATCCTCCTGCCTCAGCCTTCTAAGTAGCTGGGACCACAGGTGCACGCTACCACACCCAGCTGATTTTTTTATTTTTATTTTTTGTAGAGATGGGGTCTTGCTGTGTTGCCCAGACTGGGCTCAAACTCCTGGGCTCAAGCAGTGCTCTCATCTCTGTCTCCCGGAGTGTTGGAATCACAGGTGTGGGCCCTCACACCCAGCCCTTTCTCCCATATGAGGTGTACAATTCACTGGTTTTCAGTATGTTCACAGGGTGTGCAGCTGTCACCACAGGCAATTGTAGAACATTTTTATCACCTCAAAAAGAAGCTGCATTAGCACCCAAGCCCCACGTCCCCCAGCCTCCCCACCCCCTGCAGTCAGTTTTCCTCTCTGTGGATTTGCCTGTCCCGGGCGTTTCACATACATGGGATCAGACGGTCTGCCCTTTGACCTGACTGCTTTCACTGAGCGTATGTAAAAGTGTCCATGCTGCAGCGTGCGTCAGTCCTGCATTTCTTCCTTTCTTTCTTTTTTCTTTTAAATTACAGAGACGGGGTCTTGCTGTTCACCCAGACTGGAATGCAATGGTGTGATCGCAGCTCACTGTAGCCTTGACCTCCTGGCTTCAAGTGATCCTCCTGCCTTAGCCTCCTGAATAACGGGGACTACAGGCATGCACCACTATGCCCAGCTAATTCTTTTTACTTTTTGAGAAGATGAGGTCTCACTATGCTGCCTAGGCTAGTCTCAAAGTCCTGGCTTCAAGTGATCCCCTGGCCTTGGCCTCCCAAAGTGCTGGGCTTACAGGCATGAGCCACAGTGCCAAGTCTCTTTATTCCTGTTTATGGCTGAATAATATTCCATTGTGTGGATACACCAAGTTTTGTTTCTGTGTTCATCAGCTGGTGGATGTTTGGCCTGTTCCCTCCTTCCGGTTCTGGTGAACAGTGGATGTTTGGCCTATTCCCACCTTTAAGTTCGGGTGAACAGTGGATGTTTGGGCTGTTCCCGCCTTCCGGTTCTGGTGAACAGTGCTGCTGTGTGCATCTTTGCAGGCGTCCCTAGGCGGACATGCGTTCTCAGTGCTGTTGGGTGTGCATAGTCTTGGCATTGCTGGGTGACGTGGTGAGTTCGTATTTAACCCTTGAGGGCCTGTCAGGCAGTCCATGGTGGCTGCCCCATGTCACATCCCTCCCAGGGTTCTGGTTTCTGCACCTCTCAGTGTTGGCGCCCCTGGGCTCAGGCTGGCCACCCTTCTCCCTTCCTGGGACCTCATCTAGACGCACAGCCATAAGTGCCATCTCTGTGTGGGTGCCCACTCCCAGCGAGAAGCGCACAACCAGGATGCTAGCCTGCAGTAGGTGGGGCCCTGCTCTGCCGCTCCGGCCAGAGCAGAGTGCCAGCTCTCAAGGAGGTTGGGGCGTCCTCATTTCGGAGGCAGCTGTCTTCCTACCTGTGTGCCGGGCACAGAGGATGGGGGCGGCCTGTGGTCTGCAGGTGCCCTCCCTGCCCCGGTGCGGCAATGGGCGTGGCTGGAGGTGTCTCAGCAGTCTTTTTTTTTGGGTTGCTGTCTCTGACCCAAGATCTCGGTGCACTTTCCCTGGGAGAATTATGACCTGTTTGCCAGGGCTCATAAGCGGCAGGATCGTCTGTCTGCCGGGCAGGGAGGGTTAAATATGACTGTGGTCCCGGCCCTGGCTGCAGGGTACGGGAGCTGCTTCTGCCACCTCAGGAAACCACGTCTAAATCTTGAACACCTCCTTACCTTAGACAGCATCATTTCGGGTCGGTCCTTGATTTTTAGACTTTTGGAATAAGCCTGGCAGTTCTCCGTTTGCCAGCTCTGCATGCCCCTCTCCCTCCGGCCCTGGCATTTGGGACGCAGCAGGCTGTGCTCTTTGGATTGTTACTGATTCAGCCTTTGAGAACGGCCGGCGGTGTTCTCTCTGCTCACAAACTTTCATCCCCCGTTTACTTCCTGTTTTTTTATCAGTCTCTAGAGTTGCTGAGGAGAGAGTTTAGATCACCCGGGTTAGGGGTGGGGGTGGTGGGACTTCTTTGGTTTGAAATATTAACGATTCCTCATGTTTTGAAGTAAGCACCCAGATCGACCTGTCGGGCAGTGTTGGGAGAATGTCTGCACGTAGGCGTGGTCACGTCCGTCCCTGTTGCCTGCGCTGCTCCGAGAAGCCCCACTCTGACCAGCACCACTGAGGAGTGTCTGTCCGTGTGGAGTTGTGGGGCAGGTGGAGCAGGGCAGAGGGCCCCGCACGGCTCTGGGATGGCTGTGCTCGGTGGGGGTCTGATTTTGGGGGAAGAGGCTGGTACTGGGGTGTTTCCGTGGACTTGTTGGGTCTGATTCAGAAGTTACAGAAATCCAGACCCAGGCCTGCCCCACCGTGAAGCATCAAATTTAGAGCCCCTCTGTCCAGGGGCTAGAGGGGCATTCGGAAGACTTTGACCAGATCGGGGCGGCTGAGGGGGCTGCCTACGGCAGGAGACGGCAGGTCTCTCTGAGCTGTGGGGCTCACGGAGGGACAGCCTCCAGGAAGGTGGCCTCCATCCGGGAATGGGGTCCAGGCGGAGGAGGGTGGGCATCTCTCCACATGCCACTCTGTGCCCCACTGCCCCTGCCGGGGTGTTCCCGCTGTCTCCTGGGCGGGTCCTTCTGATGTGAGTGCACTCCAGTGAAATACCTGTGGGGGCCTTAGGGGAAGAGGGTGCGGAACAGGCAGGCTGTTCCCATGCGGACCTGAAAGTGCTGTCAAGTTCCCCCTTCCTTTGCTCGGTTTCATTAATTGGGATACTTGGGAATCTCAGAGCCCGGTGGGAACCAGGAACTGAGCTCAGAGGCTCTGGAGCCCCAAGTCGCACCCCACCAGGTCTGGTTGGTGCTGCCATGGGCTCAGATCTGGCGTTTTCCAAGCTCCCCCTGCTTTGTGGAGCTCTGAGCGCTGGCTCCAGGCCGGCTTTCAGGAAGGCCGACTGCCTCAATCGTGGTTGCTGCCTCCGCTCGGCCTGAGGTGATGAGAGTGTGGATGGCACCTGCACTGTGTCCACTCTTTAGGCTCTAATGTTCATGGTGTGTTTGGAGACGTGGAAGTGGCTCTGGAGGAGCGTCCACCAGGTCCTGCTTGTGTACGGGGGCCGGCAGCACCGTTGTGTTGGGATGAGTGGCCGAGGCGTCTGGGGACGTCCTGGAGCCTGCAGCCCTTGGCCGTGTCACGCCATGTGCTCATGTGACCGAGGACGCTTCCGAGGATGTGGAAGCCACCAGTCGTCCTGGGTGGGTTGGGGCTGGACACCACTTCTGGGGCAGGTCTAGGGTGATGGCGCTCCCAGCCCGCGGGGGTCTTGGCGTTGGCGCAGAAGTGGTTTCCCAGCGGCGTGCCCTGAGTGTTGGGAAAAGGCCCTCTGCTGCCGCTCCAGGTTCAGAAGATGCCGCTTCTGGTTTTTCCCCGTTGTGAGTGAGAACAGCCCCACCTCCAGGAGCATGGCCTCCGGATCAGCCTGTTACTTGAACCCTGAGCCCCTGGTGGGTCTCGGTGACCTTGAGCCGGTTGTCTTCTTGATCCTTCTCTCCGACAGGAGTGTGAGACTCCTCTTCAGGGGTTGCTGGGGACCAGCTGGTTGCTGTGTCGGGGGGCCGTGCTCCCCCTTCTCTCTTGGAAGGTGTAAGGGCTTAGTAGGGCTGCCTCGGCTGCTGGGGCAGCTTTCCCCGGCCCCTTCCCCGCCTCCTTCCCACTCTGGATTGTCCTGGGCGTCTCTGTGTGGGGTCTCCTGGCTCCTGCAGATCTGTGTAGCCTGCACTGAACTGCCCCTCTTCCTGGGTGCACTGCATACCCCGGGCCCCCTGGGCTCTGGCCTGTCCCCTTGTCCCCACCTGACCGCCCAGCCACTGTTCTCCCTGGCCCTTCCCTCTCGTTTCTGCCTGGGCCTGCCTGGCTGGTCTTGCCTGGCCCTGCTTTTGGTCCTGTAGGCACCAGGACTGCACTCTGGCAGGGGCAGACTCTGTTTCCTGCTCAGCAGAGCCCAGGCCTGGCCCTGGTTAGCAGGCTGTGTCATCTGCCGCAGACAGCCTTCCTTTCTGCGTCCTCCCCTCTCGGGGTCCCGCATGACTGGTCCTCATTCCAGGAACCAGAGGAGATTGAAGAACCCGAGACTTGGCTTTGGCCCAAGTCCCTGTGGAGAGGAAATCCCGCCTTCAGTGCCAGGTGCCAGGCCACAGTCCAGGTTCACGTGGATGCGGGGCAGGCCCCACCTCTCCTCGCATGTGCGGCCTTGGGCTGTGTTTCACCTGTCAGCCTGTCTGTGCCCAGGGAGTAGGAATCCCACCTTGCATGGTGGCTCAGGGTGGTCAGGGAGGGCGTGGCTGTCACATGGTTTCTGGACTGTCAGCCTTTGGGCTGAGTGAGGCGTTACTGCCATCAGGGGTCCCTGGAGGGGCTCTCTCCATCCTCTTCCTGGCGTCAGGTGTTCTCGGCGGCCTCTCGGTAACAGCCTGGCCTTTGCTTCTGTCCGGGGCGCGTGGCCCAGGCTGAGCAGTGCACTCGGCTGCCTAGGTGGTGTGAGGTTCTGTGAGCCCGGGCCCAGCTGCCGTGGTGAATATAACCGGGAGGGAGTGCCCGCCTCTGCCCACCTGCCTGGCATCTGGGGTTCCCGGGAGGCCGGGCACCTGCACCCTCGCCGTCGCCCTGGGCTGACCTCCCATCTCCTCCTTCTCTACCCAAGCGCCCGTGGCCTGAACAGGACTTGGTTTTTCAGGCCTTCATGCCTCAGCTTGAGGGGCTCTTTTTTCAAAGGGTTCCTCCGGGACGCCTCGCCTAGGCAAGCAGGGTTTTCCTCC
This sequence comes from Homo sapiens, assembly GCF_000001405.40. NCBI lineage: Eukaryota > Metazoa > Chordata > Mammalia > Primates > Hominidae > Homo > Homo sapiens. The sequence goes on from NC_000010.11 coordinate 132,547,735, forward strand.
TTCACGGGACAGCCCGCGTGCCCCCAGCCCTGTGACGCGCTCTTGGTGACTCACCAAGTGAGTCCCAAGCTCCCTTCCTGTCATACTGTGCTTTACCGTGACTGTGGCGTCACACTCAGGTGTGCTGGCCTTTGGCAGCAGCGTCTGGGGTGGGGACCATGGTGTCTTTTTTAATTTTTTTTTTTTTAAGATGGACACTCCATCACCCAGGCTGGAGTACAATGGCGTGATCTCACCTCACTGCGACCTCCGCCTCCCAGGTTCAAGCAGTTCTCCTGCCTCAGCCCCCTTAGTAGCTGGGATTACAGGCGTGCACCACCACACCCGGCTAAATTTTTTTTGTATTTTTAGTAGAGACAGGGTTTCACCGTATTGGCCAGGCTGGTCTTGAACTCCTGACCTTGTGATCTGCCCGCATTATAGGTGTGAGCCATCGTGCCCGGCCATGGTGTCTTTATTCGGGTTCTGCTCAAATGGGTGGAGGGGTGGGGTGGGGCCAATGCAGCTGGAAGGGAGTTGGAGGAGCTGTGGATCCGGTAGTCCCCGGACCGTGGTGGTGTTTGCGGCCACATATGCCATGCTCAGGAGGTCAGTGGGGCCAGGGGAAGGGGTGTTGAAGTCACCAAAGGCCAGGCCAGGCCTCTGCTGCCCGTTGCCGGTGGCCCGGGAGTCGACTCTGCTTCTGCCTCGCACCCGGCCTGGGGGTGTTCCGAGATCTGGTTGGCTTTTGTGTTTGCGCGTTTAACAGTGTTATTTACCCGGGATTTGAATAGCATGCAGTTCACCCAATGTGAGTGTATGGTTCACTGACTTTGAGAAAATATTTATGGTGTGTAACCATCACCGCACCCCAGTTTTGAGACACTTCCCTCCTCAGTCCCTGCTCCCGGCCCTGGGCCACAACTGCTTTCTGTCCCGCCAGTTTCGCCTGCGCCGAGGGCACTGTATCGTGAACCACAGGCTGTGTTGTTTTCATGCGTCTGGTTTCTTTGACTTAGCATAACGCAGCGTTTCAAGGTTTGTATTGATATGCTTTGCATATCAGCAGTTTATCTGGCTTTTTTTTTTTTTTTTTTTTTTTTGAGATAGGGTCTCACTTCCACCTAGGCTGGAGTGCGGTGGCGCAGTCACCACTCACCGAAGCCTCAAACTCCTGGACTCAAGCATTCTTCCTGCTTCAGCCTCCTGAGTAGCTGGGGCCACAGGCGCGGCCACCATGCCAGGCTTTTACAATTTTTTGTAGGTATGGGGTCTCGCTATGTTGCCCAGGCTGGTCTCGAATTCCTGGCCTCAAGTGATCCTCCCACCTTGGCCTCCCAAGGTGCTGGGATGACAGGTGTGAGCCACTGCGCCTGGGCTTGTCTTCCCTGTTTCATGGCTGAGCAGTGTCCCCTGAGTGGAGGCATACCTCGTTTCTCCAGTCGCCCACAGATGGACGTCGGGGCTATCGTGGCTAGTGTACTGTTTGTGAATATGCACGTGCCTGTGTGGACGAGGGTGTCACTGCTCTAGGGCTGGCCGAGTGGTCACTCTGTGGCTGTCTTTCCGGGAGCTGCTCAATTCTTCCCATAGTTGCTGCCCCATTCGTGCCCCGTCGAGTGGTGTGGAAGGACTCTAGCTCTTCTGCATCATGCCAGCACTTGGTGGCATTTGTCTTTTTAATTATGGCTGTGTGGTGGCATCTTGCGGTTTAACTTGCATTTCTGGTCCTACTTCCAAATAATAATTCCCCACAAGGATGGTTATCTTGCCGTGTTGGTAATGGCTTTGACAGCTGGATGACAGACGGTGTTGGCGGGCTGCCCTCTGCCCACCCCTCCAGGAGGGCCTGTGGGATGCGAGGCCTCTGCTACGAGGCTCCCGCTTGCCTGGCAGGTGGCAGGTGTGATGAGCATGGGGAGTGCAGGTGAAGCAGGAGCAGACAGGTGCGTGTCCTGGAGCTCTGCAGCTGCAGGGCGGGAGCCGGGGCTTCCGTGAGGCTCTGTGACACAGGTCGGGGCCACCCAGCCCAGCCTGGGTTCCTGCAGCCCCCACTCTCTGCCCCTGGTCTGAATGGTGGGGTTGGTGTGTCTCTGTTACAGGATTGGTGTGACGTCTGAGTCACTGTGCCTTAGAGTACGGAGTCAGCCTCAAATTATTAACCAGGCATTAGGGGATGGGGTCAGCCTCGAGTTACTAACCGGGCATTAGGGGATGGGGTCAGCCTCGAGTTACTAACCGGGCATTAGGGGATGGGGTCAGCCTCGAGTTACTAACCGGGCATTAGGGGATGGGGTCAGCCTCGAGTTACTAACCGGGCATTAGGGGATGGGGTCAGCCTCGAGTTACTAACCGGGCATTAGGGGATGGGGTCAGCCTCGAGTTACTAACCGGGCATTAGGGGATGGGGTCAGGCTCGAGTTACTAACCAGGCAGTAGAAGATGGGGTCAGTCTTGAGTTATTAGTATTTATCGGGGAGAGCAGAGAGAGCTTAGGAGACCACATTGCCACTGTTTAGGGTCAGAGTGGTCCCGCAGGTTAATTCACTTCACCCAGCCTCTCAGGGATGTAATGAGGCTGCTCGGGGGGCTGTCTCAGGCCTCTGGCCAGTAGTCCCTGTCCTCTCCAGCGACCGCTCTCTCCTGGGTGTCAGTGGTTTTTGGGAGTCCAGGTGCAGGTCTCAGCAGCAACTCTGAGGTTCTGCATAGCTAGTGCCACCTGTGACACTGCTGTCACTCCAAGGTGCACCTCACCACACCTGGAGCAGCGCCCGTGAGAGGAGGGAAGCGACACCCTTGGGCTGAGCTTTTCCGTGAACCGGCAGCTGTGTCCCTTGACGTGCTGAGAGGGCCTGGCTGTGAGCCGCATGGTACGAACCTTCTGAATGCAAGTGGCCAAGCCGGCATTCTGGCTGGGCTCGCTGGCCACAGGACGTCCACTGTAGGACAGCTGGGAGTGGGGGTGTCTGGCTATTTCACTATTAAAACAAGTGGAAACACTAGTTTGGTCCCGCCTGACCTCATGGAAGACGGTGGAGGTGGCAGCCGCCAGAGTGTGAGGGGCCATGGTCGCTGACCTCGCCTCCTGTTGTCTTAGATCCTTGGCACTGCAGGGGCGGTTCTGCCAGACATAGCTGTTGTCTCTTTGGCCACCAACTGGCCCCTATGGCGTTTGGCCTTCAGGGTGGTCATTGGGTGCGTGGCTCTCTAGGGTGGACCTGGCCATCCTTGGGTGACAGTGGGCCATGTGGTGGGGACTCTGCAGGCCACCTGGAAAGGGGTCCACCTGAAAGGGGCTGCACTGTGGTCCATTTGGGCCAGTGGCTTCAGTAGCCACACGCTGCTTGGTCCAGGTTCCTGCCTGAGCCCACTGAGCAGATGATGGGGATGAGGCCCAGAGTGCGAGCCTGGTGGGCAGCTGTGGAGCCTTATCCCTGAGCACCCTCCCTTGCCTACCTTTCAGGCTTCTGAGCGGCTGTCAGTTGCCACCTGCTGGCACTGTGAATGTTAGACTGCAGAGCTGAGTGGGGAGCCCCTTCCTGTGGTCCCTGGCACTCTGACCACATGGATGAGCCTGCGAGTGTGAAGCTGAGAACTGGGTTGACTGCCTGCTGCTTTGTTTCTTGCAAAGAGTGCCTTAGTTAGGGGACAGGCCAGCCCACCGTCATCTGCCTGCAGCGTCCCTCCAGGTGGTCGGGGGACACCGGGCTTCTGGGTCAGCAAGTGTTTGCCATACGCCTGGGTGCAAAGTGGACCAGCCACTGTGGGTCATGTGGGGGGATTTGGGTGGGACTCTCAGAGGAGCTGGTTCTCTTGAGAAAGACATCTGTCCAAGTAGCACACAGACTTGTGGGGACATATGACTTGCTTTAATTTTCTCCATCACCGTTACGGTTTTTCAGAGCTGTTGCAACTTCCTGTTTGCTGTAACGGCTGTGCCTCCCTCGCTGCTGCAGTGGGCAGTGTGTGCGTCGTACACAGGTGGAAGGTGGAGGCCTGGGCCCAGGCTGGAGGGACGTGGGGTGGGAATGGGCCTGACCAGCTAGGGAACAGAGGCAGGACCCAGGGGGACAGAGGCAGGACTGACCAAGACTGTCAGAAGAGCCAGCCGGGGTCTTCTCTGAATAGTCGGCTGCACGATTAAACTGGGTTCTGCTCGGGGAGTCCCTGGGGTTTGGAGCTCTGCCTGCCTTGCGGCCCAACCTGGCAGTACCCCCCACACAGGGGTCCAGGTGTCCTCTGATTCTGCTGTGCTGAGTCTGTTGGTGGAGCAGGAGGCCCAAGGACCAGGAGAGCTTCTGTGTGAGGCTGTGTCCTCCTGCATCCTTGTCTCCCATTCACTCGGGAGCATTTATGGGCGCATTCTCAGAGCCTTGGTGAAGTTGGAGTGGGATAGGGAGGGAGGATTGGTGGCGCCTTCTCAGAGCCTTGGTGGCATATTGAGTGGGATAGGGAGGGAGGATTGGTGAATGCCTTCTCAGAGCCTTGGTGGCATATTGAGTGGGATAGGGAGGGAGGATTGGTGAATGCCTTCTCAGAGCCTTGGTGGCATATTGAGTGGGATAGGGAGGGAGGATTGGTGAACGCCTTCTCAGAGCCTTGGTGGCATATTGAGTGGGATAGGGAGGGAGGACTGGTGAACACCTCCTCAGAGCCTTGGTGGCATATTGAGTGGGATAGGGAGGGAGGATTGGTGAACGCCTTCTCAGAGCCTTGGTGGCATATTGAGTAGGATAGGGAGGGAGGATTGGTGAATGCCTTCTCAGAGCCTTGGTGGCATATTGAGTGGGATAGGGAGGGAGGATTGGTGAACGCCTTCTCAGAGCCTTGGTGGAATATTGAGTAGGATAGGGAGGGAGGATTGGTGAATGCCTTCTCAGAGCCTTGGTGGCATATTGAGTGGGATAGGAAGGGAGGATTGGTGAACACCTTCTCAGAGCCTTGGTGGAATATTGAGTAGGATAGGGAGGGAGGATTGGTGAACGCCTTCTCAGAGCCTTGGTGGCATATTGGGTAGGATAGGGAGGGAGGATTGGTGAACGCCTTCTCAGAGCCTTGGGGGAATATTGGGTAGGATAGGGAGGGAGGACTGGTGAACGCCTTCTCAGAGCCTTGGTGGCATATTGAGTAGGACAGGGAGGGAGGACTGGTGAACGCCTTCTCAGAGCCTTGGTGGCATATTGGGTAGGATAGGGAGGGAGGATTGGTGAACGCCTTCTCAGAGCCTTGGTGGAATATTGGGTAGGATAGGGAGGGAGGATTGGTGAACGCCTTCTCAGAGCCTTGGTGTGGAATATTGGGTAGGATAGGGAGGGAGGATTGGTGAACGCCTTCTCAGAGCCTTGGTGGAATATTGAGTAGGACAGGGAGGGAGGACTGGTGAACGCCTTCTCAGAGCCTTGGTGGAATATTGGGTAGGATAGGGAGGGAGGATTGGTGAACGCCTTCTCAGAGCCTTGGTGGCATATTGGGTAGGATAGGGAGGGAGGATTGGTGAACGCCTTCTCAGAGCCTTGGTGGAATATTGGGTAGGATAGGGAGGGAGGATTGGTGAACGCCTTCTCAGAGCCTTGGTGGAATATTGGGTAGGATAGGGAGGGAGGATTGGTGAACGCCTTCTCAGAGCCTTGGTGGCATATTGAGTGGGATAGGGAGGGAGGACTGGTGAACGCCTTCTCAGAGCCTTGGTGGAATATTGAGTAGGATAGGGAGGGAGGACTGGTGAACGCCTTCTCAGAGCCTTGGTGGAATATTGAGTAGGATAGGGAGGGAGGACTGGTGAACACCTTCTCAGAGCCTTGGTGTGGAATATTGAGTGGGATAGGGAGGGAGGATTGGTGAACGCCTTCTCAGAGCCTTGATGTGGAATATTGAGTGGGATAGGGAGGGAGGATTGGTGAATGCCTTCTCAGAGCCTTGGTGTGGAATATTGAGTAGGATAGGGAGGGAGGATTGGTGAATGCCTTCTCAGAGCCTTGGTGTGGAATATTGAGTGGGATAGGGAGGGAGGATTGGTGAACGCCTTCTCAGAGCCTTGGTGTGGAATATTGAGTAGGATAGGGAGGGAGGATTGGTGAACGCCTTCTCAGAGCCTTGGTGGAATATTGGGTAGGATAGGGAGGGAGGATTGGTGAATGCCTTCTCAGAGCCTTGGTGGCATATTGGGTAGGATAGGGAGGGAGGATTGGTGAACGCCTTCTCAGAGCCTTGGTGGAATATTGGGTAGGATAGGGAGGGAGGATTGGTGAACACCTTCTCAGAGCCTTGGTGGAATATTGAGTGGGATAGGGAGAGAGGATTGGTGAACGCCTTCTCAGAGCCTTGGTGGCATATTGAGTAGGACAGGGAGGGAGGACTGGTGAACACCTTCTCAGAGCCTTGGTGGAATATTGAGTGGGATAGGGAGGGAGGATTCGAGGGCGCCTCCTCAGAGCCTTGGTTAAATATTTATTCAGATAGGAAGTATTTGGAATATCTGTTGTCACTTTCAGGGCCTCACTAGCCTGTTGTGCTCACAGGGCAAAGGGGTAGTGTACTGTGCTGCCTGGCTCCACGGCTGTGGTCACCGGCTTCCCTGGCTTCTGAGCTCCAGCAGGAGATGAGGGATTTGTCCAGTGGCTGGAGGGTGGCTTAGGGCACGCAGAGTCCACAGTGCAGGTGGACACCGCAGAGGGTCTCCTGGGCAAGTGGCGGGGCTGGGTTCTGAGGGCTTCAGAGGATCAGAGCCAACTGGAGAATAAGGAAGGGGCAGCTGTTCAGGCTACTGAGAGGCGGGAAATAGGTGCTGAGCCTGCCTGGGAAGCTGCGTGGTTGGTGCGGTTGATGTGGGTGGCATGGGTGTTGTGGGTTGTGGTTGGCGTGGTTGGTGTGGGTGGCATGGGTAGCATGGTCCATGTGGGTGGCATGATTAGCACTGATGTGGGTAGCGTGGTTGGTCCATGTGGGTAGTATAGGTGGCGTGGTATTGTGTGTGGCATGATTGCTGTGGTTGGTGTGATCAATGTGGGTGGCGTGGTATTGTGTGTGGCATGATTGGTGTGGGTGGCGTCGTTGGCACTGATGTGGGTAGCGTGGTTGGTCCCTGTGGGTAGTATGGGTGGCGTGGTATTGTGTGTGGCATGATCGGTGTGGGTGGTGTGATCAATGTGGGTGGTGTGGTTGGCATTGATGTGGGTAGCATGGGTGGTATGGGTGGCATGGTGTGGGTGGCATGGTTGGTGTGGGTGGCATGGGTAGCATGGTCCATGTGGGTGGCATGATTGGCACTGATGTGGGTAGCGTGGTTGGTCCCTGTGGGTAGTATGGGTGGCATGGTATTGTGTGTGGCATGATTGGTATGGGTGGCGTGGTTGGCATTGATGTGGGTAGCATGGGCAGTGTGGGTGGCATGGCTGCTGTGGGTGACATAGGTGGTGTGGCTGGCGTGGTTAGTGGGTGGCATAGATGGCATGGTGGGGTGGGGGGGTGTGGATGGCAAGCGGCAGGACCAGGTGCTGCAGGCTGGGTGGTGATATGTGATGGTGCTCAGGCCCCTGTTCCTTCACCGTGCTGGGGAAGGGCGCTCCTGATCCCTCTGTGAGACCAGTGAGAAGATGTCGTAGGAGAGGCTGTTGTCCCCTGAGTACGTTCACCCCATTTTACAGGCGCTGGCCCAGTGGAGCTGCTGGGGCCTATCTGTTTTTTTGAACTTCTGATAAGTTGCCTGGCCGGAAGGGGAAGAAGGGGGGCTTGGGCTGGGGCGTGGCCACGCTGGGAGGATGAGGAGCTTGAAGTGACTCAGGGGACCTGGCGCCGTTGGTGTGTGCTCACAAAGTGCACGGGGTGACCAGGAGCCTCTGGACAGTGGGGCCGTCCTGACTCGCCTCCTGAGAGCCGTGGGTCACAAACTCAAATGCACACACTTGGGGCTTCTATCCTATCAGGGAGAGAGTTCAAGTGTATCCTAGCGTCTTGGAGAAAAATGGTCTATGAACTTTGATAACCTTGACAATTTTAGTTTAGTTTTCGTGCAGAGTGACCCAGACAGGCACAACACTGACACACCTTGTCACACTCTGCAGGGTGTTTTGTTGCCCTCAGCACGTGTGGTCTGCACAGACAGACCAGGGGGTGACTTCAGCGTTTTATGGCAGCTGCTGCATTAGGAATCTGCGTCACAGATGAAAAACACGCGTTTCCCCTTTTCGTAAGAGGATGAACAGCCTCTCACCTGCTGGAATTCACCTTGGCTCAGCGCTTGGTGCTTTTGATGGAGAAAATTCAGTTCCAGACTTGGGTGGAACCTGAGTTGGGGTCTGCCGTGCCCTGGTGTCTCGGGGGGCTGCCCGGCCCCTGAAGTGGAGGAGCCGCCTTCACCCAGGCATCTGTCCCAGCCTGTGGGCTCCCTTCCTTGTGCAGATGCCTGGCCCAGCCCCCGTGCTGAAGTTGCCAGATGTATAGGTCCTCCTTGATGGCACGCTCCGGGGGCTGTCACTATGCCACCTGTGTCCTCCTGTGGCTTTGTCCTGCAGGCATTGTGAGGTCATGCAGCATTTTAACTGCTGTGAAATTTGCTCCACCGAGTGAACACACCAGAATGCATCCACAGACCCACAGTGGACACTGAGGCTGTTTCCTGTTCGGCTGTCACATGGGCTGATGCGGCGAGCCCTCTCCGTGCACCTCCACGGGGACCAGGGCCAGAATATCTGGGCACCTGTTGGGGCTGGTGGAAGCTGCTCTCCAGTGTGCCAAGTTTCTGTACACACATGCACATCACACACTTGCACACCACAGGCACACACATGCATGTACAAGCATGCACTACACAGGTGCATATGTACACACCATACACATGCACAACATACATATACATACATGCATACCACATAGGCACACACATGTGCATCACACACATGCTCATCACACACTCCCACCAGGCCGTCGGAGAGTCCCTGATATTCCACATCCTTGACAACTTTTGTTGTGGTCAGGCTTTAAAATGTGACCTATTAGATGTGTAAAATGGCATCTGTTATAATTTAATTTGCATTGCCTTGGTTACTTGTATTATCATTTTGGGGATTTTTTTTTTTGGTTTTCTATGATTTTGATTTTAGAACTTTGGAGCCCTTGCAGATCTTGTATTTAGGTTGCTGATAAGTTATTTGATGAGGCAGTGACTGTAGGGTTTGTGGAATAGACACTTCTGTCATTGTGCTCCCTGATGCTGAGTGACTTAGGCTTGTGACTTCTCAGGACGGTGTTTACTGATGGGTGTAGAGAGGTCACTTTCTGTGGCACTCTTGGCTGAAAGTTTTCTTCCTGAGTCTCATTGTACGCACATGTTGTGGCCTTTGTGTGTGTGTTTCTTTTGTATGCTGTGACACCGGTTTGGTAGGTCTGAGTGGAGATTTGGTCAGTTCCGCCTAAAGGCCGACGGGCCCGGCTTTCTGGGGAGAAGGTTTTCCCTTGCAGAGGGGTATCCTTTGGTGTCTGTTGCCGCTGTGACCGACTGTCTCACATGAGGGATGGAGTCCAGGCTGAGGCACCCTCGCCCGGGGCCACTGTGACTCCCATGGAGCCTGGGATTTGTTCCGGTTAGGCCACGGGTCACAGTGCTCAGTGCCGGGCAGATGTGGGCTCCTGCAGCAGTGCCCTCCTGCAGCACGCGGGCACCTGGCCTGTGCCACACCTGCGCAGTGTCACCGTGCTGCAGAGGAGCCCCCATGCAGAGTCACGAGGGGGGTTTCCCCAACTGCTTAATGCCAACAAGAGACCTGCGTAGAAATCAGAAGAAAATGGCCGCTCTCAGCTGCTGGTTCAGCTGCTCATTTTTGTGTAGGGCCGAGTCAATTTTTTCTTCTTGCCTCTTTTCTGAGTTGATGTTGATGCCAGCAAGTGCAGAGGGTCATTGAGTGCTGGTTTGAACCTGGTGCCTATGGAATTGATGTCTGTCAGACTTAGGGTGTAACCACAGGTTGTGAGGTCATTTTGAGGGGTCAGACCATATTTGGGTTAAAAGGGGCCCGAGTGTCTCGGGCTGCAGGGAGGTGAGTCCTGGAGGTACTTACCATAGTTTTCTGTTGAATGCCTCTGGGCCTGGGCGGGGAGGGCCATAGCCTAAAGTGTGCATCTTACCCTGGGTCTCTGTTCAGAGTGTGGCAGCCACGGCTTATGGCGGGAGTGACGCCAGGCTGGACAGAGCCAGGTGAGGCCCTGTGCTCCCTCAGTCTGTCCCGCGTGCCCGCCTCCTGCTGCGAGAATTCTAGTCCCTGTCTTCCCAGTGGACCTGGGGGCTGGACTGTGGTCATTTTCACTGTTGAAAGTGAGAAGATTCTCACCCATGAAAAATTAAATTGCTGTAGAACCTAAACATGGCCACCGTGTCTTCTTAACTGGTAGTAAAAGCCACCTGGCTGTCCAGGTGGAGGCTCCGCAGGGCAGGTCAGAGTACCTGGAGGTGTCAGCAGGGAAGGGGCGCTCTGTGTCCTGATAGCCTTCCCGCCAGCTGCGCATGTGATGGGGTGTGCCAAGGGCCACGCAGAGCCGCGACTTCCCCAAGCTGCTCCGGGTGTCCCCGGCCCACGCGCTGAGCACGCTCTGGGGCTCTCCCCCCCGGCCCACGCTCTCCTGAGAGGCCACTCGCTCCGGGGCTAATCATGGTTAATCCCACATGATCCTCGCCTGACATCCAGTCCCCCTCCTCAGGCCCTGACAGCTGCATGGTGTGTTGGTATTTCTGCCTCCTGAAGCCACGTCCACGTCGGCTCCTGTGCAGTAGAGACCGGAGTCTCCATCAGGCTCCCTCTGGGGGCGGGTGGTCCATATGCATGGGGTCCACTTGTCCCTCATGTCCAGTCTCCTGTGGCTGGAAGAGCTCCAGGTGTGGAGAGAGGCCAGCTGCAGCTGCCGATGAGGAGCGCTGTTGGAGGAGCCCTTCCTCCTTCTCCCTGGAGCTGGGGGACGCTCCAGGTAGGGAGGCGGTAGCCTTGGCAGCATTGGGCTCAGTGCTAGCCTAGCCTCGCTGCCATCGCATGCAGTTGACCAGCTTCTTGACATCCTTTGCCTAAACTCCTCAGGGTCAGCGTGGGACCAGGATATTCCATGTGGCTTTTGAAGCCGGCAGTCGCCTTGCAGTGGTGATTCCCAGGTGGAACCCTCAGGCAGCTGTGCGCTGCAGCCTCCGGGGCCATGGGTGTGTGGCTCTGGGAGCTGCCGTTCCCTCCACACCCCTTAGGGAAGTCCTCTGCTCACGGTGCCCACCCTGGTCGAGCCCAGCCAGCTGGAGCCTTCCTCCCAGACCCATCGGCCTCCTCGGGACAGTCCAGCCCCGTCCTCTGGCCCATGCCCTCTCTGTCCCCGCCTCCTGCCCAGCCAGCTTCCTGAGGGTCCCTGAGCTTGCCCGGCTGGCCACTCACTGCCTCATGGTCCTTGATCACACACAGACGTGGTGGTGTGCTCGCCTCTGGAGGAAGGCTGCCCGCCGCTCGGGGCCGTCGGTGGCTTCGGAGCTGTGGCAGCTCTCTTAGGGCCAGCTCCATCCCCTCTCCCCGGCCCTGCTGAGTGAAGCGCACACGTGGTAAATCTGCCCCATCAGTGGGGGGTTAGTCCTGTCATTTGGGGAAGCCTGTGTTGGCTGCATTTATTGTTGTCGATATTACTTTTAATTAGGACAAAATTCAGGCACCATAAAACCTACAGTTCAGTGTTTTAGCGTGTTCACAAGGTCGTGTGACCTTCGCCCCTGATTTCAGAATGTTTTTATCACCTCTGAAAGAAACCCAGTACCCATTTGATGACACCCTCCTTTCCCCCCTTCCGCCAACCACGAAGCCACTTCTGTCTCTGTGGATTGACCTGGATGTTTCATGCAAATGGAATCAAACAGCGTGTGGCCTTCGCATCGTACTTCACGTGCTCAGCACGTGTGTTCCAGGGACCTCACTTACTCAGCACGTGTGTTCCAGGGACCTCAGTTACTCAGCACGTGTGTTCCAGGGACCTCAGTTACTCAGCACGTGTGTTCCAGGGACTCCATTTACTCAGCACGTGTGTTCCAGGGACCTCAGTTACTTAGCATGTGTGTTCCAGGGACTCCACTTACTCAGCACGTGTGTTCTGGGCTCACCTGTGCTTCTTCCTTATGACTGAATGCTGTTTATTGTGCGGAGATCACATTTCATGTATCTGTTCATCAGTGGATGGACATGAGTGTCCATGTGCAAGTTGCTGTGTGAACCTGTGTCTCCAGCTCTCTCGGGTGTAGACCTGCTTGTGGGGTTGCTGTGTGAACATGTGTCTCCAGCTCTCTTGGGTGTAGACCTGCTTGTGGAGTTGCTGTGTGAACATGTGTCTCCAGCTCTTTCGGGTGTAGACCTGCTTGTGGAATTGCTGGGTCACGATGTGTCTTCAGCTCTCTTGGGTGTAGACCTGCTTGTGGAGTTGCTGTGTGAACATGTGTCTCCAGCTCTCTTGGGTGTAGACCTGCTTGTGGAGTTGCTGTGTGAACCTGTGTCTGCAGCTGTCTCGGGTGTAGACCTGCTTGTGGAATTGCTGGGTCACGATGTGTCTTCAGCTCTCTTGGGTGTAGACCTGCTTGTGGAGTTGCTGGGTCACGTGATAATTCTGACTTTTTAAGGAACTGCCAGACTCTTTCCACAGCAGCTGCAGCATTTTTCGTTCTTGTGAGCAGTGTCTGAGGGCTGCAGACTTCCAACATCACAGAACAGTACTCGTGATTGTCCATCTTTTTTACTGTAACCGTCCTGGTGGGTGTGCAGTGGTATCTCCTGGTGGCTTTGAATTGCATTTCCCTGATGAGTAATCATGTTGAGTGTCTTTCGTGTGCTTACTGGGTATTTGTAGATCTGCTTTGAAGCAACGCTTATTCAAATCCATGGCACATTTTAATTTTTTTTTTTAAGAGACAGATTCTCGCTCTGTTGCTCAGGCCGGAGGGCAGTGGTGCGATGATAGCTCACTGCAGCCTCCTCTTGGGCTCAAGGTATCCTCCCACCTCCCAAGCAGCAGTGTCTCACGTAGCTGGGACTACAGGTGTGTGTCAGCATGCTTGGCTAATTTTAAAAAGTTTTAGTTTGTAAATACAGGGTCTTGCTATGCTGTAGTCTGGTATCAAACTGTAGGCCTCAAGCAGTCCTCCTGCCTTGGCCTCCCAAAATGCTGGGATTATAGGTGTGAACCACCATGCCCAGGCTTTTTTTTTTTTTAATTGTTGAGTTTAAAGAGATCTTTACATATTCTGGATGCTAGACCCTTATTAGATAGATATGTAATTTACAAATGTTTTCTCTTGTTCTGTGTGTTGTCTTCGCTTTTTTGATAGTGTCGTTTGAAGCACTTTTTTTTTTTTTTTTTTTGAGACAGGGTCTTCCCCTGTTGCCCAGGCTGGAGTTCATGGAGTTCAGTGGTGTGATCGTGGTTCATTGCAACCTCGACCTCCTGGGCTCCAGTGATCCTCCCACCCCAGCCTCTGGAATAGCAGGGACTACAGACTTGTATCACCACACCTGGCTAGTTTTTTTTAAGTTTTGTGCTTCAGCTATCATAACCAGAAGCCATTTCCTAATCAAGGTCACAAAAATTTACCCTTATTTTTTCTTTTTAGATTTTTATAGTTTTAGCTCTTACATGTAGGTCTTTGAAATATTTTGAGTTAATTTTTGTATCTGGTGTGAGGTAGGGGTCTTCATTCTTTTGCATATCCATATCTGGTTGTCTCGGTACCATTTTTGAAAAGACTATTCTTCCTCATTGAATTGTCTTGGCATCCTTGTTGGAAGTTAATTGACCATGAATATATAGATTTATTTTTGGACTCTTGATTCTGTTTCATTATCTATGTGTCTGTCCTTATGCCAGTACCACAGACCTGATCATTGTAGCATTGAGGTAGGTTTTGAAATCAGAAAGTGAGAGTTCCAACTTTGTTGTCTTTTATTCAAGATTGTTTTGACTATTCTGGTGTCCTTCCATTTCTGTTTTGATTTTAGGATTAGTTTGTCAATTTCCACACACACACACACACACACACACACACACACACACACAACCCTGCTGGAATTTACACACACCACCCTGCTGGAATCTACACACACACAACCCTGGTGGAATTTTGGGGGTTGCGTTGGATCTGTAGATGCAGTTCTTACTTAATAGGGGTTGGTCCTGGGGAGGGGAGCAGATGGCTTGGCCCTGTCCTCAGGGGCATGTGATGTGGCTGGGAGATCCCGGCAAGATGATTTTAAAGCCTCCCTTGTGGGTTTGTCAGCTTCAGGGTTCTAGTTATGATGGGCAAACTCATGTCTGCAGTTTAAGTAGGAAAGGAAGTTTAAAAACACAAAACATCAGGTGGTGCCCAGGAAGGGCCGAAGAGCCAGGCTTGGCGGCCTCCTGTGAAGAGGGGTGCATTCACCTGCACTGTGCACCGTGAGGCTCACCTGCGGCTTCTGGGGCCTGGCGTCCTCCTCCTGCTGCACCGCCCTCGCCCAGTTGGTGCCAGGCATGACCTCTGCACATCACAGGTGTCCAGGGCTTGATACGGCTGGGCCAGGCCTGGCACCCAGGGAACCTGGGAGGCACCTTCTGCGTGGCCCGCTCGCCACCTCTGGCCTGTCTGCTGCCTGTCTGCAGCCCTTCTGGAAGTGGGCACAGACCTGGCAGTGTTGTCAGGAGGTGGGAGGACACGTAGGTGAACCTGGGCCTGGGGGTGGCTCCCCCCATGAGGTGCGTAGAGTTCCTGTGAGGAGTGTGCACCCAGCAGCTCGTCGGGTCACAGCGAGGTGCAGCCTCGGCTCCCTGCACACCCGTCACACCTCTGCATGACAGGCAGAGACTGCGTTCTGGATGTGGCTGCCGCCTGCGGCTCCCAGCACGTGAAACATGGTGCGTGTTGCACACACGGCACGAGTGTGGCCAGTATGAACTGGAGCTGGTTTTCTTGAGGTGGAGAAAGCCCTGCTGGCTTCTCTTTCCCTCAGAGCCCACGGCACTGTGAGGAGCGGCATGCTTCCACGGCTCATCTCGAGGGTGAATTAAAGTCACCCCACGCCCAGGACCAGACCTTGGCTCTGCAGGCCTGTGGGGATGGATGGCAGCTGCAGAGGCCCCTCGAGAGGGACAGAGCCTTGAGCTTGGAGCTCTGTGAAGTCGCAGGCTCGGGGCGGTGGTGCCCTCCTTCCCCTGCTCTGGTATCTCAGGTCCTGTCTGCTCCCTGGTGCCCCCTTCCCTGTATGCTCTTCCCTGGCCATGCCGGCTGCTCTGCAGAGGGCTTCAGGGAGGGTTGTGGGGAGGGCGCGGGGAGGAGGTGCCCTCATGGGCCAGAACTGGCAGGAGGTGAGGAGGTGCCATGCCCCCGCCCAGGCAGAGGGACTGCGAGGTGCTGGAGGAGACCAGATGGGGAGGGGCTGGGAGAGACTGACATTCTGTTCAGATTCCAGGCTGTGGAGCTGGGCCCTGGAGCAGCCACACTTGGCGGCTGTGAGTTGGCCTCAGGGTCCTGCTGAGTGCCAGGTCCCTGCACACCCTCACAGTCCCTGGGGGCTGGCGGTGGCATTGGCATTGCTGAGGGTCTTGGCCAATCTGTTAGGGAAGTGGGGTCTCCGGGGCCGAGCTCTGCTCTGGGGTGTGGATAGCACAGCGTCTGCCGGGTGCTGCGGGAGCCTTTTCTGTGGGGATGTGGGTCCTGCAAATGTGAGCACCAGCTGTGATTAAATCAAGGACAGTGAACAGCAGCGCCGTCATCTTCATGAGTTCACAAAAACCTATTGCTTTATGTCTTATTAGGTGAATTTAGAATGTATACAGGGTAGGAAAAGCAGCAGAAAATAGCAGGTGTGTTTGGGAAGATCATCATTACTGCCTGTTACACTGAATAACTTCAAAATCAAAAGGGTTCCTCTCTCAGGACTGCTGCTGAAAAACGAAGTGCGAGTGGGTGTCCTACAGAAAAATTAAAGGAAAGAGAGAAAGGAAAGGAAAGGAGAGAAAGGAAAGGAAAGGAAAGAAAGGAAAGCACACCATAAGTTCACCCCGACAAGCAAATTGGTTGTTGGTTTTCCTTGCGCTTGCTGGTGAGACAGCCCCGGGGGATTTATAACTCGCCTTCTCACTGCTTTGGTGGTTTGCCGCCTGTAGTGGGGGCCGGTTGCCAGGGAGGCGTATTCACTTCCATGGTGGCTCATGTCCACTCTACTCTGAGCCCTGAGCCCTGGCGGCTGAGTCAGGGCAGAGCGGGAGCAAAGTCGTCCTGGTTCATACCTGAACCGAGAGGCCCGGCCGCGGCTGTGGTCTGCAAACTCACCAAGCCATTTCGGCATCTTTTAACCACAAAGGATAGGTGTGAGGATGCCTTCTCAGTTAGGACAGTTTCAGCAGCTGGTTCAGGAGCCTGCTGCTGCTCCCCTGGGCTTCTCACCTCACGATTTTTTGTCCTGCTCGTTGCTGTCATTGTCTCGGCTTGTTTGGGGAAATGTGGCGTGCGCGTTGTGGGTATGGCCACCGCCATCAGTGGGGAGACCATGATTGGTCCCTGGGGTGACACATGATCCTGGGGAGGGAAGGCGAGGGTCCCAGGGGACCTCTTACGGATCTTATGGAGGAGTTGGACTTCTCCCTCCACCCCGATTCAGGGACTGCGCTTCTTGAAGAGGGTTGTGAGCACGTCTCTGGTGGGCTTGGAGGCCCTGACCTGCTCAATGGGTGAGTGACAAATGGTTTTTCATGGTAGCCAGGGTCTCCCAGAGCCCCTGGCTGCCTCCCTGGGCTGTGCGGCCCCTCCTCCTCCTCAGAGTCACCGGCCCAGGGCTCAGCTCACTGTGAGTCGGTGGCCGTGAAAATAGCACTGGCAATGGAGGGTCGTTTCCAACAGTTCAGTGTTATTGGAGTAGAAGTTTATATAACAAGAGTGTATTTTAACTGGATGAAAATTTACTATTAAAAATAAACAGACCTTGCCAAATGGCAGTGAGTGCAGGGCAGACGGGAGTGTGCAGTGTGACTTTTGGGTGCCCAGGCCCTGCCAGTGGCCGCTGGGCCCAGCTCTTGTTTGGAGCTCCTGGTGGCAGATGGGCTCTTCTATGAGGTCTGGGAGTTCTGGTCAGTGGGATGGCGTCACCTGGGGCTCCTTATTCATGCAGCACGTGTCTGTTGCATGCCCCCGTATGCCTGGGCCTGTGCTGGCCGTGAGAATTCCACCCATGGGCTCTGGGCTGTGCTTGGGTCACCTGGTATGAGCCTCTGCCACCCCGCTCCCCACAGCAGCAGTACCAACACCAACAAGCCATTCACAGCGCTGCTTTACGACGTTTGTGCTGAATAGAGAGTTTGGAATGTCCCTGCGTATTTTATAGAGTGAGATGGTACATATCTAAAGATTTATTTTAATTCTTAAAAAAATTTTGTTTTGTTTTGTTTTCGAGTCAAGGTCTCAGCTCTGTTGTCCAGGCTGGTGTGCATGGCATGGTCACGGCTTACTGCAGCCTTGACCTTCTGGGCACAAGGGATCCTCCTGCCTCAGTCTCCCTGAGTGCTGGGATTACAGGCATGCACCACCACACCTGGCCAGTTTTAAGTCTGACCCTAAACAACTCAAGGAATAAGCCAAAGGCTTCTCTGAAGCACTTTCATCCAGTCACTTTTAACCCCATAGTTTGTGGCAACACACTCCCTGATGTGCACAGTTTGTAAGGTATTTGGAGTTTATGGGCCCACCTCAACACAACCTTCCCAGATAGCTTTGGATTTGTGTGTTTAGACAGTGGAACAGATCCAGGCCGAGGCATTACCTTTTGGCCCAGATGTCTAAAACAGGCAAGACAAAAGCCTTCCTGTGTGTGTGTATATATGTATGTGTGCGTATGTCTGTATGCATGTGCATTTGTGCATGTATGTCACTGTGTGTGCATGTGTGTATGTGTGTATATGTATGTATATGTGTATGTGTGTATGTGGGTCTATGTGTGGGTGTGTTTGTGTGAGTGCATGTGTATGTGAATGTGTGCCTGAGTTTGTGTGTGTGTGTGTGTGTGTGCGCCGTTGTGTGTGGGTCTCCGTGCATGTGTGTATGTGAATGCGTGTGAGTATGTGTGTGTGGGTCTCTGTGTATGCATGTATGTGTGCATGTGTGTATGTGAATGTGTGTGTGTGTTTGTGTGTGCCATTTCCTCCTAGTTTTGAGTCTCTTTGAATTGGAGGCTTGTGTGTGGAGGTACCTTCAGTGGAGTCTTGCAGGAGTGAAGACCACTTTGCTCAATTTCGTAGCCTGGAGCAGTCGTAGACAAGAGAGCCCTGTGGTCGGTCTCGGGGAGGCGTTGTAGCCTCAGGAGTGTTCTCTGGGTGTGACTCACACCTGGCCACATGTGTGGTCGTCCTTGGTTCTCCAAGGAAACCTGTCAAACTTAAAACAGTTTTAAGACATTAATTTGCTCAACGATGTTCAAATACTTTTGAAAAAATTGGTATGTATGCAAGGTATGCATGATGAAACTGACTCCAGAAGAGAGGGAGACACTAAATTGACCAGTTATTAGGAAAAAAATTAAAAAGATTGATCGACTTGTCAAAGTTGCTGTCCCAAAAAAGCTCCAGATGTAGGTGTTTCCAGAGTGGATTCTACCAAACTGTTGAGGAACATCCGGCCCCAGTTCCCTTTCAACCAGCCAGCTTATCAGACAGAAGGAAAATGCAGGGATACGGAGGCCCGACAGAAGGTGGCACCGTGAAAACAGCTGTGCAGTTGTCTTGCTGTTGCTTGTGAGTGAAACCATCTCGGCTTAGGACCCAATAGCAAATAAACTCGATCCAATGTGTTCATACTAGAAACGTAAGGATAAGTTCATGTTCCAAAAGGTTGAGGGATGTAATTCCCTGTTTTCATAAGTTAATAGTTCATCAGTAGAAGAAACCTTGTTAGGTTATCTCGATAGATGCTGAAAATGTATTTGTTAATATTAAATGCCTACTTTTGATTGAAAAATGATTATTCTTAATAAAATTAAAACATGTATTTCCATAATATAATTTTAAAACACAGAATCAGGCATTTCCACTAGTGTCAGGGACAAGACACCCCATGTAACCACAGTTGTGTAATATACTTTCAGAAGCTCTAGCTAGTGAAATTAACAATTTAACAAGAGAAAGAATAATGTAAATATTGAATACTAGAATGGAGAGACGTTACTTGCAAATATGATTGTGCATCTGGAAAACACAAGAGAATCTATTGAAAACCTGTAATAGTGGTTTATGGAGAAATAGTAACTGTTGCTAATCTTGAGCTCTGATCTCTCAGGAGGCACAGGGTATTAGTCCGGCTCCTGTAGGCTGCAGTAACAGAACCCCTCATGGACGGTGGTGTCATTTGCCCTGGAATGTCTGGAGGAGGGAGGCTCCCGGGTGGGCAAGCAGCTCAGTGATGTCACCAGGAACCAGTTCTTCCCCTGTCTCCATCCGGCCACCCTCCTGTGCAGGTGACACCGTCCTTCTCAGATGCCACTGTCAGATTCTCATCCCACATTCTGCAGAAGCAGGAAGGAAGCACGCAAAAATACCCAAACAACCAAAACAAAATAACTCTCTTTTACTTGGGCAACTTTTATTTCATTTATTAATTTTTTGAGATGGGGGCTCACTATGTTCCCCAAGATGGTCTTGAACTCCTAGGCTCAAGCACTTCTCCCTTCTCGGCCTCCCAGAATGCTGGGATTACAGGTGTGAGCTGCTGGGCGCAGCCCCTTGGGCAACTTTTAAAAACCTTTGTATGGTGAATAATTTTAGGTTTGGTTCCTATGTTTCCCCTGATAGGAACATCGTAAATAACCATGCTTCGTTTGTCAGAGCCAGGATGGTAACACGGGACACTACTGTTGACCAAACTACAGGCTTTATTTGGGTTTTACCAGTTTTTCCACCCACCTCCCTTTTCCGCTCCATGTAAACGTGTCTGTGGTGAAGATGCGGGGCTCGGTCTGATTTCCAAAGCTGCTTTTGCCCCTGTGGCCTGAAGTCCAACGATTCCAGCTTTTTATTCCAATATCTGGTTATTTAAAACATATTTAATGTTCTCTACATATAAAGCTTATTCAGAAAAGATTTAATGTGAATTATACTGAATTATATGCTTTCCTTTTTGAATGATCATATAACTTAGTGCTTAATTACCACATCTGGCAAAAAATTAAAAAAAAATATTGGCTGAGGCCGGGCGCGGTGGCTCACGCCTGTAACCCCAGCACTTTAGGAGGCCGAGGCGGGCGGATCATGAGGTCAAGAGATCAAGACCATCCTGGCCAACATAGTGAAACCCCGTCTCTACTGAAAATACAAAAATTAGCTGGGTGTGGTGGTGCGTGCCTGTAGTCCCAGCTACTCAGGAGGCTGAGGCAGGAGAATTGCTTGAACCTAGGAGGTGGAGGTTACGGTGAGCTGAGATCGAGCCACTGCTCTCCAGCCTGGTGACAGAGCAAGACTCCGTCTCAAAAAAAAAAAAAAAAAAAAAAAATTGGCTGAAACACCAGACATTTTTCCTGGTGTTCACCTGGTACCACCTGTGGAGGACCCGGCTAAGGGTTCCTATGTGTTTCTCTGGAAGCCATTTCCATGTGTATCGATAGCGAAGTTTGTTTTAATATTTCAAAAGTTGCCCTTAATGGCTCCATGAGATAACAGAATTATTAAGCTGCCTTCAATTAAAGCCTCAAGTTTTCCATTTGTAAATTAAGAATTTTTGTGGCCTGGGCACAGTGGCTCACGCCTGTAATCCCAGCTACTGGGATTACTGGGAGGCTGGTAATTGGGAGGCTGAGGTGGGTGGATCACCTGAGGTCAGGAGCTTGAGACCAGCCTGGCCAATGTGGTAAAACCCCATCTCTACTAAAAATACAAAAAAAAAAAAATTAGCCATCCGTGGTGTTGGGCACCCGTAATATCAGCCACTCAGGAGACTGAGGGAGGAGAATGGCTTGAACCCAGGAGGTGGAGGTTCCAGTGAGCCGAGATTGCACTATTGCATTCCAGCCTGGGCGACAAGAGTGAAACTCTGTCTCAAACAAAACAAAACAAAACACAAAAAAGAATTTTTTTGAGACAATTGAAGCTTAGTGAATAAGTACAGAAATTGTATTGTCAAAACTATGTAAGTTTACTACATATATTTGCAAAGAGCAAGGCAACATAGATCACAATATGTTCTTACCGGCATTTTTTTTTTTTTTTTTTTTTTGAGACGGAATCTCGCTCGGTCACCCAGGCTGGAGTGCGATGGCACGATCTCGGCTCACCACAACCTCCGCCTCTTGGATTCGAGCGATTCTCCTGCCTCAGCCTCTCGAGTAGCTGGGATTACAGGCATGTTCCACCATGCCTGTCTAATTTTTGTATTTTTAGTAGAGACAGGGTTTCTCCATGTTGGTCTTACTGGTATTCTTTTTTTGAAATTATTTTAAACATTGAGCATCTGATTAATTCTCACCATACAGCAGAGAGTGTTAAGTTCTTATACTTTCTACATGTTTTTCTTTTGGATTGTCAATTCTTTTTGGTTAAAAATAATAAAAATTTTATCTCACATGGTTTCTTCTGTTAATATGAAGCTGACATGGTCTTGTAAATGTTTCTGCATTTTGCTTGTTTTTTTGTTAGTTTGTTTTTGGTTTCTTTGAGACAGGGTCTCGCCCTGTTGCATAGGCTGGAGTGCAGTGGTGGGATCAATGCTCACTGCAGCCTCCACCTCCCTCCCAGGCTCAAGGGATCCTCCCAACTCAGCCCCCTGAGTAGCTGGGTTTACAGGAATGTGCCACCATGACCGCCTAATTTTGTTTATTTTTTGTAGAGACGGGGTCTCAGTATGTTGCCCAGGCTGGTCTCGAACTCCTGAGTGCAAGCGATTCTCTGCCTCAGCCTCCCAAAGTGCTGGGATTACAGGCGTGAGCCACCTCGCTGGGTCCCCACTGTTTTTTTTAATTAAATTTTTAGTAGAGATGGGGTTTCGCCATATTGGCCAGGCTGGTCTCGAACTCCTGACCTCAGGTGATCCACTCGCCTCAGCCTCCCAAAGTGCTGTGATTACAGGTGTGAGCCACCGCACTGGGCCCCCACTGTTTTTTTTTAATTGAATTTTTAGTAGAGATGGGGTTTCACCATATTGGCCAGGCTGGTCTCAAACTCCTGACCTCAGGTGATCCACTCACCTCGGCCTCCCAAAGTGCTGGGATTACAGGTGTGAGCCACCGCACTGGGCCCCCACTGTTTTTTTTAAATTGCATTTTTAGTAGAGATGGGGTTTCACCATATTGGCCAGGCTGGTCTCGAACTCCTGACCTCAGGTGATCCACTCACCTCAGTCTCCCAAAGTGCTGAGATTACAGGCGTGAGCCACCGCGCTGGGCCCCCACTGTTTTTTTTAATTGAATTTTTAGTAGAGACGGGGTTTCGCCTTATTGGCCAGGCTGGTCTCAAACTCCTGACCTCAGGTGATCCACTCGCCTCAGCCTCCCAAAGTGCTGGGATTACAGGTGTGAGCCTGCGCTCTGCTGATATTTTCTTGTTGGTGACTGCACGTTTGCCTTGAGCTGTGAGCTCTCATAGAACCAGATGACCATTTGGGCTCACTGTTAACTGTAGCCCTTCTGTGGATGCCCCGTGGGCACCTTCGTATCCATCAGTTTCATCTCTGGCCCTGGGAAGCGGGAGGAGTTCGGGTGGAGCTGGAGGGTTTTCCTTCCGACGAGGTATGTGGAGTCCCTCTGCGATCCTGTCTGGGGAGGGGAGAAAGGGGTGGCAAGGCTTCTCTAGCTGTCACTGGGTCCTTGAACCCCCGCTGGCCTGGTGCTGCTGCTGGTGCTGACCACACACAGACTCATGGGAGAACTGGGCAACTTGGCCACTGAATCTTCATTGTGGGTGTTTGCTTTGAATATTTCGTTTTCAGCTCTTGTGTTTCTAAGTACCAAAACACTTTTTTTTTTTTGTAAGAATTCCAGTGCACCAACAATAAAACCAAGGGACCAACTGAGCCATTTGGAAGTGGTGGCTGGGGACACCCATACGGTGGTGACACTTCTGGGTGACTGGCTGGTGCTGGGTGTTTCTGGGCTGCCAGGACAGCAGGAGGTGGGGGTGTTCTGTGCCAGTGAGCTTCGTGCTGCGATGTGGATAGAGGGCCGTCCTTCCGGCCGCTGCTGCTCTCAGGTCGCCTCTCATCGGCACAGCGGCGCATCACACGGCAGCAGCCTGCCTGGCTCTCCTGGTGGGTGGGGGCTGAGGGATGAAAACGAGGCACTCCCTCCCCACCACAGCCTACTCCCGTGGGTTCGGGGCGTTGGAACATTCTCCAAACCCCTCCTGCTGCCTGGCCAGGTCCAGCTGGGCACAGTGCACGCCCACCTGCTGGGCCCTCCTCACCGTGGGCTCCGCCCTGGGCCCTTTGGACACCTTCCCTGGCCCTGACAGCAGCTACCTGGGAATGCAGCATGAGGCAGGTGCCTTTTGCTGAATGAGGTGAACAGCAAGAGGGAGAAAAGGAGAGATCGCCTAGCAAAGCAGCGAGGCCAGAGGCTCCTGCCGAGCAGAGGAGGAGGGCCATTGGCGCAAGGACACACCCATCCCTCATCACACTGCTGGGACCTGCCTACCCTCTCTGCTGGCACGCCGGGCTCTGCCACATGGGCCTGTCTGGGCCTTGTCCTCCCCAGCTGCGGGGAAGGGCTTCTTTCAGTTCCCTTTGGGTGAACACAGAGGCCCAGCTCCTGCCGCTGTGTGTGGTTCTGGGTCACTCAGGACCACTGATAATCAAAACCACCAACTTTGGACTACACAGAGCTATTAAGGAGCTTAGCTAAATTTAAAAAAAGTGCAGCTGATATTTATGTCCTTTATGTGCCAGATAGTGCTGTAAGGATGTGGTGTGTCTCTAGGTATGTCAGCCCTGACGTTTGTGCCGTAAGGACCCGGAGTGTCTGCAGGCAGACCTGTCATCCCCGCAGCCCTGACGTGCGTGCTGTAAGGACCTCGAGTGTCTGAAGGGAGACCTATCATCTCCACAGCCCTGATGCCTGTGCTGTGTTGCTCCATTGCACAGATGGAAAGACAGGGGCTAGCGAGTGAGCAGCCAGTGTGAGGCCCTGCGGTAGCAGGTGGAGGGGGCAGGGTGTGAACTGAGCTGGGGCTGGCTCTGGCATCTGAGCTTGTTAACGACCGACTGGGCTAGAGGCAGAGTGGGCCGCACCCTGACCACCACCTCTGTCCCCCACTGCTGTGCCCCTCTGTCTCACTGTTTCCTGTGGTCCCTCCTGACTAGAAGAGACTCAGGCCTGCTGAGTAGCATGCAGCACAGGACGAGCCTGCAGAGCCCTCTTGGGACTTACACACTGGGGATTTGACAGCTCATGTCTGGCACCGCAGATAGTCTAGGAAAAGGTGACTCATCCAAGAGCCTGGCCGGAAACCCACAGGGTATTGGCCCAGGTGTGCCGAGAGGCTGGCCGGAGGGACCATTGTGATACTCAGAGGAAAACGCCTGTGGCCCATGGGGGGGCCTTCAGAAGAATGTCGGAGTTTCTCAGCTGGCAAGATGCCCCTGGTGGCAAGATGCCCCTGGTGGCAAGATGCCCCTGGTGTGGGGCCCCTCACCTGGACCAGAGGCCTTCCCTGAGCTTCTGTTTTGCAGGGAGGTGCCTGAGCTGCACAGCTTGCCTGGGAGGAGTCGTGGTTTCTGGGGGTGGGGCCTTTCGTAGGGCTGTGCTGGTGCTGTCCTGGGGGAGGGGGATGCTGAGCACGCCCGCCCGGGGCTGCTTTCCCTGGGAGGGATGCTGAGGCTGCCCAGGGCTGCTTTCCCTGTGAAGCAGCGTGACCCAGGGCTCTTGGTGGGGATGTGCCGTTTGCTCTTTTTCATGTGTCTAGCCCTTGGGAAGTGTTTTTGGTACTGCTGGTTCTCATGCTCTAGTCCTGGTAATGGGCTAGTGTGCTTGTTCTGGCTTTACTCGGTAGCGTTTATAACAGGACAGGATTCAGAGGACACTGTTGCTGAGGGAAAGTTTGTGCCACTTAACCTGGTGTTGCTTCTGGCCCTGCCTCTGCTGGGCGTCTGTCTGCAGCGTGCCTTGGAGTGTTTCCCTTGCTCTGCTGATTGCTGAAATGCAAGACCTGGGCCTCTGGAATCCCATTGAAAGAACTTGTTTAAAGAAACATCAGCTCGGTTTATTTCATACACAGCTACTTTTTGTAGATACTGAGGTTTTGTTGAGATGTTGGGGTGTACGTGCCGTGTGAGGTTTTGTTGAGATGTTGGGGTGTGCGTGCCGTGTGAGGTTTTGTTGCGATGTTGGGGTGTACGTGCCGTGTGAGGTTTTGTTGAGATGTTGGGGTGTGTGTGCTGTGTGAGGTTTTGTTGATGTTGAGGTGTGTGTGCCGTGTGAGGTTTTGTTGAGATGTTGGGGTGTGTGTGCCGTGTGAGGTTTTGTTGCGATGTTGGGGTGTACGTGCCGTGTGAGGTTTTATTGAGATGTTGGGGTGTGTGTGCTGTGTGAGGTTTTGTTGATGTTGAGGTGTGTGTGCTGTGTGAGGTTTTGTTGATGTTGGGGTGTGTGTGCTGTGTGAGGTTTTGTTGAGATGTTGGGGTGTGTGTGCTGTGTGAGGTTTTGTTGATGTTGAGGTGTGTGTGCCGTGTGAGGTTTTGTTGAGATGTTGGGGTGTGCGTGCCGTGTGAGGTTTTGTTGAGATGTTGGGGTGTACGTGCCGTGTGAGGTTTTGTTGAGATGTTGGGGTGTACGTGCCGTGTGAGGTTTTGTTGAGATGTTGGGGTGTGTGTGCTGTGTGAGGTTTTGTTGATGTTGGGTTGTGTGTGCTGTGGGAGGTTTTGTTGAGATGTTGGGGTGTGTGTGCCGTGTGAGGTTTTGTTGAGATGTTGGGGTGTGCGTGCCGTGTGAGGTTTTGTTGAGATGTTGGGGTGTGCGTGCCGTGTGAGGTTTTGTTGAGATGTTGGGGTGTACGTGCCGTGTGAGGTTTTGTTGAGATGTTGGGGTGTGCGTGCCGTGTGAGGTTTTGTTGAGATGTTGGGGTGTGTGTGCCGTGTGAGGTTTTGTTGATGTTGAGGTGTGTGTGCCGTGTGAGGTTTTGTTGAGATGTTGGGGTGTGTGTGCTGTGTGAGGTTTTGTTGAGATGTTGGGGTGTGTGTGCCGTGTGAGGTTTTGTTGATGTTGAGGTGTGTGTGCTGTGTGAGGTTTTGTTGATGTTGAGGTGTGTGTGCCGTGTGAGGTTTTGTTGAGATGTTGGGGTGTACGTGCCGTGGGAGGTTTTGTTGAGATGTTGGGGTGTACGTGCCGTGGGAGGTTTTGTTGAGATGTTGGGGTGTGCGTGCCGTGGGAGGTTTTGTTGAGATGTTGGGGTGTGCGTGCCGTGGGAGGTTTTGTTGAGATGTTGGGGTGTGCGTGCCGTGGGAGGTTTTGTTGAGATGTTGGGGTGTGCGTGCCGTGGGAGGTTTTGTTGAGATGTTGGGGTGTGCGTGCCGTGGGAGGTTTTGTTGAGATGTTGGGGTGTGCGTGCCGTGGGAGGTTTTGTTGAGATGTTGGGGTGTGCGTGCCGTGGGAGGTTTTGTTGAGATTTTGGGTTGTACGTGCCGTGGGAGGTTTTGTTGAGATGTTGGGATGTGCGTGCCGTGTGAGGTTTTGTTGAGATGTTGGGGTGTGTGTCCTGTGTGAGGTTTTGTTGAGATGTTGGGGTGTGTGTGCCGTGTGAGGTTTTGTTGCGATGTTGGGTGTGTGTCCTGTGTGAGGTTTTGTTGAGATGTTGGGGTGTACCTGCTGTGTGAGGGCCGGCCTTGTTTCTGTTTACTGATGCCTCCTGGGCCTCACACAGGGAGGGGTGAACAGAGGTCTTAGGGAGGGTGTTTTTCTCTTTTTTTTCTTTTTTTTTTAATTTTGTATTTTATTTTATTTTATTTTATTTTATTTTATTTTATTTTATTTTTTGTAGAGATGGGGTCTCAGTATTTTTTTTTTTTGAGACAGAGTCTCGCTCTGTTGCCCAGGCTGGAGTGCAGTCGTGGGATCTTGGCTCACTGCAACCTCTGCCTCCTGGGTTCAAGCCATTTTCCTGCCTCAGCCTCTGGAGTAGCTGGGGGGTGTTTTTCGTTTTAAAAGGCCTGGAATGTGGTTTCTGTGAGAGCCTTCCGGAAGCTCTGGGGAGGTGCTTGTCCTTGTTGCTGGGCCTTGGGGCGTGAGGCAGCTGGTAGGCACGGACTTCTGGTGGTAAGGAGCTGTCTAGCCTGGAAGCCTGCAGCCCACCTGACGATAGAAACGCAAAGCACACCTCAGCATATGGTCTGCGGAGTCCTCCCGGGGGCTCCGGATTCGGGGTGTCCGTGGAAAACACATGATGCCAGGTCCACAGGGTGACAGGTGACAGGTGACCCAGCCTTCAGGCTCCCTGTCCAGCCGCTGGGACTCTGTTGAATGCTGCATTCTTCCTCCGCAGGCTGGCGTTTGCACCGGCCTGGACACATCGCAACCCTGACCTGTGTGCTGAAGGGCGGCCGCCTGATGTCTGCCTGCTTTTGGCATTTGGACGACACCTGGTTTCTGCCTGAGGGAGGGATTGGTCCTCTTACCTGATGTGTAGCTCCCAGAAAGGCTTGTGCAGAACTGACATGTGGCTAGCCTGCTCCCAGCCCCCCGCAGCTCACAGGGTCAGGATGGGAGGGGAGTACAGGCTGAGGCACCAGGCACCACAGGGGCCTGCACGTCACTGTCAGTCTGGTTAAACATCATAAAATTAGTAACCAAACCGATCTAACCACATTCACAATCATTTGGAAACTGGTGAAAAGGGGAAAGCAATGAGCACTATCCTACTTCCCTAACCCAACCACAAGCAGCGGAGCCAGTTATTTCTTGGCTTCTCTGTGGAAGTGCGTTTATTTGAAATCCGTAAACAGTGTTTATCTTGGCGAGGAGGAATCCTGCACCAGCTTAGACAAGGAACTCCTGACGCCTCAGCGCCTGGCCCTCAGGACAGCCTTTCCCCGGTTCCCTGTGTCCCTCTGGCCGTGGGCTCCCGCGTGGTGTGTGCGGCCCAGGGCCCTGGCAGTGGGGAGTGTGTGGTCCCCTAGTGACACCGCCTGCTCTGTGGCTGTTTTCTTTCTTTATGATTGTTTGCTTCTCACACTCCCTGCCAAAGGACCTGCTTGATGCCACTGACATCGCGGCTCTTGTGGACTGTGGAGCTGGTGGCTCCCCTCTCCTCCTGAACCACGAGTACTTTCTGGGGAAATGATTTCACCCACTGCCCCCTGCCCACATCCCTCCACCACAGATGCCACCTGACCTGCAGCTACCCACTGGGCTGCTGTAGCTCCTTGGTGACCAGACTCTGCCCTTCCCTGCCAGTGTGTGTGCTGAGCCTCTGAGATCACGGCCCAGCCCTGGGCCCTCCCTGTGCAGGTCAGGCTCCAGGTTGAGGCCAGGTGAGGGAGCCGTGGTCCGGGGCTGTGGCTCTGCTCCTCTCCAGCCCTCTTGCCAGAGGTGGGAGGTGCTGGTGTGCCCCTCCTGCCCCCAGGACAGCACTTCTCTGTCTGCTTCCTGAGGCTCACAGCACAGCTCCTGTCTGCAGGGAGAGGAGAGTATGGAGAGGTTCAGAATGCGGGCTTGGACAGGTGCTGGGTGGCACCCCGAGCGGGTTTTCCTTTCAGGTGTGGGGCTGCAGGTTCTAGTGGGTTCTCCACACAGTCCTGGCCCTGGATGGAAAGAGGGAGAGAATCTAGCCTTGGGCTCTGGGCTGTGGTGGCTCCCTGAGGCCTTGCAGCTGGGAGGGGTCCTCTGCTCCTGTCCCCAGTGTGCGTCCCCCACTGCATCCACCCTCTCTGGGGCCTAAACTGCACATGATATCATTCATTACCTTTTTTCCCAACCAGCTAACAGGATGCAAACGAGAGTGTTCTAAATGATCTTGGAATACAAACTTGCATATGTTACTTTCAAGCATTAAATGTTTACCTTCTTAAATAAATGGTTGTCACCTCATTTTACCTTCTGAATTAAGCAGATCTCTGATGCACCCAGCGTCTTGCCTGTGCTGACCGGCCACAGACCCTGGGAGAGTCCCCAGCTGGGATGGGGAGCCGAGGGTCGCACCCAGACTCACACCCCAGAACCCGGGTTTTAGAGTGAGACTGACGAGGGCCACCAGGATGTGCTCTGCCGGTGTCTGCCCTGTTCCCAGAATGCTGGTCACACCCGCTGAATTGCTGTGAGCCCAGTGGTGGGCTGAGTGCCACGGTTTGAACGCACCTGTGGTGCCTCTGACCCATGGGGAGAGGGCTTGTGCTGGGCTCCAGAAAACTCTGAGGGACCTCTGAAAGGTGGCAGGACTGTGGGGAAGGGGTTTTGGCTGAGGCTCAGCAGAATGAAGGGGCCAGGAGTGGAGGGGGCAGAGGGACCCCCAGGCAGGGCCGCTGCACCTGGAGAGAAGCTGGAAGGCAAAGACTGGGTCGTGGTGCCCTGAGTGCAGGTGGGTTGCTCCCCCCCGGCACGCCGCCCGTGGTGCATCACGTTCTGTTGCAGTGTCTGCTCCTGAGCATTTCAGGACGGGACTCTGATCATCCTCCAAGCCGGCCTGCATATCCTAGTTGGTATCTGAGTTAAGTTTACACAGGAGATATGGGGTCAAAAGGTGGTGGGGTACCTGGCATCCTACAGGTGGCATTCCTGTATCTGTGATTTTTGTTCACACGTTTATCTCGGGCTGCGCATGCCCGGCCCCGGGCCAGGGAACGGGACATGGCCATGAAAACAGTGGGCCCCTGCTGTCTTGAGGCCCATCTTTTGGTGGCCCCTGTTTTGGTGGCCATCAGGGAGGGGCCTGAGCCCCCCATGGGGTCAGGTGGAAAGTGGCAGCTCTTAGAGGTGACATAGGGACCCTTGGAGGTGACATTGAGACCCTTGGAGGTGACACTGAGACCCAAAGGAAGGACAGGAGGGCCCCTGAGGAGATGGATGAGGTGGGAAAGTGCAGCCAGCATGCCTGTCTCAGGGAGGCATTGGGTGTTGTGGGCAGCGGTGGTTCGTGGCCTCCTAGTGACCTCTCCTGGTCACTGGACAGCAGCCTCTCTCGCCCATGGGCGCTGCTCTCGGTTCCAGCCTCGTTGGTTACTCGGCAGCCGTCAGACTCCTGGTTTGAGAAGGGAGTGTGGGCTCCCTGTCCTCGAGGGGTTCAGCTGTGCCATTTGGGGGTGCTCCATGAAGCTGGCAGCTGGACAGCCGTGACACTGGTATTTCTTGGGTTATTTTAGTTGTAGGCATGTTTGCTAAATGTCAGCAATTTGGCCTCACTCAAAATTTGTTTTGAGATTAGGCTCAGTATTGAACTGCATTGAATGAAGTAAACCAGGATTCTAAAATTAACGTGTGAGGGGAAGTTATTTCACCATTGGGAGATTATTATGCTCTCTACAGAAAGTGTTGCAGAACTTTGATTTGACAGCAATAAAAATGAACCCTCTCCTTTTTTGTGTCTGGTTTTAGCTCAGTGCCATATAAATCTGGGCATTGAAGGTTCAAGGGTCCAGGCGCTCCACCTCTGCCCCTGTGGCTGTGTGGTGCTCTGTCTATGGGGATCTTTGTAGCACAAGCCCGAGCCTTATCAAAGACCCTGGTTCTCTCCACTGGGTGCATGTGGAGCACCTCGGCCGGCATTCAGTGCCCACTCTGCATGCCGCCCCCGTGCCAGTCCCCGGCAGGTGAAGGTGAGCAAGACCTTGCACTGGAGCAGCTCTGTCAGGAGAGTGTGCGGGGGCTGGAGGGGCTCTGTCAGGAGAGTGTGCGGGGAGTCTCATCCAGGAGAGTGTGCGGGGACTGGAGGGGCTCTGTCAGGAGAGTGTGCGGGGGCTGGAGGGGCTCTGTCAGGAGAGTGTGTGGGGCGTCTCACCCAGGAGAGTGTGCGGGGGCTGGGTCTGGGCTTCAGGGGAGGAGAGTATGTGGGGGCTGGGTCCGAGCTCCAGGACACCCAGAAGAGTATGTGGAGGCTGGGTCCAGGCTCCAGGACACCAGGAGAGTGTGCAGGGGCTGGGTCTGGGCTCCAGGAGAGGAGAGGAGACTCTCGACGGTGGGCAGCCCCAGGGAATGGCATGGTGGCTGGAGGGGGTGCCAGCAGAGGGGCTGCGGCCGTAGTCTTAGGGAGGGTGGCAGGCACTGCAGAGGTGCTCAGTCCGCCTGCCTTCTGTGGTGCAGGGTAGAGGTCGGGCCTCACAGGCTCTGGGTTTAAGTGCTGGAGCTGCCTCTCATTGGCCCTAGGGAAGCTGCTCGTCCTCTTGTGCCTCGGTTTCCACACCTGTATGGTTGAACTTGTTGCGGTGATGTAGGAAGGGGCCTGATGCCCCTTTGTGTGGCTCAAGGCTGGTGCGTGCCGGGCAGCTGTGAAATGAGCTGGGCTTCTGAGTGGCAGGGAGGCAGAGCCGCGCCGGTTGCGGGCTCCAAGCTGGGCTAGCTGGAGGCGGGGGAAGGAGAGTGTGGGGGGAGGTGGAGCCTGTGGGCCGGTGACGGAGGGGACCGCGGGGCGGGGTGGCGAGTGGGGCTCCTGGTGTCTGGGGCTGCAGCTGTGGGTGGCTGTCGTGCCCCTGAGTGAGGCGTACCTGTTGGGAAGTGAGGGCATGAACTCCGTTTTCCTCCTTTTGAGTCCCCCCGCCCCAGTACTGTGGTGAAAGCAGCTGCACCGGTGGCTCTGGTGGGAGCAGTAGGGGTGTGGGATTGTGCAGGGCAGGGAAGGGGCAGAGAGGGGGCCGGAGCCAAGGAGTGGACTCTGGGCATCCCAATGGTCTGTGTGAGGATGAACTGGGCTGATGCTTGCTGTGGGCCAGGGACACTAGAAGGGTGAGCTCCATTCTCCAGAAGCTCTGTGCTTCTGCGGCTGGCTCCAGCCTTGCCCTGCGGTGGTGGGGCCTGCTTCCCCGGCCATCCTGCCCTGTCCCTTTGCTGTAGGTGGGGCCTCAGTGAGGCTGGGAGATGATACTCTGGTGCTGCCCAGGGCTGGCCTCCCATAGCGATTGATGGGGTGAAGGAGAGGAGAAGCCCGGAAGATTGAGCAGGTTTTTAATTCACAGGGCCCTATTTTCGTCTGACCCCTGCTTCGTCATCCACCTGCCTCTCCGTGGCGCCTGGTTCTTGGTGCTCCCCTTTTGCAAACCTGAAGCTCAGCCACCATGCCTTGCCTGTTTAAAAGTTTTTTTTTTTTTTGTAGAGATGGAGTCTTGCTATCTTGCCTAGGCTGGTCCACTCCCGATACTGGAGTGGAGTCTGCCCCCGGGTTGTGGCCCACCTTCCTCCCACTGCTGGCAGGGGCTTTGCTGGCAGCTCCCAGGGCTGAGTTTTCATTGAATAATCTGCCCAGAAGGTTCCAGGGGCTGCATCTGGGTGGCTTGAGAGTAGAATTATTTGGCAACTTGCAGTGGGTTCTGTTTAAGAAGGAAAAGAAAGCCTGCTGGGTCCCTGATATGGTTTGGCTCTGTGTCCCCACCCAAATCTCACGTCAAATTGTAACCCCAGTGTTGGGGGAGGGACCTGGTGGGAGGTGATTGGATCCTGGGGGCCGATTTCTCGTGATAGTGAGTGAGTTCTTGTGAGATCTGGTTGTTTAAAAGTGTGTGGCACTTCCCCTTTCACACTCTATCTCCTGCTCCACCATGGTAAGGCGTGCTTTCTTCTTCTTCACCTTCCGCCATGATTGTAAGTTTTCTGAGGCCTCCCAGCCATGTTTCCTGTACAGACTGTGGAACTGTGAGTCAGTGCAACCTCTATTCTCCATGAATTACCAGTCTCAGGTAAGTCTTCATGGCAGTGTGAGAACGGACTAATACTGTCCTGGAATTGGCCATGCTTAGGGGAAAGAGTCACAGGAAGGGCCCTAGAGATCATCAACTTCAGCCCTTTTATTTTTGATTCTTAAAGACACATGTGAGATTGTTTTATAAAAATTTTGACTTACAAGGCTGAAAGAATTTTATAGCTAACACTTGTTTATCTGCCACTTAGATTCTATCATTAATGTTTTACTCTACTTGTTTTAGCACATTTTCCTCTGTCCATCAGTCATTGTTGATTTTGATGCATTTCCAGGTAAATTGCTGACATCAGCATACTTCCCCCAAATGCTTCTGTGTGAATATCACTAGCTAGAGCTCAGTATTTAATGTTTTTCTTTTGACATAAAAATTATACACAGCAAAATATACAGATCCTAAGTACACATTTGCTGAGTTTTGACGTGTCTGTTTAACCAAAATTGTTATCAAAACAAACACAAAGCTTGACCATCACCCAAGACCCCTCCCCCATACCTTTCCCTGGCCCTCCCAGGGAGGTGGCTCTTGTGGGTTTTCCCTCACGTAGCTTCGCCTGTCGGAGGACGCCACATTCACAGATGCCCTCTCTCCATATGGCTTCAGTCTCTTGCCAGACATTTTTGAGATGGGTCCATATTCTTCTCCGAACCAGAGGTTTGTTCCTTTTCATGGCTGAATAGTAGTCCTTTGTGGGAGTGTATGACTATGCCATAGCACATTTAGCTGTTCTCCTGTCGACAGGAGTTTCCTGTCCGGCCTCAGGAAACTTACAATGATAGCATGTTTTAATTATGATGAGCAAAGACTCTATGAACATTCTTGTACACATTTTTTGTGAACATCTATTTTTATTTTCTTAGGCAATTCTACCTAGGAGTGAAGTGGCAATGTCCTGGAGTAGATGTGCATTTAGTTTTATCAGAGGCTCTGGAACTTTCCCAGGCCAATTCTGCTGGTCTCTTCCTCTGACAGTGCGTGGAGGCCTTGACTGCTCCTCACCCTTCCCCCATTTGGTGTTCTTGTTTTTTCAGTTTTAGCTCTTCTGGCGGGTGTGCAGTGGGACCTCACTGTAGGTTTTATTGGCATCTCTTTGAGGATTAAGGAGGTGAGCATCTTTTCAGCTGCTTATTGACCATTCATGTATTTCTTTTGCAAAGTGTCTGTTCATATCTTTTGCCCATTTTTTTTGAGTTGTTTGTTTTCGTTAGGGAGTTGCAGGGGGCCTTTATGTACTCTGGATACCAGTCCTTTGTCAGATGTATATTTTGTGATACTTTCCCCCAGTCTGTGGCTTGCCTGTTCATTTTCTTTTTTTTTTGAGACAGAGTCTTGCTCAGTTGCCCAGGCTGGAGTGCAGTGGCGCGATCTCGGCTCACTGCAAGCTCTGCCTCCTGGGTTCATGCCATTCTCCTGCCTCAGCTTCCCGAGTAGCTGGGACTACAGGTGCCTGTCACCATGCCCAGCTAATTTTTTTGTATTTTTAGTAGAGACGGGGGTTTCACCATGTTGGCCAGGATGGTTTCGATCTCCTGACCTCATGATCTGCCCGTCTCGGCCTCCCAAAGTGATGAGATTACAGGTATGAGCCACTGCGCCCGGCCTCATTTTCTTAATGGCAGTTTCCATGAGCAGCAGTTTTTAGTTATGATTCTTCTATGGTTCTCGCTTTCTGAGGCAGAATATATCTGTGTTCACTGCCAGGCCATGAAGACCTTCTTCCTTTTTGCCTTCTTTAGAAGCTATATGCTTTTACTGTCTACATTTGGGTTTTTGACTTATCACAAGTTAATTTTTGTGTATGATGTGAGATAGTGGTTGAAGTTTATTATTATTTTTTCCATATGGAATTCAGCTGTTCCACCACTGTTTGTTGATAACTTTTTTTTTTTTTTTTTTTTAAAGAGACAGGGTCTTGCTCTGTCACCCAGGCTGAAGTACAGTGGCAACACGGCTCACTGCATCCTTGACCTCCCGGGCTCAAGCGATCCTCCCACCTTAGGCTCCTGAGTAGCTGGGACTAAAGGCATGCGCCACCATGCCCAGCTACTTTTAAAAATAATTTTTGTAGAGATGGGGTCTCACTATCTTGCCCAGGCTGGTCTCAAACTCTTGGGCTCAAGCAGCCCTCCTGCATCGAACTCCCAAAGTGCTGGGTTTACAGGCACGATACTTTGTTTTTCTCCATTGGATTGCTTTGGTATTTTTGTTGAAAATCCAGGTATAAGTGTGCTTTATTTCTGGATTCGCTATTCTGCTCCATCAGTCCATTGAATTTTATTCCAGGTCCACATGCCTCAGTTGTGTTGGCATTAGAGTAAGTCTTACAGTCAGTGCACATCCCTAACTTGATTCTTGCAGAGGCTGCTTTGGATATTCCAGGCCTGTTGCATTCCGACATAGATGTTAGAGCATCTTGTCAATTTCTGCAGAGTGCCTGCTGAGCTTCTGGCTGGTATTGCTTGGAATCGTAGATCAGTGTGCGGGGGAGTGATGTCTTCACAATGCTGAGTCTTCTGATTATGAAGATGGTTGTCACCTCATTTACTGAGGGTGTCTTTAATTTTTCTCAGCAGCATTTTGTGATTTTCAGTGTAGTGGTTTTGTGTCTTTTGTAAATGAATTGTTACGTAGTTTATGTTTTTTATGTCATTATAAATGGTATTTTTAAACGTGTGATTTTCCAGTTGTTTACTATTAGTGAATGGAGATGCAGATGCATGGTTGTGTACTAATCTCGTGTCCTATGGCCCCTCTGAACCGTAGCTTCTGTGGAGCCGTGGGTGACAGTTGTAAACAGTTGGCATTTGCAGATAGAGCCATGTGAGCACCTTTTTCTCCAGGCTTGAGGCCGTTCCTTTCTTTTCCTGCCTCGTTGGGCTGGTCAGGACCTTTGGCATCGGGTGAGTCGGCGTGGGGAGCTGGGCCTTTCTGCCATGCTCTTCCTTTCGGGGAAAGTATTGAGTGGTTCACCAGTAAGGATGTGAGTATCTGGAGTGTTTTTGTCATTGTTCCTTTAAAAAAAAAAATGTCCTTTATCAAAGGGAGGAGGTTTCCTTGTATTTCATACTCTGCTGAGCGTTTTCGCCGTCGAGGAATGTCGAATGTGCTCAGATGGTTTTTCTGTATGTGCTAACGTGACCCCACACTTTCTCCTTTATTTGGCTAACTTGGTAAATTACATCGCTGTTTAGTTAAACGAAACTAGTGTTTCTGGGCTAACCCCTACTTGGTCACATTATATTCCTTTAAAAAATCTATTTTGGGCCAGGCACAGTGGTTTATTGCTGTAATCCCAGCACTTTTGGAGGCCAAGGGGGGCGGATAGCTTGAGCCCAGGAGTTCAAGACTAGCCTGGGCAACGTGGTAAAACCCCATTTCTACAAAAAATTAAAAAAATCAGCCAGTTGCAGTGGTGTGTGCTTGTAGTCTCAGCTACTCCAGAGGCTGAGGTAGGAGGATTCCTTGGGCACAGGAGGTAGAGGCTGCAGTGAACTGTGACTGCGCCACGACACTCCAGCCTGGGCTATAGAGCAAGACTGCGTCTCCAGAACAAACAAACAAACAAACAAACATTTCTGCCCTTGCTTTGTGTACACATCAGTGAGAGCTGTTGACCTGTAATGTTGTTTCTTTGCCTTGCCTCTGTGATGCCTTTGCCGGTTTTGGTGTTGGGGTTATGCTGGCTTCAGAGATTAACCACCAACCATTTGGAAAACACTAACCATTTGGAAAGTGTCATCCCTCCTCTGTGTTTGAAAAGAGCCATCTGTGATTGATGCTGTTTCTTCTTTAGGTGTTTAATGGAATTTACCAGTGAAACCATCTGTGCCTTTTTTTGTGGGAAGGTTTTTGATATGACTCAAATTTCTTTAATAGATAAAAGTTTTCTATTCATTATGTGCCAAGTTTTGTTTTTTAAGGAATAAATATATTTTAAATTTATTTTCTGAGGAAAACATAAACTTAAAAATTATTTAAATGATCAGTCTACTTCATGTAAATTATCAATTTGTTGATACAATGTTCACATATTCTCATATTATTCTTTTAATGTCTATAGTGATAACCCCTCTTTGATTCCTGATAGTGGTAATTTGTGTCTTTTATTCTTGATCATTCTACCTACTGGCTTATTAGTTTTGCTAATCTATTTAAGAACTAAAAAAAATTGTTAATTTTTAAAATTGTCTGTTTTTGTGTTAATTTACTTATTTTTGAGACAGGGTCTCCCTCTGTCACCCAGGCTAGAGTGCAGTGGCCCACTCACAGTTCCCTGCC
Organism: Homo sapiens; assembly: GCF_000001405.40. Taxonomy (NCBI): domain Eukaryota; kingdom Metazoa; phylum Chordata; class Mammalia; order Primates; family Hominidae; genus Homo; species Homo sapiens. The sequence continues at coordinate 132,584,816 of NC_000010.11, forward strand.
TCAACCTCCTAGGCTCAAGCAGTCATCCTGCCTCAGCCTCCCAAGTAGATGGGACTATAGGCACAAGCCTGGTTAAGCTTTTAATTTTTTTGTAGAGATGGGGGTTTCACTGTGTTGTCTAGACTGGTCTTTCCTGGCCTCAGGCCTCCCAAAGTGCTGGGATTTTTCTGTTTTCTGTTTTCTTGGTGACATGGAACAGTTATTTCCAAGGAACTTGTTTAATCAGACCTTCAGGGGCTTCTAGAAGGTCGCAGTTTTAACAGGACTGCAGTTGATTCCAGGTTTTGATTAAAAGTGTGCTTTGGGGAAGCAATTTTAAAATTCATTGACTACATATACAATAAAATGAAATTAGAAGTCATGTAACTGAGCCAAAAGTTTTTTTATACAAAGTTATTAACAGGTACCTAAATAAAATATGTTCTTAAAAATGAAATAAAATGAAATCATTTGTATACAAGTACAGTAGTCCTCCCTCATCCATGGTTTCAGGTACCTTATGTCATTGCGGTCAGAAACTAGGTAAGATATTTTGAGAGAGCGAGAGAAAGCGCGAGTGCGAGCACATTCATGTAACTTCTTTTGCCGTATATTGTCCTAGTTGTTCTATTTTATTATCAGTTATTATTTATCTCTTACTGTACCTAATGTTAAACTTTATCATGGATATGTATGTATGTATAGGAAAAACCATGGTGTATATGGGGTTTGGTACTAGCTGCCGTTACAGGCGTCCACTGGGGGGGTCTTGGAATGTGTCCCCTCAGCTACGGGGGATGCCTGTGTGCTGGACTGGAAGCTCCACAATGGTGAGAAGCATTACCAGGGCAAAGCCAGGAGCAATGATGACAACCCTGGATTCCCAGGTCTCACGGAGCCTCAGATACCACCATCTCTTTCTTCATCCTTTTCTTGCACTTCATTCTTTTTCCACATCCTCTGCTTCTGGGGTGGCCCCTGTCTTATTTCATTTTCTGTGTGACGCTCCCCACAGATGTGTGTCGTCAGCGGCTGCCCTGCAGGTGGAGTGTCCTTTCGGGTGTCCACTGCTGGTTCCTGCTAGCAGGAGCAGATGACACTGCAGCCTCTGTCCAAGCGTGGATCCCACCCTGAGGGTGCTGTGTGTGTCTGGGCTTCCCTCTGGGTCATTGTGAAGCAGCCTCACCTCCTTGGAACTGGAGGCCTCCCTGGACCTCGCCGCTTGTCCCTGAGACCTGGCCAGCGCTTCTGTCCGGGGGCCAGTGGTCAGGTGATCTTAGGGACACGTCTGCCCTTTGGGAAATGGGTGTGCCTCTGGAGACCCGGGCAGAGACTGGCCTCGTGCAGCTGGGGCTGGACGCGCCCTGTGCTTCTGGGGTGCTGACCCTCCTGGGCCATCAGAGGTGGCTCTCTGTCAGGAGAAGCAGACTTCGGGCCTTCTCCACGTCTCCCCCACCTCCGACTCTGTTACTGCAGCTGGGTTTTGTCAGCAGCAGAACAGAAGCCAGCACCCTCCAGGACGGGGACTTGGCACACGTTTGGTTTTTTGTGAGGAGAGCAGGGGGCTCTCTGGACCATGGGCGGGGCTGCCTCCCTAGGGGCTCACAGCTCCGTGGCGACCTCGTCACCCTTCCCCACAGAGTGCCGCATGGCTGGCAGGGTGGGCACGACACGCCGTTCCCCAGAAACCCAGTTGACTTCCTCTGTGGGAAGTGGTCAGCCGAGTGTCTGGTGCTGCGGAACATCTGGAGGCGTCACTTGGCATGGGGGACTGGAGGTCACCATGGGTGGCCTGGAAGGGTGGCCGGTGACGACGGGCTCCTGTGAAGTCACTGGAATCTGGAGTGAAATGGCTGGTTACGGATACGTGCGCCAGAGCCTCGTGGTGATGGCGCTGCTGGTGATTTTAACTCTTCTGTGCTTCCCTCCCGCTGAATTTCCCCAAATTTCTGAAACAAGTATGATTGACTTTTGAAAAGCAATTTCCATTTAAGTTGAACAGAGAAAGAAACATGCATGCATGTCAGGAGGCGGCGCAGCGCGGCGAGGCCACGGTTCTCTCCTGCGCGTCAGAAGGCGGCGCAGCGCGGCGAGGCTGTGGTTCTCTGCTTGTGCCCACTTTGTGTTTGTAAATAGCGAGTCGGAGTCGGAGCTGGAGCTAGTTTTTCATCATCTGTCGGCTTCTGCAGACCAATGTCATCATTCCCCGTCCCCTGGGTGGCCCCTCCCCCGCCATCGTTACGCTGTCATCAGCAAGATCACTGTCACTAGGACTGCGTGTATTCCAGTCACAGCTGAGCCATGTAGTGTGCTATGACTTGATTTTTTCAGTTTTAAAAAATAATACAAACACATTTAAAAAACAAGAGAGCCAGTGTGAAAACAGTAGGCAATGAACAGTGTCCACAGAACTCAGAGGGCGGACAGGAGATGGACCCAGGGCAGCTTGGGCCCGTTCCTCACCTGTTACCTGCTGGCAGCAGGAGTGAGGGCCGTGTCTGGGCAGGAGGGGCTGGTACATCCTCACAGGGGTGGCAGGGGGTCCGATTGAGGAGCAGTTGGGTGGCCCAGCCTGCTTCTGCTGCTGCCAGCACAGCCCATGGTGTGCTCTGTGGGGCTGGCAGGGATCCTGGCATGGCCTGTGTGATTCGAGGTCAGAAATCATGACGGGGAAAGGATGCGGCCATACCAGACGGAACCTTTGTCCACAGGGTCCCTGTAACCAGAGCTGTTGGGACGCGGGGAGCAGGCGAAATTTCTGGGCCAATGTTTAAACCTGCCTGAACTCCAGCCTCTCCCTCTTTGTTGTTTGTATGCCGTGCTCAGAAGCTAGCCAGAGGATTCCGTTCAGAAACGGGGCCTGTAGATAATTGCGTTTTGTGTATGCCATGATTTCAAAGTTATACTTGTGTTGTTTCTTAGAATTTGGCCGGGCATGGTGGCTCATGCCTGTAATCCCCCAGCACTTTGGGAGGCCGAGGCGAGGCGGGCAGATTATCTGAGGCCAGGAATTCGTGACTAGCCTGACCAACATGGTGAAATCCCGTCTCTACTAAAAAGACAAAAAATTAGCCGGGCATGGTGGTGCACGCCTGTAATCCCAGCTACTTAGGAGGCTGACACAGGAGAATCACTTGAATCCGGGAGGCGGAGGTTGCAGTGAGCCAAGATGGCGCCATTGCCCTCCAGCCTGGGCAACAAGAGTAAAACTCCATCTCAAAAAAAAAAAAAAAAAAAAAGGATTTGATCCTCTCTAATGATAAGTTGTCATTTTAAATAGATTCTAGGGTATGCAGCCCTTTTCCCAGTGGATTCAGTTTGCTAGCAGACATCTTTTGGAGAAATTTGCCATCATGTGTAGACTTAAGCTGATTTTGTCTCTGTATTTGATGAAAGAGGAGGATATTTCTGAATTATCTCTCATCAGAAGGTATCTGTTCCTCTGTGTCCCCGTTTTCTTTTATAGTTCTCTTGCTCTGTGAGGTTCAGCTAACAGGAATAATATTCTGAGAGAAAACTGAATTTCGAGACAGCTCTCTGTCCTACTCGGGAGACGCAGCTTGCAGACTGGGTCCTTTCTCACGGGCCTTCCTCCTGCACCGCCTGGACACAGTTTGTGCTTCTCATTTGGTGGAAGGCCCAGTCGTTACTTCCTTTTACAAAACTATTTTTAGCTGCAATGTATTTATGGCTGCACAGACAAGAGGACTTTTCTCATGAAAGGAAATGCTTTTCCACAGGGATAAGCGAGTCGTGCGGGGCAGGATTTCCTGAGGAATCAGCAGCACGGCCCTGGGTTCCCACCCCCCAGCACAGCGCCCACCCTGTGTCCCCAGGAGGCCTTAGCCTGTGCTGCGTCTACAGGGTTAAGGCACCCACAGTGCTTTTTTTTTAAATGACTTGTATTTGAAAGTTTTAAGGAAGTCTTTGGAAGGAAATGAGTTGACGTTCTGGTGTGTGTCACCATCGGTGGTTGCCGTTTCTTGGAGTGTGGGTTGTGGTCCCGCTTTCTGGTGTATGTCGCCATCAGTGGTCACTGTTTCTTGGAGTGTGGGGTGTGGTCCCGCGTTCTGTGTGTGTTGTCATGGTGGTCACTGTTTCTTGGAGTGTGAGATGTGGTCCCACGTTCTGGTGTGTGTCGCCATCGCTGGTCACTGTTTCTTGGAGTGTGGGTTGTGGTCCCACGTTCTGGTGTGTGTCGCCATCGGTGGTCACTGTTTCTTGGAGTGTGGTGTGTGGTCCCACGTTCTGGTGTGTGTCGCCATCAGTGGTCACTGTTTCTTGGAGTGTGGGGTGTGGTCCAGGGTGTGGGGGCTGCTGCCCAGGCCTCCCGGCTTTTGTGGATTGGAATCCACATCTGCGCCACGTGCAGGGTTCCTGCCCAGTCTCTGAAGCCCACTAGTCCTTCTGACCAGGCGTTCACTCTGCCTGCCTGCTGAGGGAGCGCTGGGGTCGTTTGACAGGCGGCACCCACACCCTGCAGGGCCACGTGCGCATGCGGGCTCGAGGAAGCTGTGGGAGTGCCTTCCCACTAGGCTTGCTGTGCGGGTTCTTGAGGCAAAGGGAAGGTGGAGTTTGCAGAAGGTCCTGGATGGTGGGTCAGAATGTGGGCACCTGGTTCCAAACCCTGAGGGTCCCTTTGCCAGGGCCTCCGGTAGGGGCCGCGGTCCAAGCCGAGGCACTCGCCCCTCCTGTCCTTCCTCAGGCCCCACTGGCCACAGCCTCCACTGCTTCCAGCATTTTCTTCCTGTTGGGACGGAGTCCTGCCTTGGGAAGCCTTCTGCCTGTAGAGGTTTCTTGCCGGTGTGCACTGCACAGCTTGTGGGTCTTGTGTGTCCCAGAACCCCGAGTGCTCCCTGCCAGCCAGGGCCCAGGCAGTGCTTGGTGAGTGGGAGAGGGATGGCCCTGCTGCCCTGTCCTCCCAAACGGTGTTGTCTCATGGCCTTCAGAGAGCAGACAGACCAGAGGTGGCCTCGGACTCCAAGAGACGCTCCTGGCTTTCCACTCTCGCCCTGTGCAGACCAGCAGTGCGAGGGGTGTTGTGGGGTTAGGGGGTGACGCAGGTTATCCCATGCCAGGGAGCCCACAGCCTCCACCCAGGGCCACGCCTGGCGCCAGCACAGGGAGGTCACAGAGGAGGCTGGAGCAGGGCGTGGTGGGAGGGCACCGATGTGCAATGCCATGCCAGGCCTCGGGGAGCCCCTCGACGAGACCCATGGCTCCTGCACGGATGGTTTCACATTGTCAACACGGCTGGAAAAGGACACGGTCTACAAGTGGAGGCTCGAAGGTGGCTGAGAGTTATGGCACCTGGGCTTTCCAGAAGTTGGCTTGAAATAATTGGTCAAGGTATGTGGCTGGCGAGGGACGCCAGGGATGCGGCCTCCTGCAGTGGTCAGATGCCGTCCTGTGGGATGGGGCCTCCTGCAGTGGTCAGATGCCGTCCTGTGGGGAGGGACAGTGTGGCCTTCATCCGTGGTGACGCCGTCCTGTGTGGGGACTGACAGTATCGTCTCCGTCTGTGATGATGCCGTTCTGTGTGGGGAGGGACAGTGCGGCCTCCATGATGTCCCCCACACTGTCCGCGCTAGGAGTGCAGGTGGTTTCCAGCAGCTGTCTGCCGGCAGGGAGGCTGGGAAGTCAGGCTGGCTGTGTCCAACACCTCCTGGGGCACAGAGGAGTGTGGGGGAGACACTGTTGGAACACAGGTGTGGACATTGCGACACGTGTAAAGATGTCAGTGGGGCCTGCGTTCGAGGATGTTCCGACCACCATGCTGGTCGCACCCTCCAGCGATGGGTCCTCGGTGCAGTGATCTCAAGCGTCGCGTCTAGAATCACCGCACCCCGTTGCTTCCAGACAGCCTCGGTAGCGTTGAGTCCCCTCTTCCTCTTCCTGGATGTACACAGGGGCCACGTGCCGTCTTTGGAGGTCGTGAGTGTTTGAGTCTTTTCATCTCGGCCCCTGCTTTGCTCTTTCTGGCATTGCCATCTGAAAGAGTCTAGCCCACTTGTCTTTAGGGCAGCCTGCCGTGTGGGTCACTGTGGTCATTGCTCGCTCCGTGGTTAGCTGTGTCCTGTCCGTGGTTAGTTAGGTAGTTGGTTGCTCCATGGTTTTCACTTAGAGATTTTGGGCAGGAACATTACCAAGGTGAGCTTGGGCGCTTCTTGTGCCATCAGCTCTGGGGGCCCAGGCTGCTGTCACAGGGAAGGTGGCATCGCCCCACTCCCAGCTTGGCGGGAGGAGGCTCCTCATGTATGACGCCATTTGGGGATCTTCTGTGACTCCTCTATGGGTCCTTTGCCCGTTTTTCCATCAGTTTTGTTTTGTTTTGTATTTTCCCTTGACTTTTAAGAGTTCTTTCAATTGCAAGAAGATTAATTATCTGTGATATATATTGCAAATATTTTCAACCAGTTTGACATTTGTCTTTTGATTTTGCCATGCCAAAGTTTAAAAAAAGTTAGAGTTGACTCACTCTTTTTAAGGATTGTGTTTGGATTTTGAGTCATAGTTTATTTTTCCATATGAACTTTAGAATCACCTTGTCTGGTTTGGGCTGGGCGGGGCGGGCCGCTGGCAGGCTGTGGGACAGGCCAGGGCTATTTCTGCGCTCGCTTGGAGAGGACTGACAGCTCTATGGCGCCGAGTCATGGTCCCTGGAAACAAGAGAGGTCTTTTCATGGACTCAAAGCTTTTGTTCGTTTCCTTCAGGAATGTCTTAAAGTTTTTCTCTTACACAATGTTCACATATGCAAAAGGTCGTTTGTGAGGTTACCTTTTTCCTTGTTGCATTGGAAGCGGGCCTTCTCTTCCAGCAGGCCTTCCGCCTGGTTGTTGTTGGTGTCTGTGATGGCTGTTGTTTTGTCTGTTAATTTCAGGACCTCCTGCTTTCCTGGATTCTCCTGTTGTCTGTCCTTTTTCTGCCTGCTTCTCTGCCCCTCCAGGTGTGCTGTGACGCCATCTGCAGGTGCAGGGAGCTCAGATCTCCTTTCCCGGAGCTGCGCCTCTGCATGTGTTCCCTTTCGGGTCTCATTCCCTCCCCCGATATGTCAGGTGAAATGGCACTGGGCGTAACGGGCGCCCTTGCTGTGTTTCCTTGTCCGAGGGAATGACTGGGTTTGCCCAGGAGGAAAGAGCCGGCTCTGGGATGAGGTGTCAGCGTGTGTGGGGTGGGATGTTTCGAATCCACGTCTCATGTGGTATTCAGCGTGGTATTCAGCGTTGTTGCTATTAAACAAGAAATAATAACAGTGAAAAGACAAAGCGTTTCACTTATAAGGCTAGAGTATAGAACTGTGCCATAAATGAGGGAATTACGGAAGGATTATATAAATCCAAAAATTATTGAATAAAATACAGAAAAAAACCCCAGAAAGACAGCAAATTAAGGAAATGGCAACAGTTTGAAAACATAAATGAAGCACACATTTGGTAAAGCTACCTGAGAGAGGGAGGGGCAGGTTGACTGCATAGTAGTGTGAGGAACAGGAGGATTCATACAGTTTAACAATCCATTGTAAGATAGTTTGTTAACTATTCGGGGAAAGGTTTAAATTGGGGTCTTACTATAGACATTATACCAAAACAAAATCTAAGTGGGGCAAAAATGTTTGTTTGTTTGTTTGTTTGTTTGTTTGAAATGGAGTCTTGCTCTGTGGCCCAGGCTGGAGTGCAGTGGCACGACCTCAGCTCACTGCAGCCTCCGCCTCCCGGGTTCAAGTGATTCTCCTGCCTCAGCCTCCCAAGTAGCTGGGACTACAGGCGGGCGCCACCACACCCAGCTATTTTTAGTAGAGATGGGGTTTTGTGATGTTGGCCAGGCTGGTCACAAACTCCTGATCTCAGGTGATCCGCCCGCCTTGGCTTCCCAAAGTGCTCGGATCACAGGCGTGAGCCACCGTGTCCGGCCAAAAATGTTTAAAATAATATTAATTTTATTTTCTGATACAGGCATGTATAGTCCTAATCTGAGGCACACGCAGGACTTTCTGTGCTGTGTAACAGGTGGCCACGGATGTCGTGGCTTAAAATAACACCAGTTTGTTGTTTCATGCTTCTGTAGGGTGGAGTCAGGGCTCAGCCTGCTGGGTCCTTTGCTCAGGTCTCACGCGGCTGCAGTCAGGTTGCCTGTTCTCAGTGGGCTGTGTTCTCATCTGGAGGCCCAACTAGGCAGGGCCTGCTCTCAGACTGCCTCAGGTGCTTGGCAGATATCATTTCCCTGTGGTTGTAGGACTCACAGCTTCTTGTGCCAGAGCCTATCGGGGAGAGACTGCCCTCTGCTTACAGCCTCAGACCTTTAGACTCACTCTGAAGTGGCTCTTCGATAAGATGAGACCCACCCAGGATTATCTCCCTTTTGATTAACCTAAGATCAGCTGGAGATGGAGCTTCATTATGTCTGCCTGACACTTTCACCTTTGCCTCAGCCTATGCATGGGCGCGCCGTCTTCCCCGGTTCATAGGTCCCACCTGCACTGAGGACGGGGATTACACTGGATGTGAATGCCGGGGCGTGGGGAGCCCTGCGGGCCTGCTGGGATCCTGCATTACAATTTTATGACAAATGGTTGTTGACTTTAATTGAAGAACTTTTCAGTAAACTTAAAAAAAATTAACCTTCATTTATTACTTCTCCATCATTCTTCCTTTCCTATGTACATCCGGAATTTTGAGTTGTGTCATATTCTCCTTCCTGAAGAACTTTTTCAACATGACTTACAGGGCATGTCTACTTTTTTGTGTGAGAAAGTTTATTTTTCTTTCACTTTCGAAGGATGATTTTGCTGTACACATGACTGGGGTCGGGGGGTAGTCCCTCCAGTCTCTTCTTGCTGGTGTGGTTTCTGTTGACAAGTTCACTCTAATTCTTGTCCTTGTTCCTCTATAGCTAAGATGTATTTTTTTCTTGCTTCTTTCAAGATTTTCTTTATTTGTGATTTTCTACAATTGGGATATGATCTGCCTAGGTATAGATTTTTTGGTATTTATTCTGCTTGATGTTCTCTGGGCTTCGTGGATCTGTGGTTTGGTGTCTGGCACTAATTTTGGAAATTTTCAAAGCTCTTATATGTTGCAACTGTAACTGGAATTCTTTAAGTTTGCCAGGAACTATAAAGATAATCATTAGACTTTTTTAGATCTGTTGGTGTGATCAGTTGTATTAGCAGTTTTCCTAACAGTGAATCATCCATGTCTGTATGTATAGAATAGTCACTCGCTTGCTTACTATGTGTGAAGTTTTTAACGTGCTGCTGGATCTTTGGGGTGTGTGTCGTGGCACACACATGAGTGCACACATGAGGCTGGTTTGAAGGTTTCCCTTTTGCACATACGCTGTCTTCATCCTGTTTATATGCCAATGTTATGTTTGTCTCATAATAGGAACTTAGAACTTTCCTTCTTGTGCTGTGATCTAGAGCTGTGCTGTGTAGTAATGTAGCCTCTAACCGCGTGTGATTATTAAAATTTAAGTGAACTAAAATTACATGCAATAAAAAAACTGTTCAGTCACCAGTAGCCTCATTTAAAGGACAGACGTGGCTAGTGCAGGTCTAGAACGTGTCCATCACTGCGGAACGTACTGAGACTTCCTGCGTCGGTGGAAACATTCCGTCATCTACACCGGCCAGTCCTGTAGCAACGGCCTAGGTGGTTTTTGAACGTGTGTGTGTAGGTGTGCCCACACGCATAGGCATGTGGTGAGTGTGTGGGGTGCGTTTGCATGCCTGTGCACGGGTGGTGTGTGGTGCATGCGTGTGTAGGTGTGCCCACATGCACATGCATAGGTGTGTGGTATGTGAGTGTGTGGGGTGCGTTTGTGTGCCTGTGCATGGGTGGTGTGTGGTGCATGCATGTGTGTGGGGTGCATATGTGTGGCGTGGTGGGTGTGTGTGTGCCTGCACGTGTGTGGCATGTGTGTTTGGGTGGTTGTCTTTGCTGGCCCAGTTGTAGCAGCTCTTCCTGAGGTGGGGACCTCTGCCCCACAGCTGCCTGCCTGGAGCTCTCTGGTAGGCGGTCCCCCTGCCAGCCCTGCAGGCTGTATGAGGTTCTCCATGGTTCTCCCCGTCTGCCATTTGCCCTTTGTTATTGCTCTTAGTGACAGGCAGTTATTTAACATTCTGGCCAAAGTGGCTTTCGTTGTTTTCTTCTTCCTAAAGCCTTTAAAATTAAGAGTTAAAAAATAGGAAAGTAATGCGTGATGATTATAGGCATGTTAAAAATAAAGAAGAGAAAAAGAAATACCTCTGCCTCAAATACCCACTCCAACCTTTGGGCGTTTTTTTCTGTCTTTTTCCCTTTTCCTATTGAGAATACCATTGGGAGTGCTGACAGCGCTCGGCATGAGGGGCTCCTGTGACGTGCTGGCACCCTTTCTGGAGTCCCCGCGGACCCTCAGGGGCCAGCTGTGCCTTTGCATTGGCCACAGCGAGGAAGGGGGCCAGGGCATGCAGTTTCTGCAGGGCCACGTCTGCAGGTGGCCATGTGGGCTGCTCGCGCCGGTGGGGGCTTGTGTGAGGTGTGATTTATTTTGTGTTCAATCCATTTTTTTAGAGTATAAGTGTCTTCCATGTCTATGTGCTCATTGTAAATCTTTACTTTGATAACATATACCTAATACTTGTTATTTTAACCACTGGTAACTGTGTAGTTCACTGCCGTCCTCACCTACATTGTGGTGTTTGTTGGTGAGTGTGTAGCTCACTGCCTTTCTTACCCACATTGCGGTGTTTGTTGGTGAGTGTCTGGCTCACTGCCTTTCTTACCTACATTCCAGTGTTTGTTGGTGAGTGTGTAGTTCAGTGCCTTCCTTACCTACATTGGGGTGTTTGTCACTGGCACCCTGTCTATCTCCACGTCATGTTTTATCCAATAAATTTGTTTTTGATTCCTCCCTCTTCTTTCCTTCCGTGGACGCCCTGTGTAACTTTCTTTATTGAGGTGCCTTCTGTAATATTTTTCTGCAGTATTCTAATTGTAATTCTCTTATAAATGATGCTATTATGAACTTCTTTGTTGACAGAGCATTTTTGCTCTTTAGAATTACTTTTTTAAGGACTGACTCCCAGAAATAGAGTTCCACATTTGAAAGTAATGAGTTTTTTTTTTTTAACATTTCCCATATTTTCATAGTTTTTGTATTGTTCTTTGAGACCAAGAGAAGAATTTTTGGGTGTTTAAGAGAAAAAGAAGGCATGTGCTTTCTTTCATATGGTGGCTGAACACACGCAGAGCTGCTTGGCCTGTGGGCTGAAATTTGAGCATTTCTTTAAGACCTAGTTTGTTTATTTTTTACTCTCACTTCAGTGGTTTTAAAAATAACTACATTAACCAAACGTGGCTGTACCTCCGAGGACTTCTTGCCAGAGCTGCTCCTGGGAAAGGGTTCAGTCTCTCTAGTTTGTGCCCATCACCCAGTGGGACAGCTACATGGACGTGGCATGGCGGCGTGGCGGCATGGCCCAGTAAAGACCAGTTTGGGCAGGATGAATGGCCCTCAATTAAAGGGTGTCGTGGTAGGCAGGGTCTAATTTTATAAAAGCTTCTGGCACATGTACATTCAAAATTTCTTTTTTGTCTTTGATCTTGGCAGAAGAGGACACCCAAGTGTGTGTGCGTGTGTGTGCATGTTTTGTTTTGTTTTTTTTTTTTGAGATGGAGTCTCGCACTGTCACCCAGCTGGAGTGCAGTGGCACCATCTCAGCTCACTGCAACCTCCACCTCCCAGGTTCAAGCGATTCCCCTGCCTCAGCCTCCTGAGTAGCTGGGATTACAGGCACCCACCACCATGCCCGGCTAATTTTTTTGTATTTTTAGTAGAGACAGGGTTTCACTATGTTGGCCAGGCTGTTCTTGAGAATTCCTGACCTCGTGATCCACCCTCCTTGGCCTCCCAAAGTGCTGGGATTACAGGCGTGAGCCACCACGCCCGGCCCATGTGTGTGTGCATGTTTGTGTACGTGTGTATGCATGCATGTGTGTTTGTGTGCAGGCTCCTGTACATGTGCGCGTTTGTGTGTGTCCATGTGTTTGCTTGTGTGCGTGTGTGCATGCGTGTGTGTGCATGTGTGTGCATGTGTGTGCATGCACGTGTGTTTGGAGGCTCCTGTGCATGTGTGCATGTGTGCGCGCATGTGCACGCATGTGTGCGTGTGTGCACACATGTGTGCGTGTGTGCATGCGTGTGTGCATGCACGTGTGTTTGTGTGCACGCTCCTGTACGTGTGTGCATGTGTGCATGTGTATGCATGCATGTGTGTGTGCAGGCTCCTGTACGTGTGTGCGTGTGTGTATGTGTGCATGTGTTTGCATGTGTGTGCATGGGTATGTGCACGTGTGCATGTGTGCATGCATGTGTGTGAGTGTGTGTGCGCATGTGTGCGTATGCACATGCACTTGTGTTTTCATGGCCGAGGGTTTATTTTCTAGTAATTTGAAGCCCTAAGTGACAGAACCTTTTCTGTTCTTCTCAGTGTTTGTGCTACTGTCCTCTCCCTCTTCTCTCAGTCTCAGAAGATGTGTCAGGGTGTCTGGATGTGGTCTGTCAGCTCATCCACAAGGACTCGGGCCATCTCCCCTGTTCCTGCAGGTGGTGGGAAGTTTCTATATCCACATTTTCTTCATTGAGGATATTGTGGTTTGTTGTGAAAGTGCTTACATTCAGTGGGATAAAATTTGAGTCACATATTAGGATATTATATTGTTATTTCAGTTGTGAATTTTAAGAAATTATATAATTTCTTACACATCTTCAGGAATGCATTAGGCAAGTTAAACAATAGTGTTACATGTTGGGGATATGTTTATATGCAGAGCGGTTGTAAAAACTGTATTAACATCTGTGTGCATTGCACGTGTCTGCTTGTTCCTCTGTTTCCAGTGTTTTGTCCTTTAGTGTGTGCTGCAGCGCTGTGCTACGTGTAGTGACCCTGGGCCTGTGGTGCGTCCTGCGGGGCTGTGCTACGTGTAGTGACCCTGGGCCTGTGGTGCGTGTTCCGGGGCTGTGCTACGCGTAGTGACCCTGGGCCTGTGGTGCGTGTTCCGGGGCTGTGCTATGCGCAGTGACTCTGGGTCTGTGGTGCGTGTTCCGGGGCTGTGCTATGCGTAGTGACTCTGGGCCTGTGGTGCGTCCTGCGGGGCTGTGCTACGCGTAGTGACCCTGGGCCTGTGGTGCGTGTTCCCGGGCTGTGCTACACATAGTGACTCTGGGCCTTTTGGGCAGGTCTCAGATTTACTGTCTGTTTTAATTTCAATTGCAGTTTTTGTTTGATTTCGCTTGGGCGTCTGGGACCTACCCTTCCTACTGCTAGGGTCAGAACTTTCTCTTTTTTTCATTTTATATGAGGTGAGTAAAGTGCAGCTCTCAGACGTGTGGAGACTCAGTGTGTGGCTCGGCTGCTTGAGTGGCGCTGTGGCGATGGAGATTACCTCCACCTTTTTAATGCGGTAAAATGGGTATAAAATTTTCCATCTTAACCATGTTTAAGGGTGCAATTCAGTGGCATGAAATGCATTCATAATGTTGCATAACCATCACTGTCATCCATCTCCAGATCTCTTTTAATCTTGTAAAACTGCAGCTCTGTCCTCGTTAAACACTGAGTCCCTGTCTGCCCCCAGTTCCTTTGTCACCAACATTTTACTTTCTGTCTCCATGAATCTGATGACTCCAGATATCTCACATGAGTGCGATCATACATTCTTTGTCTTTTTGTGTTTGGCTTATTTTCCTTAGCATAATGTTCTCAAGGTTGTTGCATAGTCAGAATACCCTTCCTTTTTAAGGCTGAGTTATGTGGATAGACCACAATTGTATCCATTTGTCCGTGGATGGACACTTGGGTTTCTTCCAGCTTCTGGCTGATTGTGGGTGTACCGATATCTGTTTAAGTTCCTGCTTTCAGTTCTTTTGGGAATTGTATTAGTTCATTTTCATGCTGCTGATAAAGACGTACCTGAGACTGGGAAGAAAAAGAGGCTTAATTGGACTTATAGTTCCGCATGGCTGGAGAGGCCTCAGAATCATGGCAGGAGGTGAAAGACACTTCTTAAATGGCTGCAGCAAGAGAAAATGAGAGAGAAGTAAAAGCGGAAACCTCTGATAAGCCCATCAGATCTCTTGAGACTTATTCAGTATCATGGGAATAGCACAGCAAAGACCAACCCCCATGATTCAATTACCTCCCCCTGGGTTCTTCCCATAACAGGTGGGAATTCTGGGAGATACAATTCAAGTGAGATTTGGGTGGGGACACAGCCAAACCATATCATTCCATCCCTGGCCCCTCCAAACCTCATGTCCTCACATTTCAAAACCAGTTATGCCTTCCCAACAGTCTCCCAAAGTCTTAACTCATTGCAGCATTAACCCAAAAGTCCACAGTCCAGTCTTATCTGAGACAAGGCAAGTCCCTTTCATGTATGAGCCTGTAAAATCAAAAGCAAGCTAGTTACTTCCTGGATACAATGGAGGTACAGGTATTGGGTAAATACAGCCGTTCCAAATGGGAGAAATTGGCCAAAACAAAGGGGTTACAGGGCCGATGCAAGTCCGAAATCCAGCGGGGCAGTCAAATTTTAAAGCTCCAAAATGATCTCCTTTGACTCCTGGTCTCACATCTAGGTCACACTGTTGCAAGAGGTGTGCTCCCACGATCTTGGGCAGCTCCGCCCCTGCGGTTCTGCATGGTACAGCCTCCCTCTCGGCTGCTTTCATGGGCTGGCATTGAGTGTCTGCGGCTTTTCCAGGCACACAGTGCAAGCTGTTGGTGAATCTGCCATTCTGAGGACTGGAGGATGGTGGCCCTCTTCTCACAGCTACACTAGGCATTGCCCCAATAGAGACTCTGTGTGGGGGCTCTGACCCCACATTACCCTTCTGCACTGCCCTAGCAGAGATTCTCCATGAGGGCCCCACCCCTGCAGCAAACTTTTGCCTGGACATCGAGGCATTTTCATACATCTTCTGAAATCTGGGTGGAGGTTCCCAAACCTCAGTTCTTGTCTTCTGTGCACCTGAAGGCTCAACACCACTGGCAGCTGCCAAGTCTTGGGGCTTCCACCCTCTGAAGCCACAGCCCGAGCTGTATGTTGGCCCCTTTTAGCCACGGCTGGAGTGGCTGGGATGCAGGTCACCAAGACCCTAGGCTGCACACATCATGGGGACCCTGGGCCTGGCCCATGAAACCAGTTTTTCTTCCTGGGCCTCTGGGCCTGTGGTGGGAGGTGTTGCCATGAAGGTCTCTGATGTGGCCTGGAGACATTTTCCACATGGTCTTGGGGATTAACAACAGGCTCCTTGCTACTTACCCAGATTTCTGCAGCTGACTTGAGTTTCTCCCCAGAAAATAGGTTTTGCTTCTCTATCACATATTCAGGCTTCAAATTTTCCAAGCTTTTATGCTCTGCTTCCCTTAGAAAACTGAATGCCTTTAACAGTACTGAAGTCACTTCTTGAATGTTTTGCTGTTTAGAAATTCCTTCCACCAGATACCCTAAATCATCTCTCAAGTTCAAAGTTCCACACATCTCTAGGGCACGGGCAAAATGCTGCCAGTCTCTTTGCTAAAACATAACAAGGGTCACCTTCGCTCCAGTTCCCAACAAGTTCCTCATCTCTATCTGAGACCACCTCAGCCTGGATTTTACTGTCTGTATTGCTGTTGGCATTTTGGGCAAAGCCATTCAGCAAGTCTCCAGGAAGTTCCAAACTTTCCCACATTTTCCTGTCGTCTTCTCATCCCTTCAAACTGTTCCAACCTCTGCCTGTTATGCAGTTCCAAAGTCTCTTCCACATATTCGGGTATCTTTTCAGCAATACCCCACTCCTGGTACCAATTTACCGTATTAGTTCATTTTCACACTGCCAGTAAAGACATACCTGAGACTGGGAAGAAAAAGAGGTTTAATTGGACTTACAGTTCCACATCACTGGGGAGGCCCCAGAATCATGACAGGAGACAAAAGGCACTTCTTACATGGCAGTGGCAAGAGAAAATGAGAAGGAAGCAAAAGCAGAAACCCCTGATAAACCCATCAGATCTCATGAGACTTATTCACTATCACGAGAATAGCATGGGAAAGACTGGCCCCCATAATTCAATTACCTCCCCCTGGGTCCCTCCCACAACACATGGGAATTCTGGGAGATACAATTCAAGTTGAGATTTGGGTGGGGACACAGCCAAACCACATCAGGAATATAGCCAGCAGTGGAATTGCTTCACTGTATAGTAATTCTGTTTAATTTTTGGAGGAGCTGCCATTTTTCTTCATAGCGATGGCACCATGTTACATTCCCACCAGCAGTGCACAAGGGTCCCATTTCTCCATCTCATCCCAACACTTATTATTTTCTCTTTTCAATTTTAATGTTTTGTATAATATCCATCGTATCCATCCTAATGGGTGTGAAATGGCATTTCATTATGGTTTTCATTTGCATTTCCTTAATGATTAGTGATAATGAACATCCTTTCATGTGCACGTTGACCATTTCATATGTCTTCTTTAGAAAACTGTTTAAGTCCTCTTCCTATTTTTAATGGGGTTGTATGTCCTTTTGTTGTTGAGTTGTAGAAGGTTAAAAATATATTCTGAATATTAACCCGTTAGCAGACACATGACTTGCAGATATTCTCTTCCATCCTGTGGCTTGTCTTTCATCCTATTGATAGTGGCTTTTGATGCACAAAAGTTGTTAAGTTTGATGTCCCGCTTGTCTGTTTTTCCTTTTGTTGCCTGTGCTTTGGATATTGCATTTAAGAAGTCATTGTCAAATCCAGTGTCACAAAGTTTCTCCCCTATGTTTTCTTCTAAGAATTTTTATAGTTTTAGATTTTTGATCCATTTTGAGTTAATTTTTGTCTGTGGTGTAAGGTAAGAAACCAGTTTCATTCTTTTGCATGCGGTTATCCAGTTTTCCCAGCCTCATTTGTTGAAAGGACTGTTCTTTTCCCCAGTGAATGGTCTTGGCACCACTGTCAAAAATCATTTGACCATATTACAAGGCTCTTTATTCCATTCCATTGGTCCACATGTCTGTCTTGTGCCAGGACCACACTGTTTTGACTGCTTTAGGTTGTAGTAAGTTCCACATAAGGAATTGTGAGGTTTCCAATTTGTTCTTCTTTTTTAAGGCTATTTTTGGCTATTCAGGGTCCCTTGAGATTCCATATGAATTTTAGCGTGGACTTTTCTGTTTCTGCAAAAGAAAGTCATTGGGATTTTGATATAAATGGAATTGAATCTGCAGGTTTCTTTGGGTAGCATCAGCATCTTAATAACGTTAACTCCAGTTTGTGAACATGGAATGGATATCTGAATTTCTTTCAGCAACATTATGTAGCTTTCAGTGTTCAAGTCTTGCCTCCTTGGTTAAGTTTATTTCTAAGTTTTTTATTCTTTTCGATGCTGTTATAAATGGGATTTTAAAACATTTTCTTTTCACATTGTTCATTGTTAGTGTTGTTTGTGTGTTGATCTTATATCCTGCCACGTTGCTGAATTGCTGAATTTTTGTGACGGAGTCTCGTTCTGTCACCTAGGCTGAAGTGCAGTGACACAGTCTCGGCTCACTGCAACCTCTGCCTCTGGATTCGGGTGATTCTCCTGCCTCAGCTCCCGAGTAGCTGGGACCACAGGCATGCACCACCATGCCTGGCTAATTTTTTGTATTTTTAGTAGAGACAGGGTTTTGTCATGTTGGCCAGGCTGGTCTTGAACTCCTAACCTCAGGTGATCCACCTGCCTCTGCCTCCCAAAGTGCTGGGATTGCAGGTATGAGCCACTGCGCCCGGCCTTATTTCTATCAATTTTTTGGTGGAATTTCTAGGGTTTTGTATACATAAGAGCATATAGTCTGTGAACAGAGATAATTTTACTTCTTCCGTTCCCATTCGGGTACCTTTTCTTTCATTTTCTTGCCTAATTGCCCAGGCTGGGCCTACCAGTGCAGTGTTGAATGGTAGTGATGAGCGCGGGCATCCTGGTGTTCCTGCTCTTAGAGGGAAAGCTTTCTGTCATCCACTATTGAGTGCATTCACTGTGGGTGGTAATCTACAGGCACGTTCTCTCTCAGAGGTCCTTTCTTTCCTTTTGTGTCTAGAAAGGCTGTTTTTCTACCACGATGACAGCAATTTGCTTATTTTCTCTCCTGATTCCTTTGTGGTTTCAAGTCTTATGTTCATATCTTCTGAATCTATCTGGAGTTTAGTTTCTTTGTGGAATAAAGAAAGGATCTAATATAGCATTTTAAAAGTAAATATTTAACTAGTCCTAGTATTGCTTGTCAATTAATGCCTCTTCCCTCAACAGTGTGAAATGCCTCAATCTCTCCTGCTGACGTCTCTGCCTTCCGAAGCTACAAAGGGGAAGAGTTGGGCCTTCTGGGCGGCTGTGGGCCAGGCTGCCTCTGGCATCTTGGTCTCTCATGTGGGTATTCTCTATTAGGGGCTGTATAGCAAACACGCTAAAGATCATCTCAGTTTTTTAGTACTTCTCACTAAAATGGAATCATTTTATAAGGTCTGTTTCTCCCTTCCCTTCAGAATATGCACTATAGAAAATTACAGATCACTCCAGCTCCCACTACCCAGAAAGAACGCTTGTCCACGTGGAATAAACGTCATCCCAGTCTGCAGAGCTCCAGCAAGGAGGACAGGCTGTGCTTCACCAGTTAAATTTAATCCTGCTCAAATTGTCAGGAGAAACAGACACTGAAGTGAAACTCAAGGAACTTCTGAATTTGAGATAAATATTTATTGGTGCAAGAGATAAAGCTCTACAATTCCTCTAAGGATAAGAAAACTTTTCTAAACTTGAAGAATGTAGCGTTTAAGAATACATTTTAATTTTAGAGCACGTTTATGAATGCTCTGGTTTGGAAGGTATCATGATTCTTAGGCAGCCTCTCAGCTCCTGGGCCCCACTTGCTGATTTAATAGATTCTATTACTTGTGTTTTGTTAGTTTGTAACAGAGACACTCTGTTCCACCTTTCCCTGCCTCCGTTTTCAGCCCTTGGTTCTGTACTGTGTGGACATGGTGTGGGTCACTGTGGTCTTTCCTTTCTGACTTCTGGGCTCTGCTGCATCACCTGAGTTCTGCCCTGCGCCGTCAGGGTCCCCTCTCCGTCCAGCCCTGCGCCGTCAAGGTCCCCTCTCCGTCCCGCCCTGCGCCGTCAGGGTCCCCTCTCCGTCCCGCCCTGTGCCGTCAGGGTCCCCTCTCTGTCCCGCCCTGTGCCGTCAGGGTCCCCTCTCTGTCCCGCCCTGTGCCGTCAGGGTCCCCTCTCTGTCCCGCCCTGTGCTGTCAGGGTCCCCTCTCCGGCGCACCCTGTGCTCCTGTGCTGTCAGGGTCCCCTCTCCATCCTGCCCTGCACCGTCAGGGTCCCCTCTCTGGCGTACCCTGTGCTGTCAGGGTCCCCTCTCCATCCTGCCCTATGCTGTCACGGTCCCCTCTCCATCCTGCCCTGTGCCGTCAGGGTCCCCTCTCCATCCTGCCCTGTGCTGTCAGGGTCCCCTCTCTGGCGCGCCCTGTGCCATCAGGGTCCCCTCTCCATCCTGCCCTGTGCTGTCAGGGTCCCCTCTCTGACGCTTGCCCTGCAAACATCCTCCTTTCCCGTGACTGCTACGCTCAGGAGCGAGGATGCAGTCAGACCCTGTTTTGTTGCCTCTGGAGCATCCTTCTCTTCCTCTTCCCCCCGTTTGTTATTTGGTGAGGTTTGGGGGGAAAGGGGTGTCTTAATCTTCCTTATGGTGTGTTTGCCCAGAGCTCAATAGTAGTTGAAAAGGTTTTCTTGTCATATCAATTCCTCAAGCTATGCTACTTGCACACTGTGGTCTGTGGGGCTGCATAGTGAAATGTCCTTTTCCTGGATGGAGGGAAGACAGAGAAGGAACATGATGCAGCCTCACTGCTCAGGATGGAAAAACGCTGGGATTAGGGGTCACCTATTGGTCTGGGGAAGCTCAGTGACCCAGGGAAAATTGAACTGATGGAGAAGACAGTATTTGATCAGACCTGTGAGCAGTGAAGGCATGGGGGCTGTTGCCAGTCTGCAAAGAGAGAGTGCAAAGGCCCTGGGGCCAGAGGACCAAATGTCTGAGACTCAGAGCAAAGCAGGTGGAGCGGAGGGCAGGGAGGCCACGGGCTCAGGGCCTGGTGGCTGTGCAGACCTGGAAGGCCTTTGCTGTTTATCCTGAGAGAGCAGGAGGGCCCTGGAGGGTGGATCCACTTGTGTTTTCTGAGAATCACCCTGGCTGCCTGTGGAGTGTAGACTGGAAGCAGGTAAGGACAGAGCAGGGAGATCCCTGAGGAGGGAGTGGGAAGGGACTGGGGATGGGGAAGAAGTGGATCCCCCAGGAGGGAGTGGGGAAGGGGCTGGGGATGGGGAAGAAGTGGATCCCCCAGGAGGGAGTGGGGGAGGGGCTGGGGATGGGGAAGAAGTGGATCCCCCAGGAGGGAGTGGGGGAGGGGCTGGGGATGGGGAGTGGGTGGATCCCCCAGGAGTGAGGGGGAAGCAGCTGGGGATGGGGAGGGGATGGGGAGGGCATTGATCCCCCAGGAGTGAGGGGGAAGCGGCTGGGGGATGGGGAAGGGACAGGGAGGGAGTGGATCCCCAGGAGGGATGGGAAAGGGGCTGGGGATGGGGAGGGGATGGGGAGGGTGTGGATCCCTTGGAGGGATGGGGAAGGGGCTGGGGATGGGGAGGGGACAGGGAGGGCGTGGATCCCCTGGGGGATGTCCTGGAAGTGACACAGTGGCACTGAGGCCAAGGGAGGCTGGTGGGATGGTGGGATGGTGGGATGGGGCCCAGGAGGCCCTGGGAGCTTCCAAGCTGGGGTCAGCCAGGCAGACGCAGCAGCGCCACGCGGGCCAGAAAGTGGCCCCTGGGCAGGGCCCCATGGTCACCGTGGCCGTCACAGTGGCCCCGACTAGTGTTGGGGTGTGTGCCAAAGGCAAGAACTGAAGGCCTTGAGGGCCTTGTCTTTTTTTCACGTTTCTTCTCTTCCTTCTTTGGAGTGTTTTTGCTCTCATCTTTCATTTAGACTTTTGGTCTAATTATTTCACAGCCTTTGAGTGCCTCCTCATAAACAGTCAGCAAACACGGATGTCTTTGTTTAGAGCACCGTGTTAGGACTGTCTGGGCTTATTAACCTTAGTGGATCCACAGTCAATGTTGGGGGAAGTCATATCCACGGTTTAAATGAGGTCATGACCCATGAATTGGGCTGGAGCGCGTGTTACTGGGGCGAGGTGCACACAGTGAACGGTGTGTCCAGGTGTCCGCTGTCACATTTGTGCGTTTGGTGTTTAGGGTGGCTCCTGGGCAGGGCTGCTGGGCACGCAGCTGCAGCTGGATGTGGGGCTGGGACCCTCGATGGGGACTTGCTGGTAGGAGCTGGGGCCAAGGGAGGCTGTCCACGTGGGCTGAGGGTCCTCAGTGGCGGGACAGCGGCGTGGGTCAGTCGCCTCCCCTCCTGCCGGGTCCTCAGTGGCGGGACAGCGGCGTGGGTCAGTCGCCTCCCCTCCTGCCGGGTCCTCAGTGGCGGGACAGTGGCGTGGGCTGATGGCCTCCCCTCCTGCTGGGGCGGTTGCGTGCGTCCCACGAGGAGGTCCCTGGACCCAGAGGGCAGGGCATGGGGGTGCTCAGAGCCGCAGTGGGCGATTCTCTCCCTTCGCGTGTGTGTGTGCTGGGGTTGTGTGTCCTTGAAGCCTGGAGCCAGGGTGTTCTCGGCTCGGTCCTGTGATCTGTGAAGCTCTTGTTTCTTGTCAGGTTTTTTATTTTTCATTAATTTATCTAAAATTCAGTCTTCCTGCTTTTTAGGGTTCTTAGACCCGTCAGCAAGTGAACGGAGGAGCGCGCCTGGTGTGTGGCCAGCCTTGCGATGCTGTTGTGTTTGCGTGGGCGCGGAGTCTGGGCCCAGCTGCACTGGCGGCCTGCACGCCTTGGCCCCATGCCCACGGCCACGGAGGCTGAGACCAGGGCAGGGGCTTTAGTCCCGATGGGAGCGGGGGCAGGGCCTTGTTTATTGTTTTTAATCGCGGCAAAAACCCACAACATTAAATTTACCACCTTAACCGTTTCCGAGTGTGCAGTTCCTTAGTGCTAAGTACATTCACGTTGTTGCACGGATCTCTAGAACTTGTTCTCTCGCAAAATGGAAACTCTACCCTTTTAGATGCTGACTCTGTCCCCTCACGGTGGGCGATGTTGGAGCTGGGGTGCTTCCTGAGCGTGGGCGGCTTGTGCTGAGTGCTCGCGCTCAGCCTCGTCCGCGGTGACCTCCCTCCTCTTGGGTTTGAATGGCTGTGCTGCCCTTGGCCGGAGCTGGCACAGAGCCCAGGAGCAGCCAGGTGGCCTGGGGCTCAGCGGAGCGGTCAGGGTGGAGAGCGACTGGGCCGTCCCTTCTCCTGAAGCAGTGGCATTTTCAGGCTTGCGCTTAGCTCCTCCGATTCTGTCCAGGAGCTTCCTGGGGCCTGGGTCTCTGGCGGGGCTGGAGTTTCCTTGCGTGTGTGCACGTGTGTGCACGCCTGTGGCATGTGGTAGGTTTTCTGTTGATGGCTCTAGCAAGTGCTTTCTGAAGATTCTGACAGTTGTGACGGACTCTATAAAAGCCCCTTGCTCTTCACCCCAAACACACAGAAATGCCATATGCGACCATGATGTTTTGTACTCCACAAAGCTCAGCTTTGTCTAGTGCCTGTGAAGGGGCTTTGGCTCAGGCAGGGGCGGGTGTGGAAAGGTGCCACCGTCTTGCTTGTTGAAGCTGGGTTACTGGCTGAGCCGTCTCTTCCCTGGGAGGCTGGAGGCTGGAGCAACACAGAGCCTTCCCCTCCTCGCCACCCGTGTGGGGGCTGCGCGACGCTGCCCGAGCTTTCCTGAGACAGAGTGCATCGTGCACCATGTCCCTGGGACAGCACAGAGCGGAGCCCCCACACAGAGCGGGGTCCCCGCGTGGGCCTGGGGTTTCCCCGTGCGGGTGGAGCTCCTCCATGCGGGGTGGGCCCGGGCTGCGCCTCTGCTCCTGCCCCACGTTGTCTTCACAGGAGCTTGTCCTGGCTCTGTTTAGGGCTGTGCCATTGGTCTGACTGGCTTTTCTTTTTCTTCTTAATTTACAGCCAGAAAACCTGCAGAAGAACTGGCTTCGGGAATTTTACCAGGTAAGAACCACTGAAACGTGTTCTTTTGGATTCATTACTTAGCCAATAAGGTGCCTTTTTGCTTTGGCATTCCTCCATGGAGTCTGGTGTGTCTATGGGGAGCGCAGGCCTGGGCTGTGGCTGGGTCTCTCGGCTCCGCTGCCTGTGCTGGGCAACATGTTTCTGTGTCACAGTCGGTCCACTGCCCGCCTGCCGGTGAGCCTGGCCAGATCCTCCTCGGGCTCACTGTTCACATTCCGGCTCCCTCCCCGCTCCCCGCGGGGTTCAGAGAATCAGAGAACCTGGGGGCTCCCTCCAGGGCTGGGTGAGCATCCCCAGTGGGGCCGTGGAGAGCTGGCAGCGAGGCTGGGTGTGCTCCTCACCAGGTCCGGTCCGTGCAGCGCACTCTGTGCAGAGAGTGGGTGCTGGGCTGGGGGAGGCGACCGGTTGGAGGGTTTCGGGCTGGCACTGCCAGGCCGAGGCACGGACCCCCCTGTCTAATATGGGGCCGGTGTTTATGGAGCCCGGTACTGTGCTGTGCTCTGGTGTGGACGCTGCAGATGCCACTGTGAAGAGACAGGCTGGTGCCCTCGCAGGTCTTCATGGAAGGAGCCACCTGGGGCCTGTGGCCGAGCATGTGTGCCTGTGGGGTGGCGCCAGAGGCCTCTCTGAGGACTGGGTGCATGGGGGAGGCCAGGCAGGCGAGGAGGGCAACGTGGCCATGGGCATGACGGTGGCCAGGCTCGGCTCCAGGGGCTGGTGGTGAGGTCAGCTTCAGGATGGGGTGGCCTGGACGGTGGAGCTGCTCACATGCTCAGACCCACGCAAGGGCTGAGCCCGGGACTGAAATCCTGTTTCAGGTGTGTTTGGCTGCTGATTGGAGATGGGCTGGGGAGGCCAGAGTGGAGGCCCAGGGGCCCTCTGTGAGGGCATGGGGGTGTGGGACCTGGGGGGTGGCCCGACCTGGGCCTGAGGTGCTGGGCCAGAGGTGGAGCTGGGACAGCCAGGAGGGCTGGGGACCTCTGTGCCCTCGGGCCTGTGTCCTGCCTGCCAGTGCTCCCATGTGGTGAGGCTCCCAGCATGCAATGGTGCTCTGTAGCCGGCATCCAAGTCCCCCCATAGGGACAACGGCGTGTGTGTGCACGTGTGTGCGCATGTGTGTGCTTAGCACCTATGTGGTGAGGAAGCCATTGTTCTACAGGGACCTGATAAATCTCTCTCCGTAGAGTCTTTGGTCAGATGTGCAAATGAGAGACATCTTTCCCTTTTGAAAACATATATTTACAAATCGAAATAATAGATATGATGAATTTAGCTGTAATGTGTGACATCATCTGCTCAGCGCTCACTTGGAGAAAGAGGACACTCCAGGAGTTGAAGCTGCCGTGCCACCCCCATCCACGGTGCTCTCATCATCTCTGTCCTTTATGTCAACCGCACGTCGGGGGCCAGTGGCGGGGGCGGGTTTGCCTTGTGAGGTGGGGTCTTGCTGCGTGTGCCTGTCGGGGAGACCCACATCCTTGCAGAACCTTCGTCCTCTCCTGGTGTGTCTCCCCTCCAGGGATCCACAGGTTTTCCCTCACTGAATGTTTAGGTGTGTGTGACCGGCAAGGAGCAGAACCTGCCGCCTACACAGCTGAAATCAGAATCTGCCCCTGTGTTTTGGTGTTTTTCCTTTTTGAAAACTGTCTGCTGCTTTTGTTGTTGTTGTTGTTGTTTTTGTTTTTGAGACGGAGTCTCACTCTGTCACCCAGACTGGAGTGCAGTGTTGCGATCTCGGCTCACTGCAAGCTCCACCTCCCGGGTTCACGCCATTCTCCTGCCTCAGCCTCCCAAATAGCTGGGATTACAGGCACCCGCCACCATGCCCGGCTAATTTTTGTATTTTTAGTAGAGACGGGGTTTCACCACGTTGACCAGGCTGGTCTTGAACTGACCTCAGCTGATCTGCCTGCCTTGGCCTCCCAAAGTGCTGGGATTATAGGCATGAGCCACCGCACCTGGCCTGTCTGCCGCTTTTTTCTTGGTTTATTTTATTTTAATTATATTTAAATTTTGTCCCAATCAAGCCAGCGGCAGCCCCGCAGGAGCAGAGTTTTAGGAGACGTTTACAGTGGCTGGGCCTGACCCGCAGTTCCTGATGGTACAGTGCAGCCATGGCGGACACCGAGGTCCCGGCAACAGCTCCCAACAAACCCTGGGCTTCCTCACACCAGGCAGTGGCCAGGCTCTACCTGGGGCTCCAAAGGCCTCTTCTGCCTCATGGAGGGGCACGTGAGCCCCACCTGTGAGGGACCGGAAAGGTCGATGTGGAGGAAGCCCCTGTCCCCACGCTCCAGCCCCTGGCAATTGTTTCCCTGTGTGCGTGGCCCCCCGAATCCTGGGTCCCCTCTGCCCCTGCAGCTCTGTGGAGCCCAGTGATGGGGGTGGGGGGTGGGGGGCGGTTCGTGAACAGGAAGTAGGGGTTGCCCCGGGCCTAGCTCCGGGCCTGCACACCTGGTGGGCTCTCTTCAGGCTGGACCATGTGCTGGACTTCCCAAGCGAGGTGCTGGCCCTGGGACATGTGACCTGAGCACAGAGAGCTGCAAAAAACCCAGAGGGCCTGCCAGTGGACGTTGGCGTGTGGCCCCAGCCAGCTCGCTGCAGGGCGCAGGTGTGGTGGGGAGACCTGGGGCTGCTCCAGGGTCTGCAGCCTATGCTGGCCAGCGTGGGGACCACCCAGTGCTGGGTCGGCTGGGCCCAGCCATCCACATCCCACTGATGCTCAGGCACCCACAGGCTGGGCCGTGGCAGCTTCTCTGCTCTGCTCCTCACCATCCAGACAGCTGCATCTGCTGCAGGGTTTGGAGCTGGTGTCTTTGCTCACTAACTGAAGAAGCTCTTGTTCTCCAGGGTTTATGGTTGGGTTTGGGATGAGGATGTAGGCAGATCGCTTGGAGAACAGCTGAGGCCTGAACAGGAAAAAACATCTGGAAAGGGGTCTTTTGAGATTGGGACAAGGAGAGGTCAGCATCAGGAGGATCTCAGGAGATGAGGAGTGCAGGGGAGAGAGGCCCTGTCAGAGGAGGGGAGGGAGGTGACGTGGGCAGAGGAGAGGCCCTGTCAGAGGAGGATGAGGGAGGTGAGTTGGGCAGGGCAGAGGCCCTGTCAGAGGAGGATGTGGGGTGGGAGGTGAGGTGGGCAGGGGAGAGGCCCTGTCTGAGGATGGTGAGGGAGGTTAGGAGTTCATGGGAGAGGCCCTGTCAGGGGAGAGTGAGGGAGGTGAGGAGTTCATGGGAGAGGCCTGTCAGAGGAGGATGAGGGAGGTGAGGTGGGCAGGGGAGAGGCCCTGTCAGAGGAGGATGAGGGAGGTGAGGTGGGCAGGGGAGAGGCCCTGTCAGAGGAGAATGAGGGAGGTGAGGTGGGCAGGGCAGAGGCCCTATCAGAGGAGGGTGAGGGAGGTGAGGTGGGCAGAGGAGAGGCCTGTCAGAGGAGGGTGTGGGAGGTGAGGAGTTCATGGGAGAGGCCCTGTCTGAGGAGGGTGGAGGAAGTGAGGTGGGCATGGGAGAGGCCCTGTCCGGGGAGGGTGACGGAGGTGAGGTGGGAAGGGGCGAGGCCCTGTCAGGGGAGGGTGAGGGAGGTGAGGTGGGAAGGGGAGAGGCCCTGTCAGGGGAGGGTGAGGGAGGTGAGGTAGGCAGGGGAGAGGCCCTGTCAGGGGAGGGTGAGGGAGGTGAGGTGGGCAGGGGAGAGGCCCTGTCAGGGGAGGGTGAGGGAGGTGAGGTGGGCAGGGGAGAGGCCCTGTCCAGGGAGGGTGAGGGAGGTGAGGAGTTCATGGGAGAGGCCCTGTCAGAGGAGGGTGAGGGAGGTCAGGTGGGCAGGGGAAAGGCTCCATCAGAGGAGGGTGCGGGAGGTGAGGAGGGCAGGGGAGAGGCCCCGTCAGAGGAGGGTGTGGGAGGTGAAGTGGGCAGGGGAGAGGCCCCATCAGAGGAGGGTGTGGGAGGTGAGGGGGGCAGGGGAGAGGCCCTGTCAGAGGAGGGTGTGGGAGGTGAGGAGGGCAGGGGAGAGGCCCTGTCAGAGGAAGGTGTGGGAGGTGAGGAGGGTAGGGGAGAGGCCCTGTCAAGAGGAGGGTGTGGGAGGTGAGGTGGGCAGGGGAGAGGCCCTGTCAGAGAGGGGAGAGGGAAGTGAGGTGGGCAGGGGAGAGGCCCCATCAGAGGAGGGTGAGGGAGGTTATGAGTTCGTGGGAGAGGCCCTGTCAGAGAGGGGAGAGGCGCTGTCTGAAGAGGGTGGAGGAAGTGAGGTGGGCAGGGGAGAGGCCCTGTCGGGAGGGTGTGGGAGGTGAGGTGGGCAGGGGAGAGGCCTTGTCAGAGGAGGGTGAGGGAGGTGAGGAGTTCATGGGACAGCTCCTGTCAGACAAGACCTGTGGTAGAGAAATGGTGTCTTATCACATGGTGAGCCTCTCTTTCCCATTTTCTGTCCTGTTGAGTTAGAATTGTGATGTTGTGTTTTGTGGGGTTTGGGGAGGCTGTGAAGGTGCCCTGTTTTGGGGGTTCGGGGAGGCTGTGCAGGTGCCCTGTTTTGGGGGTTCGGGGAGGCTGTGCAGGGGGCCTGTTTTGGGAGTTTGGGGAGGCTGTGCAGGGGGCCTGGCACTCCTAGGGCTGCTCCAAGCTGGCTGATGGTGGTTTGGGCTGAGGCCCGGTTCCCCTGCTGGTTTTGCTGATCTGGGACAGTGGCGCTGGCTGGAGGGGCCCTTGCCCCTTGCCTGGCCGTGTGCGTGGCCCTCGGCTGTGAGGGGCTGGGCTGTGGCTGGAGCCCATGTCCGCTCTCTAGGCTTCCTGGTTTGTGTTACATTTTGGCAGCAACAGCTGTGTGTTAAGCTCAAGCTTTTGTTTGTTTTCTTTTAAGATGGAGGCCTTGGGGCAGTGGGGTGGGGGTTGGAATTCTTTTTGGGTTTTGGGCGCATCCAGGAGGGGCCGGCAGTGGGGATGGGTCCTGGCTGCTCTGTCCCATGGAGCAGGGACAGTTCCCGCGCATTCGGGTCTCTGCAGCCTGTTCAGTGTGGGACCGTCTGCACCAGAGGCCATGGGGGAGGGCAGTCTTGGGGAGCAGGCGGCAAGACCCCAACTTGACAGACCTCAGATCCAAGGCTCAGGCCGCCCAGAATCCCCACGTACATGTCCCATTTCTTTCATTTCTTTCCCTTTTACCTTTTTTTCTTTTACTTATGGCTTAAACAGTTACTGTGAGCGTTGATAGTAGAGTTCGCCAGTGGTGCTGGAAGTGAGTTCTGAGCGAGGTGGTTCCTCCTGTGACCTGCAGCCCCTGGAACGCCACGGCCCACAGGACCCCCTCCTTCCCGAGTCCCCCCGCAGGGCCCCCTCCTTCCCGAGTCCCCCCGCAGGGCCCCCTCCTTCCCGAGTCCCCCACTGAACAGAGGCCCTGCTGGGCGGTTTGTGGGACCTGACAGAAAGGTGGGCAGGGCTCTTGGAGGTGGACAGCAGCACCTGGCGTCCTTTCTGGAGACTCAGCCTTTATGAAAGACAGTAGAGTCATTTGTAAAGAAAAATAATGAATGATGGTTTGCTCTGTGCAGTGTGTCATTTTTCCTGGTTGCAAAACCAAATTTTCTTGGTTTTCTTGGAAAAACCTCTTCAGAAGGAAGAAATTTCAGTGACACTTAGAACAGAGAATTCTCAAAAGTGAGATTTCAGCGCCAATCCCCACTCTCGATTTCAATGCCAATCCCCACTCTCATGCTTGTTTTAGCCTGACTTTGTTTCTTAGGCTATCAGCCAGTTCAGCGGCTGCACTGAGGGGCCTCGGGCTGGTGGGTTTCTGGCAGTGAGTGGGCCTCGCCAGGGCTGGATCAGACACCTGGTGGTCTCCATGACCAGAGCCCACTGTGCCAGCAGCTCAAGGGCAAGGGGTGGATGAGATGCCTCGACACTGGGCCTCTGACTGTTTCGGGTGTTTTTAAATCCTAGAGTTTCCATTATACAATTATTTTTCAAAATAGCCTTGAAGAAGTGGCTTTTATATAGGGAAGAACTAAATATGATCTTCATGGTCTTTTAGAAACCCTTTCTGTAAAACTTGATCCCTGTAGAGAGTGCAGGAGACAGCGCAGAAAAGCCTGTGTGTGCCTCCATCGCCAGTCGTGAGCACCCTCGACGCCTTTGGGACCCACGGCTTTCGAAGATTAGGTCCAGAACTCAGCCTGGCACTGGAGAGCTTGGCACGCCTTCCCAAGTCTTGAGTCCCCAGGCAGAGCCTGGACGGCACGATGGCTCATGCCTGCAATCCCAGCACTTTGGGAGGCCGAAGCGGGTGGATCACTTGAGCTCAGGAGTTCGAGACCAGCCTGGCCAACATGATGAAACCCCGTCTTTACTACAAATACAAAAAATTAGCCAGGCATGGTGGTGGGCGCCTGTAATCTCAGCTACTTGGGAGGCTGAGGCAGGAGAATCGCTTGAACCCAGGGGTCAGAGGTTGCAGTGAGCCGAGATTGCACCACTGTACTCCAGCCTGGGTGATGGAGTGAGACCCTGTCTCAAAAAAATAAATAGATAAACAAAGCTGCAGAGCCTGGGCTCACCCTGTGCTGGCCTCCTCAGCTGTCCTGTCCACCCGTCCAGGTTCCGTCCTCTCTCCTGAGAATCAGACTCACAGACTCATCACCAGGGGTTCCAGAATCTTCTCTATGTCAGGAGGGGCTCAGGCCCCAAACACAGGAGCCAGCCCCCGCTGCTGTCTTCAGAATGCTTATGGCCCCTCCCACATTCCTGTGTTAACATCCTGCCCCCAAGGTGGTGGCCTCAGGAGGCCTGGCTCTGGGGGCCGATGAGATCGCAAGGAGAGGACTCCATCCCCATGAATGCAATCAGTGCCCTGAAAGAAGAGGCCTGAGTGCTGCCTCACCCCTTCTATCCTACAAGGACACGGCAAGAAGGTGCCGTCTGTGAAGAGTGGACCCTCCTCGTGGAATGGGCTGGCCTCGCTCTTATCCTCCCAGCTTCAGGTGCCCTGTGGAGCACACGTCTGTGGCGTAGGCCCCGCAGGCTGCGGTGTTTTGTTGCCGCAGCCTGAGTGAAGAGAACGCCTTCCCGTGACGCGTCCAGCGTTGGGTCAGTGTGGAGGACCCGATAAGAACGCTTGCTGGGGGATGCCAGGCTGCACTCAGATGGAGGGATGGTGCGTGGGGCAAGAGGGAGCCCCGAGTCTGGGCCTGGAGCTGCTGCCCTCTGTCCCCACAGTGGCCCGATCCACGTCTCGAGTTGCTCTGAATTCCCAGCACTGTCTCGTGGCGGCCCGCAGCCCGTGGGCCACAATGGAGGGCTTCATCTCAGAAGCTTCCCATACTCCTTGCCTGTCTTCCAAGTGTGGCGTCCGGAACCAGCTCAGGATGCAACTGCTGGTTTTAGCCTTTAAAAAATGTGCACCCTGGAAGCACATGGGATGCTGTATGAGGAAGACTTCTGTGTGGCTTTCACACGTGACTTTTCTGGCCCACCGAGTTTCCTTCTAAACCCCCAGGCATCTGGGGTGAAGGCCCGTGGCCGCTGCTCAGTGGAGTTGGAGGAAGTGGCTGCTGGGTGCGGGGAGGCTCCTGAACTCTCGGAACCTGGAAGTTCACTGCGCTTGGTTTGACCGAAGGGGTGGGACCCAGCCTGCATTCGACACACAGCTTTGCGGCTGCATTTCTGCCCCTGGTGAAGCAGCTGGGCAGGCCCCTTTGCTTGAGGGCCCCGTCTTTGGGGTAGGAACTGGCCCTGCTGGAGAGTGGGCAGCTGGGACTGAGGTGGGCACCCTTGCTTGAAGCTAAGAAGACCCAGGAGAAGGGGCGGGCTTTGAGGACAGAGTGGGCCCTGGGTCAGTGGAGTGTAGGCACTGGGTTGGTGGAGGAGCTGGTTGGAGACTGAGGGGCTGGGAGGCCCCAGGCTGGGGCAAGGGGGTGTCTGCCGCTCTGGGCGGCTGGGATAAACAAAGCTGTGCAGCTGAGCCTCTCAGCTGAGAGGCTGCGACCTTCATGGCCTGGTGGGCCTGGCACCTGAGGCCCTGGGCCTGGGGAACAGGGGCCTCCCCTCTTAGTGGTGATGGGCTTCACCCTCTGTAGCTGCCGGTTCCGGGTCCTGTGGGGAGCGGTGAGGGATGGTCGTGTGCGTCGTTTTAGGAGCATGTGTGTGAGCGTGAGGATGCCCATGGCCAGTGGACATGCCTTCCTCCTGTCCTTGCAGCCACTGGAGGGGAAGCTTCTTGTCCTTAAGTCAGACCGGGAGGCAGACGGGCCCTGAAAGAACCACAGGGTGGCGTGGGAGGCAGCTGCAGTGGGAGGTGCCTGTGCTTTGTTGGTTGTGAACAAGCATCCAAGGGAGGACCACAGTGGCAGATGTGCAGTGTGGGGCATGTGGCGTGCAGGGACGCCGTGGGCGTGGTGTGGGGCACGTGGCGTGCGGGGACGCCGTGGGCGTGGTGTGAGGTATGTGGCGTGCGGGGACGCCGTGGGCGTGGTGTGGGATATGTGGTATTGGGAACATGGTGGTGACGCAGGATGTGGTGGTGGTGTAGAATGTGGTGCTGATGGATGTGGTGTGTGTGGGATGCTGTGGTCACATGGGACATGGTGTATGGGACGTGGTGGTGACATAGTGTGTGTTGGTGATAGGGGATGGGGTGGTGACATGGGATGTGGTTTTGGGGTTGCAGTGGTGACATGGGACATGGTAGTGACATGGGACATGGTGACAGGGTAGGGTGTGGTGGTGATGGAGGTGGTGTGGTAATGTGGCGTGGAGGATGCAGTGTGGGGGACATGGTGACATGGCGATGTGTCATGTGGTGATGGGGGACGTGGCGTGGGGGATATGGGGTCCTGGATCTCCTGTAGCTCTGGCCAGTGGCGAGTGGCACCATGCAGCAGGGAGGAAGGCCAGCTTCACGCTGCAGGAGCTCCTGGGCAGTCTGTTCTGGGAGTGAGGATGTTTGGGGGTTGTGGAGCCATCGTGCTGGCCAGTTGCTTTGCTGCGCTGGTGGGGAGAGGCCGCCTGAGGTCCTTCGAAGCAGCCTGGGTCTGTCTGCTCCCTGGGGTCAGATGCAGGCCGCTTCTGCAGCTTCGGCATCATGTCCCAGCCCAGCCCCGCAGCCTTCACCTGTAGGAAGATTCTGCAGGCTCTCTCTCCCTCCATCATCTGGTGACTCCTCAAACACCGCGCCCTGGTTGGTGGCTGTATTGATTCTTGGTCTCCCAGTGACGAGCTGAGGTGGGGAGCCACGAAGCCACAGGCTGAGGCAGAGCCAGGACAGACCCTGCTTGGCCCTGGGCTCTGGCTCTTTGCAGGCAGCTCAGCAGACAGTCCCCGCCCTTCAGAGCTCCTGTGCAGTGTGGCTTGGGGCAAAGCCACCCTGTGGCTCTCTCAGGGCCCTTCTGCCTCCTGGTCTGATCTAAGGACAAGAAGCTTTCCCTCCGGTGACTGCAGGGACGAGAGGAAGGGATGTCCACCGGCCGTGGGCATGCTCACACTCACACACGCTCACTGCCTGGGTGAGAGGCGGTGGAGGACCCCTTTCCCAGAGGGAAGGTCTCCTGTGAGCCACACCTGAAGGGTGTGGAGGAGCGGCTGTTACCTGCTCGTGTGGCCAGTGCAGATCTTGAATCCTCAGACTGCAGGTGAGGTAGCCAGGACATCCATTGTGACCTTCTTCCTGTTGACAAAGACAGTACATGGAGTGGAAGCTTCTGGCTATCTGTGCATTGCTTCACCGAGCACCTGACTGCGTCTGGCACGTGGCGTGTGTGGAGCAACTGCCTGCCACACAGAAGTCTGAGGATACTGATCAAAGCAGAAAAGGATAAACATTCTTTCCTTCCCCAGTTTTGCCTCCAGCATGATGCACACCCCATCATATGTGTTTGCCTGCGTGGCTGTGGGCAGGTGTGCAGTCCACAAGTGGGTCATCCACAAGTGGGCAGCAGACACATGTGCGTACAGCTTACTCTCTCTGCCTTTTTTGTAAGCTGGGAAATCTTTCTATGTGAATTAATATATGCTGTCTATCTTAATAGCTTCAGAATATTTTATGATATAGTTAGGCCTTAATTTTTTAAAGTTGTTTTTCTGTTGGACCTTGAGGTAGTTTAAAGTTTGCTTGTGGGAATGAGGATAAATTTTAAAACAGGATATAATGTTGTCTGTCATGCAAATATAAAATGAATAGGTACTTATTCACTTTAAATACCTATTTTAAAAATAGAGTTTTAAATTGAGATAATAAATGTTGTTTATTTATCAGGGAGAGACCCAGTAAGATGTAGAACTGGTTCAGGGAAGAATCCAGAATGTAGGCAAATAGCTTCTCCCATCAGCAGTACTGACATGAGTGTGCTTCACGGATGCAAGGCTGGCACTGTCCACAGGGTCATGATCCATCACATCTGCTGGACATTGTGCATTTCTGTGGTCAAGAATCATTTCCATCATCATCAGCTTTTAAACTCACAGAGTTGCAACATAGCTCAGAGACAACTAAAGGTAGAGATAACCCAAATAGGTGAGCTAAATGGAGGCACTCTCATTATTGCTCATTTTAAAGTCTTTCACAGTTTTTCCTGATGGTAATTTTAAGAATGATGTGATAGGCAGTGTCTGTTTCCAGCTAACATGGAAGAAGAGTGTATTAGGCCATTCTTGCTTTGCTGTAAAGAAATACCCGAGACTGGGTAATTTATGAGGGAAAGAGGTTTAATTCGCTCACGGTTCGCAGGATGTGCAGGAAGCTTAGTGCTGGCACCTGCTCAGCCCTTGGAGGCCTCATGGAATTTTCAGTCAGGCAGAAGGCAAAGGGGGAGTAGCCATGCCACACAGTGAAAGCCAGAGCAAGAGAGAGCGAGTGGGGATGAAGTGCACACACCTTCAAATGACCAGACCTCATGTGAACTCAAGAGTAAGAACTCACTTATCACCAAGGGGATGGCCCAGTCCATTCAGGAGGCATCTGCCCCCATGATCCAAACACCTCCCACCAGGTTCCTCCTCTAACACTGGGGACACATTTCAACATGAGATTTGGCCGGGGACAAATATACAAACTGTATCATTCTGCCCCAGCCCCTCCCAGATCTCATGTTCTTCTCACATTTCAAAATACAATCATCCCTTCTCAATAGTCCCCCCAAAGTCTTGACTCACCTCAGAAGTCCCATGTCTGATGACTTCTCTGAGACAAGGCATGTCCTTTCCACCTATGAACCTGCAAAATCAAAAACAAGTTATTTTCTCCCAAGATACAATGGGGATATAGGTATTGGGTAAACATTTCTGCTTCAAAAGGGAGAAATAAGCCAAAAGAAATGGGCTATAGCCCCCAGGCGAGTTTGAAACCCAGTAGGGCGGCTATTAAATCTTAAAGCTCCAAAATCATCTCCTCAGAGTCTATGTCCCACACTCAGGGCACACAGGCTCAAGGGGTGGGCTTCTATGGCCTTGACCAGCTCTGCCCCTGTGGCTTTGCAGGGTTCAGCCCCCAGGACTGCTCTCATGGGTTGGAGTTGAATGCCTGTGGCTTTTCCAGGCACAGGGTACAAGCTGCCAGTGGATATACCATTTTGGGATCTGGAGGATGGTGGCCCCCTGCTCACAGATCCACTATGCAGTGCACTGCTGGGGACTCTCTGTGGGAGCTTTAACCCCACATTTTCCCTTGACACTGCCCCTATAGAGGTTCTGTGAGGGCTGCACCCCTGCAGCAGGCTTTTGCCTGGGCACCTGGGTTTTCTTATACATCCTGTTACCCAGGCTGGAGTGCAATGGCATGATCTCAGCTCACTGCAACTTCAGTCTCCCAGGTTCAAATGATTCTCCTGCCTCAGCCTCCTGAGTAGCTGGGATTACAGTCATGTACCACCACACCTGGCTAATTTTTGTATTTTTAGTAGAGACAGGGTTTCACCATATTGGCCAGGCTTGTCTTGAACTCCTGACCTCAAGTGATTCACCCACCTCAGGTGCTGGGATTACAGGTGTGAGCCACTGCACTTTGCCAGCATTCTTCACTCTTGCATTCTGTGCACCTACAGGCTTAACACCTGCATTTTTCAAAATGGCAGCCTGGGCTGTGTCTGGGGCCCTTTGAGCTGAGGCTGGAGCTGGAACAACCTAGATGTGGGGAGCACTGACCTGAAGCTGCACAGGACAGCAGGGTCCTGGGCCTGACCCATGAAACCATTCTTTCCTCCTAGGCCTCAGGACCTGTGACAGGAGGAGCTGCTGCAAAGGTCTCTGAAATGCCTTCAAGGCCTTTTTGTCATTGTCTCGTCTGTTGGCACTCGACTCCTTTTTAGTTATGCAAATATCTCTAGCAAGTGGTTGCTTTACAGCCTTTTTGATTTTCTTTCCTGAGAAAGCTTTTTCTTTCTTTGCTATGTGGCCAGGCTGCAAAGTTTTCAAACTTTTGTGCTCTGCTTCCCTTTTAAATGTAAGTTCCAACTGTAAGTCATTTCTTTGCTCCCACATCTGAGTGTAGGCTGTTAGAAGCAGCCAGGCCACATCTTTCTTGAGCACTTTGCTGCTTAGAAATTTCTTCCATCAGATACCCTAAATCATCACTCTTTGCTTCAAATTTCCATTGATCTCTAGAGCATAAACAGAATGCAGCCAAGTTCTTTGCTAAAGCATATCATGGGTTATGGGAATATTAATATAATTTATGCCAATAAACTTGAAATTTTATATGAAAGAAACTTTTTTTTTTGAAAAACAAAAGTATCAAGAAGAAATAATGAACTCAATAGTCCTATATCTATTCAATTAAAAATTTGCCCATTACCTTTCCACAAAAACCCTCCCAGCCCAGATGGCTTCCCTGGTGAATTCTATATTTAAACAAGAAACAACAGAAATTCTACAGAGCCTTTAGAAGAAGACTGAGTCACAGATGATACTTTTTGAATTATTCTTTGATATGAACATTAGAAAAATTCAAACCAACATTCCCCATGAAAATAAAGGCAAAAATTATTTTCAATGTTGTAAATCAAGGGATGCAAGCCTGGTTTAACATTCAAGAATCAATCAACAGAATTTACCATGTCAACTGATTGAGGAAGAAAAGCCATATGATCATCTCAGTAGATGCAGAAAACGCATTTGACACAATTCTGTAACCATTTCTGATAAAAACTCTTAGCAAACTAGGAATAGAAAAGAGCATTCTCAGCCTGTAAAGGGCATCTATCTACAGAGCCCCACAGCTCATGCCACACTTAAACTGTGATAGAGGAAGTGCTTATTTACCTGAAGACTGGGAACAGGGCAAGGCTGCCTGATCTTACTTCTCCCATGCAGTATGGTACTAAAAGACTTAGCCAGCACAATAGGGCAAGAAAGTGTGAACACACCATATTGGAGACAGGTCTCAACCAATTTAGAAATTTTATTTTGCCAAGGTTAAGAATACTCCTGTGGCACAGCCTCAGGAGGTTCTGATGATGTTGCCTAAGGCGATTGGGGCACAGCTTGATTTTATCTATTTTAGGGAGACATGAGGCCTCAGTGTGTGTTCATGTACATTGGTTTGTTCTGGAAAGGTGGTACCGCTTGAAGCAGGGGAGGGGGCTTTCAGGTCACAGGTAGATAAGAGACAAAGGGTCATATTCTTTTGAGTCTCTGATTAGCCTTTTACTGAATACACAGTTTACATGTGAGGGGGTAGAGGAATAATCACTTATGCCTTAGTCTGGCTCAGTGAAGTGGTAGGGCAGAGGAAGCCATCAGTCATGCGTTTGTCCCAGAGGAGCCTCAGAGGGATGACTTTGAGTTCTGTCTGTCCTTTGTCCATAAGGAATTACCTTGTGGGAAAATCGTGAGGGGGGTATGTCTTTTTTTTTTTTTTTTAAATCTGTGTAGCTGTCTTATTTAGGAATAAAATAGGAGGCAGGTTTGCCTCACGCAATTCCTAGCTTAACTTTTCCCACTGGCTTAGTGATTCTGTGTTCCCAAGGTTTATTTTCCTTTCACAAAAGGAAACAAAAGTCATACAGATTTGAAAGGAAGAAATAGAACTTTATTGGTAGAAGACATGGTGGACTATTTAGAAAAACTGAAGGAATCCATAAAACTTTACTATTACTATTAAGTGGATTTATTTAGTTTTCAACATACAAGGTCAGTATGAAAACATCTTGTTTACATTAGCTATCAATAATTGGAGACTTAAAAAATATTTACAATAGCAGTAAAATGAAATAGTTGGGTATAAATTGGTAAAATATGTCAATATCTCTGTACTGAAAAGTTTGAAACACTGATGAAAGAATCAGAGAAGATATAAAGAACTTGAGAAATATACCATGTTCATGGATTGGAAGACTCAGTTACACTGACATGTTAGAACTTGAGAAATATACCGCGTTCGTGGATTGGAAGACTCAGTTACGCTGACGTGTTAGAACTTGAGAAATATACCGCGTTCGTGGATTGGAAGACTCAGTTACGCTGACGTGTTAGAACTTGAGAAATATACCGCGTTCGTGGATTGGAAGACTCAGTTACGCTGACGTGTTAGAACTTGAGAAATATACCGCGTTCGTGGATTGGAAGACTCAGTTACGCTGACGTGTTAGAACTTGAGAAATATACCGCGTTCGTGGATTGGAAGACTCAGTTACGCTGACGTGTTAGAACTTGAGAAATATACCGCGTTCGTGGATTGGAAGACTCAGTTACGCTGACGTGTTAGAACTTGAGAAATATACCGCGTTCGTGGATTGGAAGACTCAGTTACGCTGACGTGTTAGAACTTGAGAAATATACCGCGTTCGTGGATTGGAAGACTCAGTTACGCTGACGTGTTAGAACTTGAGAAATATACCGCGTTCGTGGATTGGAAGACTCAGTTACGCTGACGTGTTAGAACTTGAGAAATATACCGCGTTCGTGGATTGGAAGACTCAGTTACGCTGACGTGTTAGAACTTGAGAAATATACCGCGTTCGTGGATTGGAAGACTCAGTTACGCTGACGTGTTAGAACTTGAGAAATATACCGTCCGTGTTCGTGGATTGGAAGACTCAGTTACGGTGACGTGTTAGAACTTGAGAAATATACCGTCCGTGTTCGTGGATTGGAAGACTCAGTTACGCTGACATGTTAATTCCCCACTAACCAATCTACTGAGTTAGTGCAGTTGCAACCAAAATCTCAGCAGGATTTTTTTTTTGTAGAACTCTATAAGATTATTCTAAAATATACACAGGAAAGCAAAAGAACTAGAATAGCCAGAACAGTTAAAAAGTAAAAACATACTAATGTTTGGGGGCTTATATTCAGATTTCAAGACATACCATAAAGCTGAAGCAATCACAACAGTGTGCTCTTTGTAAAAGCACAGAAATACAGATCAGTGGAACAGAAAAGAGATTAAGAACTAGACTCACACATACAGTTAGGATTGACCAGGGGGTAAAGGCAATTTGTTAAAGAAAGGAACAGTTTTTTTTTTTTTTCAACAAATTGTGCAGGAACAATAGGACATCCATATGCAAAAAGTTGAGAATTTTAATACTTTATACCATACACAAAAATTAACTCAAAATGGATCTTAGAGCTAAATATAAATCTTAAAAAGTACAAAAGTTCTAGAAGGAAACTTAAGAGAAAATCTTTTTGACCTTGGATTAGGCAAAGATTTCTTAGATGCAACAGCAAAAGCACAATTAATAAAAGAAAAGAATTGGCAAATTCAAATATATCATAATTAGGAACTTCTGCTCTTTGTTAAGACACTGTGAAAAGAATGAAAAGACATATCACAGATTGGAGGAAAATATTTGCAAATTACATATTTGATGAAGGACTTGTATCTAGAATATACAAAGAACTCTGAAAAGCCAATAATAAGAAAGCAAAGAACCCAATTTTAAAATAACTGAAAAATTTTACTAGATACTTCACTGAAGAAGAGAATACAAATGGCAAGTAAGTGCCTGAGATGGTGCTCAGCTTCAGTAGTCTTTCGGGAAATGCAGATTACAGCAACATAATCAGTACGTGCCTATTAGACTGGCTAAAATTCAATTGGCTGTAAAAACAGTACAGAAACCCTGACAATACTCAGTGTTGATGAAGACGCAGGGCCACCGGAAGTCCTATGCCTGCTGCTGGCCCTGCAGATCCCTATGGCCATCAGGGAATCTGTCATTTCTTATAAAGTTGGACGTGTGGCCACCCCCTGACCCACGCACGTTGCTCCTGCTCACCGGCTGACATGATGGCGCCTGTTTGCACAGAAGCCTGAAGCAAATGTTCACAGCTGCTTCACCTGTGATCCCCGCCTCTGCTGCGTGGTTCCATTTCTGGGTCACATGGAAGCGGGGGAGCTGTGGGCACAGAGATGAGCGGTTCTTACAGAGGCCTGGGGTCTTTGAAGGAGTTTGAAGTGTGAGCTCGCTGTTTTGGCTGTGGTGCCACTTGCACACCGGCATGCCCGTGCTTCACACCGGCGCGCCCTCACCAGCACACCTGCACCTCACACCGGCACGTGCACTTCCCACCAGCGTGTCTGCACTTCCCACCGGCGTGTCTGCACTTCCCACCGGCGTGTCTGCACTTCCACCGGCGTGTCTGCACTTCCCACTGGCGTGTCTGCACTTGGGGAATGTGCATTTCCCTTTGGCAGCTCCTGTCTTCTGTGCGGTTCCTCCCATTCCCACCTGTTTGGTGCCTGGCATGTAGGCCGTGGTCTCTGCCCGTTCAGCACCTCCATACATGCTCAGGACTCCCCACCTTTCTGTTCAAACCCAAACCCCTCCTTTCCTTCCAGACTCTTGGTTCCAGCTGCCTGGATGCCCTGTGGCCTGCCGGACTTAGAATGTCCAGAGGGGCTTCTCCGTCCTCTGCTCCACACCCCACCCCCGCCCTGGCCTGCCCCACAGTGTCACCCTCCTGGCTGACACAGCTCCATGCCGCCGGTGCCAGGGCCCACACCGTGGCATCTGCCTCTTCTCCCATGTGGCATCGCACCTGTCAGCAGGTGCTGCCCCGCCACCCTCAGAGGCTCCCTGGCATCTGGCATTGGTCACTGTCCCTGCTGCCACCCTGCCCACGCCACAGTCCACTCTCCTTGGTTGGTTGCAGGGCCTCCTGCTCCTGCCTCAGTTTTCTCACAGGCTGAGCCTTGGAGGCCCCGCCCCTTCCCTCTCTCCCTCCCCCCTCCCCCTCCCTCCTTCCTTCCTTCCCTCCCTCCAGCTGGCCTTGCTCTGCCATCTCAGGACCTCGCACAGGCCACCGCTCCCTCTGACGGCACCTCTGCTCCCTGCCTGTCCCTGTCCTTCCCCCTCACGTGGCTCAACCCAAGGCTTTCCCTACTCCGCTCCTGTCATCCCACCCCACACCCCTTTCTCAGCAGGATCTTTTTCTGTGGCCCTGTGTCTTTCTGAATTACTGTATGATTTCCCAGCTTCTGAGTCAATGCCTGGGCTAGGGAGGGAGGCAGTCAATAAATATTCATGTCTTGGTTTGAGGTCTCCCAAAACACACCCCAGGCAGGATTCCAGTGAAAGCAGTTGAGCTGGGAGGTGCAGGAAAAACCAGCTGGGGAGTGGGTAGATGAGACTAGGAGGGGAGGCTTTGGGAGCCCCTTGAGGCACAGGGGTCTCAGACTGGCCGGCAGCTGGCTGAGGGGCACTGAAGGGCAGGCCCGGGGACATGGGAGCCTCTGCTGCAGGGGCAAGGGGTGACCCCTGGCCAGTCCTGAGGCTTCCTGACCAAGGTCGGGCCCTGTGACTCTCAGTTCCTTTCTTTGGCTGAGGTCAGGGGCGTGCCTTGGCCCTGGGCATTGCACGGAGCAGGGGGTTCTGGAGGGGGAGGTGCCATCCTGCCTGGCCCAACTTCCCACTCACCTGAGGCTGCTTCTCTGCAAGGGCTGGCAGGACTTCTGTGTGTGTGTGTGTGTGTGTGTGTGTGTGTGTGTGTTTGTGTGTGTGTGTGTACAGTGTTTGTAAACTTGAGGTAGTTTATACACAGTAAAATATATTGATCTTTGGTGCATGTTTCTTCGATTTTGACAAATGCGCACACCTGTATAGTGCCCGCCCCAACATAATGGGGAATTTCCATCTTCCTCTTCCCTGCTGCCCCGCCCCTCGGGTACCACAGATCCGTTTTTCCCATTCCAGAACGTCACACGCTGAGACCCAGGGAACGTGGCGGCACCCGCCTGCTTTCCCTGTGCTAGTGTGTTGAGCCAGTTCCGTGTTGTCACACACTGTGGCTCAGTGCTGTCATCACGAGCACTGGTCCTGGATCCTGCTGTGTGGGGCCCACTCTGCGCTCCCCACTCTCCCCTTGGTGACACCTGGGCTATATCCAGGTTCGCCTGGTTAAACAAAGCTGCCGTGCATGTGGACACGCAGGCTTCCCGGGACACACGCCTTCATTCTGCCTGGGTCCATTCCTCAGGGAGACTGTTGGCTGTAGGGTGGGTGTGTGTTGAAGGCTTCAAGGAGCTGCCCAGGTGAGGTGCCTGGTCACGCCTGCAGCCAGTAGGTGGGAGTCCTGGTCACTCCATGTGTCTCTCACAGTTGGTGCTGTCCTTTGCCTTTCGGCTCCCTGACACCGCTAAGTGCCTCGTAGCAATATACAGTTGTGGGAGCTGGCGTGTTCAAGATCGCAGACTGTGCAATTCTTTCTCTCTGTTCTGAAGTGAGATTTTGTGGGTGTGCACAAGAGCCCTCTGTCAGTATCCACAAGGTGGATTCTGGTGTTCGTTTTAGCCAGCACTTAGATTCTTTACAGACAGATTGTCAAGGCTTGCTGTGGAATGCACACGTTAGCAGTCTGCTGTGCCCTGTGGACAGCCCGAGCTCACAGCAGTGCAGGGGTTCCTGTGGCGACTGTGGGAGGCCCCTTGTTGGCTCCGTGTGAGGCCCTCCCAGCTCATGCCCCACTGCCCTCGAAGGGTCGTGTGTTCTGCTAGAGTCTGTTTGGCTGTAGTTTGGTCCTGTGCTTGGCACTGGGGCGGGGTGGGTGTCATAGACCAAATTGTGTCCCCCCAAGTTCATAGGTTGTGCTCTGACCCCAGTGTAATGGTATTGAGGGGGGTGGGCCCTTTGGGAGGTGATGGGGTGAGATGAGGTTATGCGGTGGGCCCCCCGGATGGGATGGGTGCCCTTACAAGAAGGGACACGGGATCAGGCTCTCTCCACAGGGCGCAGAGGCAGCTCTGTGAGCCAGGAAGGACCCTCACCAGGAACCAAACCGGCCGGCTTCTTGGCCTCAGACTGACAGCTCCAGAACTGGGAGAAATACGTGTCTCGTTTAGGCTCTCTGGTCTGTGGCATTTTGTGATGGAGCCTCTGCCGACCGAGGGAGGGGCTGAG
Organism: Homo sapiens; assembly: GCF_000001405.40. NCBI lineage: Eukaryota > Metazoa > Chordata > Mammalia > Primates > Hominidae > Homo > Homo sapiens. Next base: position 132,627,284 of record NC_000010.11, read on the forward strand.
GGTGGACAGGCTGGGAATACCTCACCTTGGGTGCTCCCAGGAGGCTTCACGGGGAGACCGGGGCCGGGAGCTGCTGCTGGCTCCACACCTGTCCTGAGAGGGTCTGTCCTGGCCGCTGAGCAGGTGGGTCTGGAGGGCGGTGGGGCTGGCGGTGCTGGGCGCGGCTCCCAAGATGCGTGCAGCTGTCCGCGGTGGCTGCCTCGTCCAGCAGCGTCCCTGCCAGAAGTGGGTGCTTTGAGGGCCAGTGCCTGGTCTGTCCCGACTCCCTCTGTGTCCCCAGCTGCCAGCAACGTGCAGCGGATGACAAGTGAAATGAACGAGGGAGTGAGAGCCGAAAAAGACACCTTCCAGGAATCGTGGTGAAAGCAGCGAGCACAGTGTGGTCCGGGGCTGGGGGTGTGAGATGGCTGGGATTATAGTGAGAGGCGAGACAGGGGATGCAGACGGGTAGATGCCACAGGGCCTCCTCTTCCCCGTGAAAAGCTTCAGACTTTCTTCATCCTCAGGGTAACGGCAGCCACGGACAGATTTGTGAGGACCTTTGGTTGGAGTATTGGAAACCGGGAGGGGTGAGGCCGTGGAGAGAGCCGTGTGGGGGAGGTGCCCAGGCTGGAGTGGCGGCGTCGGGTGTGGAGAGAAACTGGAGATAAGGGACGCGAATCTGACTCGGTGACTTTGTTGTTGATGTTGATGTCTTCACTGGTTGCCATTGCCCAGGAGGGTGTTTACAGCACAGCGCTCTGATCAGCAGCTGCGGATCTACTCTTGGTGAAGAGCAACCATTAGATTAGGCTCAAGTGTGGAAATTAACCGCAAACCAGATTCTAAAAGCAGACCTCCTGCCAGTGGTCTGGTCTCCTTTGGAAGACAGTGTGATCCTTGTCTGCCTGACGCAGCTCAGGCCCATTCCTACCAGCTCAGTAAGGGCCGGCATGGCTGAGAGCCCATCGTGGACCCTGGGAGGAGACTGATGGGAGGCTCCCCTTTCTGGGCTGTGTAACCTCACCGTGCCCCGCTTCCTCGTGAGCATGCACCCATGGCTGGCAATGACTGTGAGGAGTGACAGAGTGAATTCCACCGGGCCGGCAGCACCATTCAGGAAGCACTAACTGCTGTGAGGGCCTGGAGCCCTGTGCCCTATGGTGGCCGCCCCCTCTCCCTCCAGATGTGCTCTGGTGGCGGGGGGGGGGGGGGGCGTGGCGTGGGGGACACGTAGAAGGAAACATGGCTGTTTATTTCCTTTCCGGATGGGGAAGGCTTTTCTAAACTCCACATAGTTGAAGGAATTTGTAGAGGCAAAGACTGATGGATTCGAGTAAATAAAACTGGCAGGACTTTTCTTAGGCTCTTAGAGTTTAAATGTGATTAAAAGGCAGACTGGGAATATATTTTTAAAAACAACAATAGGCTGGTTTAACAATTTTTATAAAGAACTCTTATAAATGAAAGAGAACATGTAAAATTCCAATAGAAAGATGGTCAAAAGCTTCTCTTAGAATCTAGCCCAGCCCCATCCAATAGAAATGGTGTGTAAAGTGCATATGTCATTTCAAAGTTTGAAGAGTCACATTTTAAAAAGCAAAAAGAAATAGGTGAAATTATTTTAATAATATATTTTATTTCACCCAGTGTATCTAGAATGTTATCATTTCAACATATAATCAGTATACAGTTATTAATGAGACATGTTATCTGTTTTTGTGTGGCCTTCAGAACCGGGTGTGTTTGACCCTGAGCCGTGGCCGCACAGATGGCAGGAGCGAGGGGAGGTGGCTGCCAGGTAGTGCCCCTTCCTTGCTTACAGCTGAAGCAGCACCTGGCATTCCCATTCTTGGCCTCTGGGTGCCGAGGGTGGGTCCATTTGGCTGCCTGACGTGTGTCCCCAGCACTGCAGATGGGTGGTTCCTCTTTAAGCTACCTGGTGTTATACAGCAGTGGCCTCAAACTTGCTCTTGCCCTCTGACCCCAGCCCTCCCCTCCTAAGAGCTCCAGAAACACAGACTCCACGTGAGGGAACCCCAGCTCTGTTGTAGGGCAGTGCGCTGCCCGCCTGCTCAACTTCAGGTGACGAATGGCCCCATCCTCTCGAGCCAGGGCCCTGCAGCTGTTCAGTGTCTTCATGAACTTTCAGTGACTCAGGAAAGTGGCTGAAGATAAAAATCTCATCGTACATCTTTGAAGGGAGTTGTGTTACATTTGCATGCATAGCGGAAGATTGGCTGTGGGGCGACGGGAGACCTGAACAGAAGGTTCTTCTGTGTCCCCTCTTTTTCTGGAAGTCTCCAGTGTGGCTCCAGGGTTGGTGCTAGTGGCTGTGGAATGAGTGTTCACTTGCTGCTGCGTGGTTTGGCCCTTCCCTCTGCATTGTGCGGACAGCCCTGTGCTGCGGCAGTTCTCCACATGCATTCCACACGTGAGCATCCATGAGGGGTGGGTATCCACAAGGGAATGGCATCCACGATGGCCAGGTGGCCTCCGGGGAAGCTGTCCTCCAGGGAAGGCATCCATGAGGGAGGGTCCATGAGTGGAGGGTATCCATGAGGGAGGGGTGTCCACAAGGGCAGGGTGTCCTCCAGGGGAAGCTGCCCTCCAGGGAAAGACAATCATAAGGGGAAAGTGTCCATAAGGGGAAGGCATCCAAGAAGGGTGGGCGTCCTTGAGGGGAGAGTGTTCTTGAGGGCAAAGCGTTCTTGAGGGAACGTCATCCTCGAGGGAAAAGCATCCTCCAGGGGAAGGTGGCATCCATGAGGGAAAGGTGTTCATGGAGGAGGGCGTCCTCGAGGATAGGGTACCCTCTAGGGAAAGACATCCTTCAGAAAGGCATCTATGAGGGGATGATGTCCTCCAGGAAAAGGCGTCTATGAGGGAAAGCCATCCATGAAGAAAAGGCGTCCATGAGGGTAAGGTGTCCATGAGGGGAAGGCGTCCATGAGGGAAAGCTGTCCATGAGGGGAAGACGTCCATGAGGGGAAGGCGTCCATGAGGGGAAGGCATCCTTGAGGGGAAGGCATCCTCCAGGGATATGTGTCTGTGAGGGGAGGGTGTCCTCTAGGGAAAGGCCTCCATGAGGGAAAGACGTCCTTGAGGGGAGGTGTCCTTGAGGAAAAGATGTCTATGAGGAGATGGTGTCCATAAGGGAAAGGTGCCCATGAGGGGAGGGTGTCCTTGAGGGGAAGGCAAGCTCTAGGGAAAGGCATACATGAAGAGAGGCCATCCTTGAGGAAAAGGCATCCATGAGGGAAAGGCTTTCATGAGGGAAAGATGTCCATGAGGGGAAGACATCCATGAGAGGAAGACGTCCATGAGGGGAAGACGTCCATGAGGGGAAGACATCCATGAGGGGAAGACATCCATGAGGGGAAGACATCCATGAGGGGAAGACATCCATGAGGGGAAGGCATCAGTGAAGTGAAAGTGTCCATGAGGGTGGGGGGCGGGTGGGGCCTCGGTCGCACCTGCCATGACCCTGGACTTAACCTTGCCCTGCCCTGTGCGGTGGTGGGGGCCGGGAGGCGGCGGGGGCGGCGGGGGACGTGCTTCTTAAACTAGAGCTGATTTGTGGGAGCTTCGATGGCCCAAGCCCGGACTTTGTTCGGGTTAGAGCCCTGCGTTTCCACCTCTGCCCGTGGCGTCTCCGGCAGCAGCTTCTGGCTCCATCTGCAGATTTGCTTAAGTCACTTGCCCTATCTCTGGGGGGAAGGCTGCTGCATGTGGTCAGTGTGGTAGAACCCACAGTCTCCCCAAAAAACCTCTAGGCTGTGCTTGGGTGGGGCCTGCTGGGTCCCACACCCCTCCCCATGGTGGCCCAGCCCCACGCAGGGCCAAGGAAAGGCAGCTCCAGATCACACAGGCTGGCCAGGCTGCCTGCGGTGAGGTCATGGAAACTCATGGTGTCCTGTGTGCAGGGCGGAGAGAAGAACAGGCCCCTGCCCACACAGCTGCTCCGTGTGCCCTGGCCGGTCCCATCGGCTGCGCCTTGAGGAGGCTGTCTGACCAGGGGCCTGTGGGAACCTGGGTCTGGTTGGTCACAAACAGGCCTCTTTCTGGGGTCCCAGCACCCGTTGCAGCCCAGCCCAGCCCCGAAGGGACCTGGAGAGGAGAGCCCCCACCCAGGGCAAGGGTGGGCAGCGGGGATTTTAAACAGGGTGTTTTCCAGGCGTCGTTGGCAAGTAACTGTGGCCTTTTTCTATCAAGAAATTCCCGTGTCCCTCTGCGCGCCTTATCTTGGCATGGGGCTTCCACTGGGGTGCTGTGCAGGATGTAATTCCTTTTTAGGTCACTCCGATACTCCTCTTTGGAGAACGCCTGACAGGGCCTGGCTGTTGCTATTTTTAACACCGAGTCTTGGCCGTGCCGATGGACGTGGCCTGGGCAGGCCTGTGCTGCCTGTTTCCTGGGAACCAGGGGCCCTTCGTGCTGGGCCCCGCTCCGCGGCAGAAGCAGGGTGCTGCTTGTTTGGCTGGTGAACGTGCTTTTTCTTGCCATGCCTTTCCAAGATATTTTTCCTGGGCCTTCCTATGAAGCATCCAGTTCAAGGACACTATAATAAAACAACCCATGTGGTTTTATTGACTGCCCTTTTTTCCTTTAAGGTAGGAGCACCTGCTTTTTCACTGTAGAATTTTGGTGAAGAAAATGCACAGCTTTGGGCCGTGACTTCCCCGATAGTTCCAAGGTCACGCATGCCAGTGTCATTGTCACTCAGGGCGTGAAGTGCTGAGCAGAAGCTCAGACTCGTGGGTGGAGATGTGCACCCCCATGGGGGTTGTGTCTCTTCACAGCCCTGCCTGGTAACCTGGGGACACTCGGTCACATCTGTGCTTTGCAGCAGTGTGTTTCCAGCCAGGCCTGACCCAAGCGTGCTGTCCGACACTGTGGCGTGGCCTTTCCTGTCCATCCTCTGCGGTCCAGCAATATGTTTTGTTGAAGGGATCTTTGTCCAGGATCGTGCAGGCTGCAGAGGCTCCCAGGCCAGCCCTGGGGAGCTGCTTGGCTTTCTGCAGCTGCCTAGAGCTCTGTGTGTGTCCCTGTCCTCCCGGATGCCAGGGCGCCTGTGTCCCCTGTGGCTGTATCTCTCTGGCACGGGCCAACGCCTGTGGTGTGAGTAGCTGTGTCTGGCTGGTGTCACCTCACTCTGTCCAGCCTGTGCTGAGCCTGGATGCCAGCATTGTTGACACCTCACAGCGACCGTCTCAGGAAGGCATGTGCCGAAGTGGATCCTCTGAGAGGCAGGAACCAGGCCCCAGAATTCCCGCCAGGAAGGGGTCCAGCAGGAGCCCGTGCCCGGTGTGCTTCCTGGAAAGCCCACACTTCCACCCACCACCACTGCACCCCGCCCAGATTGTCATGGGCACTGACTGAATTGATCAGGAACTTGGGAGCCAGGTGTGAAATGCAGCCATTATTAAAAATCAAATTATATAAACCTGTAATAAAGTAAATATATTAAAACCAAAGGCAATAAATGCCCCACACTCATCCCTTCCTAATTATTGTACTGTTACGTATGATCTTGACTATTTAGCTCTGTGTCTGGGTGAGGGAAATACTCACACAGTATTTGATGTGTGAATGATGGTGCCTTGCCGAGCACCTCTCCTACCCCAGGTTCAGTGATGCCACATCGGTGGCTTAGCGTTGGCCATGGCGGGGCATTCACACCTCGGAAGGGCAGTCCCAGGGCCTCGCCTGGAGAGCTAGTATTGAGAGCTTTCGAGCACACCACTGCCTGGGGAGTTGGGGGGCTGGTTCTGTCTCCCTTCCCCATGGAGGAGGCCTCTGTCCCCAGGGCAGGGGCTCCTGGGTGCTGGCTTACTTGGTCAGGTAAAGACATTGCAACAAAGGTGCCCTGTCCCTGGCTGCCTTTTGTGGTGGTGCTAGCCACCCATCAGCTTCAGTAGTGAGCTCCCGGACCTCAGCCCCTGCCTGGCTCCCTTTAGTGGGCGAGGTGCTTGAATCCTGGCTGTTGGGAGTCATTGCTCATCAGTGAAGCATTTACATTTACCCGGTACATTCTGCAGCTTCACTCACTTGCAGAGGAAATATTTTTTTTTCTGTTAGCCAAAAATGTCCAATAGTAGGTCACGAAAACCCATCCTCTTCAAATGAGCTATTTTGAGTTTCTCGCCTTGTGCAGTGACTAAATCTGTTTTAAAACGAAGTCTCTGATGTGCGTGTCTGTCGGCTCTGGTGAGGCCACTGCAGGTGCCCAAGCGTGGAGTGGGTTCGTACTGTCTGAGCCTGGGCACCGCACCTCCTCCAGAGCTGGCAAACAGAAGTGTTTTCAAGCTGAATCCCCAAGCAGGACGTTGGTAAGAAACAGAGATTCCCTCTTTTCTCCCTGGCCTTGCCATTATGAGACCAGGAAAGATCACAGACCTCAGAGAAGGTCATGATTTTTCCATTGTTCAGAGGCACTCACTCGAAGGCCCTGGGGGTGGCTTTGCGCAGCTCCAGGGCTCCTGCCTTGGGTGTTGCTGGCTGGAGGGAATGTGTTTTTTGGGTTTCTGGTTTTGTTCCTACAGAGTTAGTTAAACAGTGAGCACGTTCAGCAAACTTATTGTGACGATTTCAAGCCCATATAAACATGGAGAGAATCCTTTCCGTGCCCAGCACCCACGCTCAGCTGTGAAGCTCGTGGCCAGTTCTGCTTCAGACCCCTCCACCTGCTCTTCCCACCCCTGAGCATTTGAAGCAAAAACCAGACAGTGCATCACTTCATTCGTGACTATTTCAGTAGGTATTTCAAAGAATACAGACCCTACACAGTAGCTTTATATCTAAAAAGATGATCAGTAATTCCAACCTATTCAATATCCAGTTAGGATTTAGATGTTCTCAGTTGTCTCATAATTGTTTTTTACAGTTCATGTGTTACAATTAATTGATGTTTTGATGGAAATTGTTTTGTAGCTTTCGTGAAGTTAGGAGTGCCATCTCCCTTGGCGGGTGTGCCCCGGAGAGGCGTGTCATCTCCCTTGGCAGGTGTGCCCCGGAGAGGCGTATCATCTCCCTTGGTGGGTGTGCCCCGGAGAGGCGTATCATCTCCCTTGGTGGGTGTGCCCCGGAGAGGCGTATCATCTCCCTTGGTGGGTGTGCCCCAGAGAGGCATGTCATCTCCCTTGGGTGTGCCCCGGAGAGGCGTGTCATCTCCCTTGGTGAGTGTGCCACGGAGAGGAGTATGCATTCTGTGTTCTGCAGGTGTCAGATGTGGTTTTCTGTCGTGCCAAGTGGACCACGGAGCTTGACTGTGTCCTGCATCTTGACTGCTTGTGTGTGTTGGTCTAGATCCATTGAGTGCCAAGGGAGGGCGCTAAAGTCTCCTACAGTGGTTGTGGGATTGTCTGTTTCTCCTTTGTTCTGTCAACCTCTGCCCAGTGTGTTTTTTGTTATTAGCCATATACACATTTGTGGTTGTGCTGTCTTCCTGAGAGTTGTCTCGGTCATCACGAATGTTCTTCTTCGTCTCCTGGAGCCTTGGTCCAATGAATGTTGCCGCCACTGCGGCTCACGGTGGCCCTCCCAGGCTCTCGGCCGGCAGCCCTGCCTGGCTCACCGCAGCCCTCCCAGGCTCATGGCTGGTGTGGTGTGTGCTTTCCTGTTTGCTCTCTGTCTGTTTGTGTCTTTATCCTGAAAGTGTGTCTCTTACAGGCAGTGTGTCCTTCAGTCTTGTTTTTTATCCACCCTGTAGCTCCCAGCCTTGCAATTGGAAAGTCCAGAACAGCCTCAGCTGACGGAACTTCCTGATGAGAGTTCCAGTCTGTGGCATTCACAATGGCAGCCACTGGCCACCTGTGGCTTTTGATGGCGCATATTTGAAATGTGATTCGTGCTGTCAAAGAACTCAGTTTTTAAACATTTATTTCGTTTTCTTTTAAATAGCCACATTTGACTTGTGACAGCTAGATAACACAGTGCCAGTCTAGACCACTAACCCTGTTATAACTGTTGATGTGGTTGAATTGGGGTCTGCCATTTTTTATTTTTCTGTTTGTACACTGGTTTTTGTACCCTTTTCCCCTCATTCCTGCTGTCTTTTGAATTATTTAATTTTTTTTGGCATTCCATTTTTATTTCTTTATTGGCTGTTTGCCTTTTTAAAGATTTTTTTTTTTTTTTTTTTTTTTTTTTGAGACGGAGTCTCGCTCTGTTGCCCAGGCTGGAGTGCAGTGGCGCGATCTTGGCTCACTGCAAACTCCGCCTCCCGGGTTCATGCCATTCTCCTGCCTCAGCCTCCTGAGTAGCTGGGACTACAGGTGCCCGCCACCATGCCCGGCTAATTTTTTGTATTTTTAGTAGAGATGGGGTTTCACTGTGTTAGCCAGGATGGTCTCGATCTCCTGACCTCGTGACCCGCCCTCCTCAGCCTCCCAAAGTGCTGGGATTACACGCATGAGCCATTGCGCCCGGCCCTTTTTAAAGATATTTTTAAAGCTACTTGGGAGGGTGAGGTGGGAGGGTTGCTTGAGGCCAGGAGTTTGAGACCAGCCTGAGCAACATAGCAAGATCCCTGTCTCTCGAAGATTTAAAAAAAAAAAAAATTAGCTGGGTTTGGTGGTGCACACCTGTTGTCCCAGCATCAGGAGGCTGGAGGCTAAGCCAGAAGGATAACTGAAGCCTGGGAGGTGGAGACTGCAGTGAGCTGTGATCACACCACAGCACTTCAGCCTGGGTGACAGAGCGAAATCCTATCTCAAAGACAAAAAAAAAAAAAAAAAAGGCATATTCAAGTGGTTGCTAGTTAATATTGTACTACTTCATGTGCAATGTTGAAATCTTGAAATCACATAGGTTTCTATATGGCATGTATTCCATCTGTGTACGTTGAAAATCCCAGTTGGAAATATTATTTCAAAAAAATGCTTTATTGGATAAACAAAATGTGTGTGTGTGTGTGTGTGTGTGTATTTTCTATACCACACACATATATGCAATGTAATATTCGGCCATAAAAAGAATGAAATCGTCTTTTGCAGCAACGTGGATAGAACTTGCTTTACTTCTTCCGTGAAACAGCTCAGAAAGTCAGTCCACATGTTCTCCCTTCTAAATGGGAGTGAGGGATGAGAGTCACCTAAGGGTACAGTGTGCACACGATTCGAGTGGTGGTTACACTGAAAGCCCTGGCTTTAGCCCTGTGCAAAACAGCCACGTCACAAAACTGCACTGTACCCCTTACATGTATACAAATTTAAAAAATGAACTCAGCATCAGCAAACTGCACTCCCTCCACCCTGGTTTGCAGCCCAAGCCAGCCTGCTGCACGCCTTTGGAAATCGAGGTTGTGGACGCACAGCCACCCCCAGTCGCTCCTGTCCCTTGGGGCTGCCCTTGCGCTGCTGAGCAGGGACCACAGAGCTCCCATGTCCATTTGGTTATTTATGGAAGAGAACCAGCCCTGCCTTCCTGGATTCCTCAGAAAGGGCTGATGGGGGCAAAATTTCCCAAATTTTTGTACGTTGAAAACTGTTTTGTATAGTTTTGGAATTTGAAGGATGCTTTGCTGGATAAATCGCCCTTGGTTCAGGCCTCATTTCACTGAGATGTTTAGGAAAGGTCATTCTGTTGTCGTCTTAGTGCGTATGTTGGGTTTGAAGAGACTGGTGCTGGTCCGATTCTTTACATTTTATTTTTATTTTTATTTTTTTCTCTTTGAGATGGAGCCTCGCTCTGTCGCCAGGCTGGAGTGCAGTGGCACAATCTCAGCTCACTGAAACTTCCGCCTCCCGGGTTCAAGCGATTCTCCTGCCTCAGCCTCCCAAGTAGGTAGGACTACAAGCGTGCGCCACCAGGCCCAGCTAATTTTTGCATTTTTAGTAGAGACGGGGTTTGACCATGTTGGCCAGGATGGTCTTGATCTCCTGACCTTGTGGTTGATCCGCCCGCTGCCTCGGCCTCCCAAAGTGGTGGGATTACAGGCGTGAGCCACCTGTTGTTTAATTGATCTTTTTTACCTGGAGGCCATGAGGATCTTATCTTTATCTTTGAAATCTTGGAGTTGATTACTTTGGGTTAATTTTCTGAAGTATTCAGTGAGCCTTTCAGTGTATAAGTGCGGGTCTTTTTCTGTTTTGAAGTTTTCCTGGGTTATAGTTTTAAATGTTAGGTGTTTCAGGTGAGTGTGTAAGTGCGGGTCTTTTTCTGTTTTGAAGTTTTCCTGGGTTATAGTTTTAAATGTTAGGTGTTTCGGGTGTCCTTTGGGTCCCTGATCCTCCAAATGTTCCTCCTTCTCTGCCTGTCTCCCACGGTCACTTCTTTCTCTCACGCTGTTTTCTCTGTGCGATTTTGCTTTCTCAGTGGATTTTTCTGGTTTTGATGCCCATGTTGGGGTTTCCTTCCAGTGACTCTCCTGGCGCCTGCTGTGGCTGTCCTCCTCTGTCATGACTGTTCTGTGCTTTGCCTTTGCCGCCCCCGAGGTTGATGGGCGCTCTCCGTCTCTTTCTCCCAGTGGTCCATTCTGTGTTTTAGTTTCGCATCTCTGATGTGAGGTGGTTTTTCATATTCTCGACTGCTTGAGTAGATTTGATTTTATCTGCAATGTGGGCTCCCGTCCTGTTCTGCCTCACGGTCGTTTTCCTCAGGTCGGGCACGTTTTCCTCAGTTTGTGTGTGTACAATTTTTTGTCTTTTTTTTACAGCCGTTTTGTAGGGACTTCCTTTTGCTCATCTTTAGTGGGAGTATGGGGTTTGCAAGATTCCTAATTTAATAGCACCCTCTTGTGTTGGTATTGCAAAGTCCAAGTGCATTCGCTGGCTTTGGAAGTTGGGCAGTGATTGGGGTCTGGGAGTTGTTCGTTCTCTGATTTGCTGGCGCTCTTTCTCTTTCAAGTCCCTCTTTTCCTGCCTTTTCTTCCTTTCTCCTTTGCCACCTGGTGACTCAGGGCTGCTACTTCTCTCTCTTTTTAGAAATATTTTTCTCTTCTTCGTTGGTAGTGTCTCAGTAGTGCCCTTGAAGCATGGCTGTCCTGCTAGGCTGGGCCTCCCACTTTCCATCACAGCAGCCTCCAAGTCTCGCCTTGTGTTCCAACCCACGCTCGGATGTGCTGGGATGCTCTTCCAGAATCTTCAGCCTCCGGACTTGCTGGCTGTGTGTTTGACTCTCTGTGTGTCTCTTCCCTGGTGTCTCCCTTCCCTCTCTTGTGGTGTTTCTTGCTGTGCCTTTGTGCTTCACAAAGCCTCACACCCCAGCGGGGGCAGTCCCGGAGCCCGAGAGATCACCTTCTGGAGTCTGGATTTTTCCTCATTTTATTCACTGCTATTTGTAGCTCCCAATTTTATTTTATTTATTTATTTGTTTATTTTTTGAGACAGAATGTCGCTCTGTCACCCAGGCTGGAGTGCAGTGGCACAATCTCGGAGCACTGCAGCCTCTGCCTCTTGGGCTTATGTGATTCTCCTGCCTTAGCCTCCCAAGTAGCTGGGATCACAGGTGTATGCAACCATGCCTGGCTAATTTTTGTATTTTTAGTAGAGACGGGGTTTCACCATGTTGGCCAGGCTGGTCTCGAACTTCTGACCTCAGGTGATCCACCCGCCTCGGCCTCCCAAATTGCTGGGATTAGAGGTGTGAGCCATTGAGCCTGGCAGCTTCCACTTTTTCTTCAAGCCACGCTGAGGCTGCAATTTGGGTTTTTCTCTCTATATAAGTTACATATATATATGACATAGTTTATATGTTACATTCATTATATATCACATCCCCTGCCTACATAGAAAATTGGGGAGCAAATTTTTGGGACTAGGCTGTCTTCAGCTACCCTGGAGGCTCATTCTATGTATTTTAAAGAACCCAAGAAGAAAAAATATAATCTTTTATATTTACCCAGATGCTTCCCATTTTTCCTGCCTTTCCTTATTCTTGGAGATCCAAGCTGCCCCCAGATCATTCCCCTCCAGCCCTGCCCAGCCATCAGTTTCCAGCAGACCTGCTGGTGGAACATTTGCTTAGTTTTCTTTTGTGTGAAAATGTTTCCCTTTGCCTTCATTCCTGAGGGATATTTTCAATAGATACTGACTTCTGGGTTGACTTTTTTTTTTTTTTTCCTTAAGCACTTTAAAGGCCTTGTTCCACTGTCTTTTGGCCTCCAGGTTTCCTGATAAGAAATCCGTGGTAATTTGAATTGTTGACTCCTTCCTGTATGTGTGTTCTGTTACTTCTGTCCAGTTGGTTTCAGAAGTTTTTTCTATTAATACATCTTTGTTTTTCCTCAATTTGATTATGATAAAATGTGGCACAGATATGCCTAGATAGGAATTTCTTTGAATTTATCTTGTTATTTGTTTGAATTTATCTTGTTATGCACTCACTGAGGTTCTAGAATCTGTAAATGTATGTCTTTCACTAAATTTGGGGACATTTTGGCCGTTGTTTTTTCCAAGTGTTTTTCTCATGCACCATCTGTTTCTCCTCTCCTTCTGTTGCTCCGACTACGCGTAGAGTAGATGTGATGCCATTTTCTGGAGGCTCTGCTGGCTTTTGCTGAACCTTTGTGCTTTCTGTTCTTTGATTTCAGTAATTTCTACTGACTTATTTTCAGATTTGCCAGCTGTTCTCTGTCATCTTCATTTTACCATTGAGTTCTTCTGGTCATTTATTTTAGATGTTGTATAAATGTTTTTAGTTTTTGAAATTTCCATTTGTTTCTCCTTTATAGTTTCTGTTGAAATTTTCTGTCTTTTCATTTATTTCAAGAGTATTTACTTTGACCTCATGGAGCATGTTGTAGTTGTTGCTTGAAAACCTTCCTCTGCTGTGTCCGGCATTGGTGTTGTCTTAGTGGTGGCATCTGTCTGTCATTCTTTCTATTAAATGTGGGCCATGTTTTCAGATTCCGATAACTCAGGGTTGTGTCCTGGTCATTGTGGATGCTGCGTTGTATAGACACTGGCTTTTCTTACGGTTCTCAGCATGCACGCATTCACCCTGATGAGGTACAGACCATAAGCTCAGTCTCATGCTGGGTGCTGGTCAGAGCCCACCTCACTGCTCAGAGCCTCTGCTCGCTCACGTGGGTTGTCACACATGTGTGTGTTTGGGGTTATTGGAGACTCAAGCGGCTTCATACACAGACTTAGGGTTCCCTCTTCCTAGCTCTTCCCTCCAGGGTTGCCCCACACCGTCCGGCTAGCCTGGGTTTCTTTCTGTTGCTCTTCTGGCCAGAGAGAGGGTGGGGTTTCCTCTGGATTTGTAGGGTCCACATTCTGCTGCTCCCGTAAGTGTGGCCCAGGCTTGGGCAAAGCCCGAAGAGGGAAAGAATAAGAGGCTCGCCCTGTGTATCACTTCTCCAGGCTCTGACTCCCGGCGCTGCCTGTCTGCCTCTCTTTACCTCTCAGCCTCCTCGGGCACATGTTTTGTTTGTAGTGTGTGGTTGTCCTCGGCGGGAACAGTGGCCTCCGAGGGCCACATGCTCCCATGGCAAAACCGGAGCCCCTGCTGATATGCCCTTGTAGTGCCTTTTAGTTGATGCGTGTCTCTGTATACCTTCTTTTCTCTCGGCCGTTTCCTGTTCTTCTTTGCCCCTCTTTGCCAGCACTTATCTGTGGAAGGCATCCAGTGTCCCCCACACAGTGTCCGTGGTCCTGTGGCTGGAGGTGTCCTGTGGCTGTGCTCAGCGTGCTGTCTCCCATTTCCTGGAATCGGCCTCCGTCGAGATCCGACGTGGGTTCAGTTTTTCCGCCGGGATGCTCTGCCATGGCGTTACAGCTTTCATCGGGAGGCATGTACTCTGTTCACCCCTCTGTCTGTGTCTCTTTGTGGTATTAGCAGCTGCTGGTGTTCACTGCCTCGATTCACTGCGTCATTAAGAATTGTAAAATGGCTGTATTCTAATTCTACCATTTCTTTTTCACTTTTTGGTAGGAGTGTTTCTGTAAAGAGGGACTGTGTCCCCTGTGCTTTTCCAGAGACACTGTTTGTCCAAGAAAGGCAGGATAACACGTTGCTCCATTCCCCTTATTTGCCAGTTTTCCAAACAATGTCGGGATTTAAAATAACACCCTGATTTCAAGATGACCAATGCCTGGAGACTCTCAGGCTCATTATGTACTCATGGATATAAACTTTCTTGTTGTGCCGATCCATTCTAGACCATAATTCTGTCTCCTAGATGGAGTTTATAATATGTGAAGTTATATTTCTCCATACAGCTAACTAGTCCAGCTATCCGGATAGATCTAACCAGGATGTCTTCCTTCTCCTTCATGAATTCCTCAGACAGTTTGCCTGTGCCTTTGTGGAGTGAGACGACCCCGTGCCAGAGGGCGATTTTCTGAGCCCAGTCTTTCAGCAGAAGCTCCAGGGACTGGGTGTTAACTCACCTGCAGTCTGTTCCAGCACAGCTTCGCAAGGGCCCCGTGTTGTAAACTGTGCGTGGAGGTAGTTTGATTTGTGGGTGTGGAGGAACAATAGCATCATCTGCTGCCATTCAGTGCCCTGCTCTTTTCTATAGTCGTTCATTGCTTTTCTTCTGAAACTTCTCATGGTAAAGATCTTATCATTTTGATAACTTGGTTTTCAAAGGAAGTGTGGCCTTTCGTCTGTTTGGGGTACCCATCTCCATAACCTGTTGCAGATGTGTGGGAACCCCGGGCTTCTCCTGATGCAACATTCTGTGTTTCTGAAGCGTCCTCTCACTTCAGCTTTGAGGGCGTCATCACCCCTGTGCATGGTCAGGGTGTGGAGCACACCAGCAGGGCTCCCCAGTGTGGACCAGTGCTGGCGCATCACGGTTCAGGGCTCATGGTCCAGTGGGAGGGGATGTGGAGAGCAGCCTGTGACCACAGAAGAAAAGGAGGTTCACAAAGCCATCTGGGAGTCCAGCGGGAAGGGGCGGCCTTCTGGGAACAGCCTGGAGCTCGTCTGCGGTCTGGGGACAGCCTGGAGCCCGTCTGCGGTCTGGGGACAGCCTGGAGCCCATCTGCAGAGGAGGCCTGGGGCGTGGGAGTGGGTGGAGGCGTTTCCAGCAGAGGGGCAGCAGCAGAGCCCCAGCGTGCAGCACTTGCTCTGTGCAGTGTCCGGCGGGCTGGGGACGACATCTGAGAAGCCCTGGTGTCCTCGGTTCTTCTCCACGCGGTTCGCCGGCCATCCTCTCGCATCAGGGCTGTGTCTCACTGTGCGTCTGGCGTTCCGGGGCCCCTGATGTGGTGGCTATGCCAGCATAGCTGCAGTTTCTCCACCGCCTTACTCCTGCCGTGACAGCCCAGGAAATGCTGTAAAATCTAGTTATCCGTGGGGTCGTTGGAATCTGAGGACACATCTTTTCTTGTGATGGCGTTTGCCTACAGAGCTGTGTGCGTCGCAGCCCCCTCTCCTCCCCTGTCACTCCGGGAGCAGGGGTCCCCTCTGTTTGAGCAGGCCTGGCCTTTGTTGGGCTTTGCTGAGGAGCTCATCCATGTCACGTACACTTGCTGTTGAGAGAAACCAAGCTGTCCCGCTTTAAATTAGTGGGACCGTTTGTCAATAACTGCATGAAAATATATACGTAAGACTTCTGACCCAACTGTCCATGTGGAGGGGCGGCCGCACGTGGGGATAAAGACCTGCCGATGAAGCGCAGTGGTAATTTTACATGTCATAACTCTTCATCATCCTGCTTTTCTGTCACGTGCTTGAAATCTTGCCAGCTTGGGGAAACTGAGAGTATGTGCTGTTGACGTAGCTGAGCTCACGTTCCGTCCAGTACAAAGCAGGTGTTGCCAGGTCGCTCTGTGGGAGATGTTGACTTTAAATGAATGTCACGGAGAGAGGAGTCATTTTCCTCAGTTGTTTATTTAAACTTAGTGATTTGTTAAAATTTAGTTTCAAATACTATTAATTAGCAAGGTCATTGGGTTGACCAATTAAGATATATTGAATATAGGGGGGTTTTTTTCTCCCATAGAGGTATGGTTTAATCAGTTAGCTCTGCTAGTATATAGAAGGAATTCAACTATTAAAGACTAAGAAAGGCACAAAATAAACCTAAACACATCCAAGTTATCACTGAATATTGTACTACTGCCACTGTCTTTCTCTGGGTGGTACAGGAGTTGAGGCAGTCTAGTGAGAAAAGTCACGGGCCTGAAGGATTTTGAGGCCAGATGTGGGGACTCACACCTGTAGTCCCAGCACTTTGGGAGGCTGAGGTGGGAGATCACTCGAGCCCAGGAGTTGGAGGCTGCTGTGAGCTATGATCACACTACTGTACTCCAGCCTGGGCAACAGAGTGAGACCCTGTCTCAAATGAAATTAAATGAAATAAAATTAAATTAAATAACCTATAAGTGTAATAAATATGTTGTCTTAGGACGGGCAGCTTAGTGTTTGGATTCTGAGACCTAGCAGGAATGGTGAAGGGACGGGGCATGAGAGGAAGTCAAAGGGCATAAAAGCATCAGCCTGGCCCAGGTCTGAGGATGCTGTGAGTTACTAATTCTGCTGGTGCATTCGAGGTGCTGTGACCAAGGCCAGGAGCTCTGGCATAGAAGCAAAAGCCAGCGTCGGTTCCTGTGCCCAGCCCTGCGCCACTATGCCCACAGC